>NC_000002.12:205974466-206277496 GCF_000001405.40 Homo sapiens
CACAAAAAATTAGCCGGGCGTGGTCTCAGGCGCCTGTAGTCCCAGCTACTCGGGAGGCTGAGGCAGGAGAATGGTGTGAACCCAGGGGGCGGAGCCTGCAGTGAGCCGAGATCGCGCCACTGCACTCCAGCCTGGGTGACAGAGCGAGACTCCGTCTCAAAAAGAAAAGAAAAGAAAAGAAAAGTTTATAAAGAAGACATAAAGATGTGGTTTCTGCAAAGGAAAAGTAATTTTGTCCAGTTTAGAGGTTATTTAAAGTTTGTTTCAAAATGAAGGTATAAAGGAATAAAATATACACAGCAACACATCTATTACAGTTTACTTCAAAGAGAGATACGGAATGTGGGAGGACATCTCATTAGCTGGAAAATTCTCTGGGAAAATATTTTCTTGCTCTGAAAGAATTTTGAAAAAGGGCATTTCAGTTATGATTGAATCACATTGTAGGTCAAAAACAGTTAAACATCCACAATTTCATATGATTCAATCTGATCCAAGAGGACTGAGAAAAGTGTCATTACTTTTCTACTTGTTTATAATAAAAATTCTGTTATAAATTGTGCACTTAAAATGAGTGAATTTTATGGCATGTAAACTATAGCTCAATAGTGCTATTAAACATTCTACTTGAGTCATTTATTCATTCCCGTTTTCAAAACACAAATTCCTAATTCAGAGGTGGGATATCTCACTGAGGTTTCATGTGGCTAAATGACTTGTTTATTCATCCAGAGCAGAGCAGAAAACCAGACCACAAAGGAAAAGCCCAGACCTTTCCCTACTTGGCTCAGTCCCCTAGTTCACGAGACTTGGGTATAAAATGGCCCAATGTATTCCCAACAGCTGCAATTCTTCAAGACAGGAGGATAATCAAACTAAGTCCACATATTTTTTCAGAAAAAGAACCAGAAACTAAAGTCCACCCTCTCAACCACTTCTTTCTCCAAGGTAAAGTTAAACATTAACTGGAGTGCACAAACAAGGACTTTGTCTTGTTCTCTGTACTTCCTCCTCTCCTGTGACACACCCTGTTTCTCCCCAACCCCATCTCCCAACCCAATGTGTTCAATGTTATCAAACACCAGTCTCTCTCTGGAAGTTCAACTTGACCCAAACAGTCCATACTGGGAGACAGGAAAACAATAACAGTTTCAGCAGCAATATATTGACAGCCTTGTACGTGCTGCTTAGCATGCCACAGTGCAGTAGCCATTCTAGAATGCATTCCTGGTAGCAGATGGATATGCTAAACCTACAGGAAGGCCTCTATGGTGGCAGAGGGAGAGGCACTTCTCATACTTGCATTGCACCTGAAACCCTGGGCATCTGGTTAAAATGCAGATTTTGATCCTTTAGGTCTGGGGTGGGCACTGACACGCTGCATCTCTAACAAGCTGTCAGGAAATGCTGCTGCTATTGCTGCTGCCGCTGCTGGTGGTACAGGGACCACACTTTAAAGTAGCAAGATATTAAGGCATCACTGTTCAACAGAAACATAAAGCAAGGCAAAAATGCAAGCCCCTGTACATAATTTTAACTATTCTGGTAGCTGCACTAAAAAGTTAAGAAACAGGTAAAATTCATTTTAATAATATATTATTTAACTTAATAACTTAAAATGTTATCATTGCAATATGAAACCAATAGAAAATTTTATTTATGAGGTGTTTTACATTCTTTTTTTCATACGAAGTATTCGAAAGCTGGCAGGTATTTACCCTTAAGGAACCTCTTATTCCAGCTAACCAGGCTTCAAGGGCTCAGTAGTCCCATAAGGGCAGTGGCTATGTACAAGACAGCATGGCCCCTGGGGCTCCTCAGTGGTTCTGGACTCCCTAAGCAGCCATGCCGCGAAGCAGCCAACACTACGGGGAATTATTCTACTCTATTGGCTCCTATTGAGAGTCTTCTAAGAGGTCATAGAGACTCAGAAACGGAGTCTCAGAAACGGAGAAGAGAAACATCATGTCTTTTGAGGTCTGCTTATCAAAAACAAGAAGGGCCATGGTTCCAGGAGGGGAAGGAGGGCTTTTGCAGTTCGGAGCCCTCCAACAGAGAATCTAGCAAGCACGTTGCGAAGTAAGGTGGCCAAGACTGGTGGGTGGGAGGCATCCCAAGGGAGAAGCCCTAGAGCTCCTCAACTACTTCCCATGCCTGCTTCCTCACCGCCCTTCCTTGACTGGGTGCTGCTGAGATCCAGGTTCCGGACCCTCAGGCCACAGCCAAGCTCACCAATCCTGTGGCCTGAATTTAGTATCAAAAATGAAGTCATGGGGCGTGGTGGCTCACGCCTGTAATCACAGAACTTCGGGAGGCCGAGGCGGGCGGATCACCTGAGGTCCGGAGTTTGAGACCAGCCTGACCAACATGGAGAAACCCCGTGTCTACTAAAAATACAAAATTATCAGGGCGTGGTGGCGCGTGCCTGTAATCCCAGCTACTCAGGAGGCTGAGGCAGGAGAATCGCTGGAACCCGGGAGGTGGAGGTTGCAGTGAGCTGAGATTGTGCCATTGCACTCCAGCCTGGGCAACAAGGGTGAAACTCCGACTCGGGGAAAAAAAAAAAAAAAAAGAAGTCAAAGAGGGAAAGAGAGAGGTGACAGCATGCTGGCAGCCCTCGCACGCTCTCGGCGCCTCCTCGGCCTTGGCGCTCACTCTGGCCGCGCTTGAGGAGCCCTTCAGTCCACCGCTGCACTGTGGGAGCACCTTTCTGGGCTGGCCAAGGCCGGAGCCGGCTCCCTCAGCTCGCGGGGAGGTGTGGAGGGAGAGGCGCGGGCGGGAACCGGGGCTGCGCGCAGCGCTTGCAGGCCAGCGTGAGTTCCCAGTGGGCATGGGCTCGGCAAGCCCCACACTGGGAGCCGGCAGGCCCGCAAGCCCTGGGCAGTGAGGGGCTTAGCACCTGGGCCAGCAGCTGCTGTGCTCGATTTCTGGCTGGGCCTTAGCTGCCTCCCTGCAGGGCAGGGCTGGGGACCTGCAGCCCACCATGCCTGAGCCTCCCCCGACCTGCTGTGGGCTCCTGTGCAGCCCGAGCCTCCCTGACGAGCACTGCTCCCTGCTCCACGGCGCCCAGTCCCATCCACGGCCCAAGGGCTGAGGAGTGCTGGCGCATGGTGCGGGACTGGCAGGCAGCTTCACCTGCGGCCCCTGTGCGGGATCCACTGGGTGAAGCCAGCTGGGCTCCTGAGTCTGGCGGGGACTTGGAGAACATTTATGTCTAGCTAAGGGATTGTGAATGCACCAATCGGCACTCTATCTAGTTAGTCTGGTGGGGACTTGGAGAATCTTTATGTCTAGCTAAAGGTTTGTAAATGCACCAATCAGCACTCTGTGTCTAGCTCAGGGTTTGTAAATACACCAATCGACACTCTGTATCTAGCTAACCTAGTGGGGACATGGAGAACTTTTGTGTCTCACTCAGGGATTGTAAACGCACCAATCAGCACCCTGTCAAAATGGACCAATCAGCTCTCTGTAAAATGGACCAATTAGCAGGATGTGGGTGGGGCCAGATAAGAGAATAAAAGCAGGCTGCCCGAGCTAGCAGTGGCAACCCACTCGGTCCAGTTACACGCTGTGGAAGCTTTGTTCTTTCGCTCTTTGTGATAAATGTTGCTACTGCTCACTCTGGGTCCACGCTGCCTTTATGAACTGTAACACTCACCGTGACAGTCTGCAGCTTCACACCTGAAGCCAGCGAGACCACAAACCCACCAGGAGGAACGAACAACTCCAGGCAGGTAGCCTTAAGAACTGTAACACTCACTGCGAAGGTCTGCAGCTTCACTCCTGAGCCAGCGAGACCATGAACCCACTAAAAGGAAGAAACTCCGAACACATCCGAACATCAGAAGGAGCAAACAAACTCCGGACACGCCACCTTTAAGAACTGTAACACTCACCGCGAGGGTCTGCGGCTTCGTTCTTGAAGTCAGTGAGACCAAGAACCCACCAATTCCGGACACAAAAGGAAGAAAATAAAGGAGAAAATAAGAAGGAAAAAGGAAAGTAAGTAAATATAAAGAGAAAAAAGGAAAGAGTTCTAAGCTCTTAACCTCTATTTGCCTTCTTGCTTCTTTACTCTTGGTTCCCAGGTTATACACAAGAAGATGAATTCTGGAGTTTAATGTCCCTGCCTTAGCTTAGAGATAGGAGCAGGCTTGAAACCACAGTCTTTACTCAGGTAAAGCCAGCATGAGAGGATCACTTCTGACTTGCCCACAGGATTTGTTTATGGAAGTCATAGATCTATAGGACTTCACCCCGATGATATGGTTTGGCTGTGTCCCCACCCAAATCTCATCTTGAATTCCCATGTGTTGTGGGAGGAACCCAGTGGGAGGCAATCAAATCATGAGGGCAGGTCTTTCCCATGCTGTTCTCATGATAGTGAATAAGTCTGATGAGATCTGATGGTTTTATAAGGGGGAGTTTCCTTACACAAGCTCTTTCTTTTTTTGCCTGCTGCCATCCATGTAAGATGTGACTTGCCCCTCCTTGCCTTCTGCCATGATTGTGAGGCCTCCCCAGCCACATAGAACTGTGAGTCCATTAAACCTCTTTTTCTTCCTAGTCTTGGGTATGTCTTTATCAGCAGCATGAAAACGGACTAATACACCTATCAAAGCAGGAATTCCTCTGAAACAAGGACAGCCAGACTTTCCTTGAAAATTTCCAGAAAGAATTCACTACCCGAATAAGACATCCTCTCCAATTTTTAAGAAATATTACAAAGTTATTGCTATGAAGTTGAAATTTACCTTCATTTAATGTTCAGCCACTAATCCATGTACTATTTTCCAGAACTTCATGAAATACATGTAATCCCTATTCTTTAAATACTTGAAGACAGTTGTCCTGGGTACCTGTCCTAGATCCCTTCCTGTCCAAATCTGCCAACACCTTTCTATCAATATGTATATATATGTTTCAAGTTGATATATATACACACATATGTATATGTGTGTGTGTATATATATACACACTGTGTTATTGGTTTTAGTTTTAAAATGTGAAACATAATAATAGCATGTTTGTATGTAAATGGAAATGATCCTTTAGATAGGGAAACACTTACAATAGAGGAGAGAAGGGAGAATTACTAGAGCAGCATGTCTCAGTCCATTTGGACTATTATAACAAATTCCATAACTGGGGGCTTATAAACAAAAGAAGTTTATTTCTCACAACTCTGGAGGCTAAAAGTCCAAGATCAGGAAGCTGGAAAATCCAGCCTGGGAAGGGCCCACTTTCTGGTTCATAGTTGGGACCTTCTTGCCCTAGCCTTACCTGGTGGAAGGAGTACAGGAGCTCCCTTGCACCTCTTCCATAAGGGCACCTATCCTATCAGGAGGGCTCCACCCTCATGACCTAATCATCTCCCAAAGCCCAACCTCCTGATATCACCACCCTGGGGGTTAGGAGTTCAACATAGGAATTTGGGGAGGACATCGCCATTCAGGCCATAGCAAGGTGTCTTTGATGAATGAAAGGGTGTGGGATCCATGTCCGAGTGGAAGGGCAGGCCCTTGCTAGGAGCACAGACCCATCATCCATGGAAACAAGAAGGCGGAGTGAACAGGAACAGATGTCTCTTCCAGTGTGTAGTGGGAGAATGTAGAACTTTTCTTTGATTTCTTAAATTTTCTGAGTGAAATAGGAAACAACGATATCTGCTAAAGGTGAGGACAAGGTATGAGTTGAGGTCTGAGAAAAGAGGAAAAAGTATGAATGTATCGTCTAGGAGAGGGAGAAGAGTGAAGGGACACTTTCACTTTGCCAGACAGCATTAAGGGTATACTTGAATTTAGTGACCATAAAATCATCTCTCAGACCATATCTCAGACCCTTTATAATTCTTTTTTTTTTTTTTTTTTTTTTGAGACAGGTTCTTGCTCTGTTGCCCAGGCTGGAGTGCAGTGGTACTGTCTCAGGTAACTGCAACCTCTGCCTCCCAAGCTCAAGCAATCCTCCCACCTCAGCCTCCTGAATAGCTGGGACTACAGGGTGCATGTCACCACACCTACTAATTTTTGTACTTTTTGTAGAGATGAGGTTTCGCCATGTTGCCCTGGCTGGCCTCAAACTCAGGCTCAAGCAATCCTCCTGCCTCAGCCTCCCAAAGTGCTGAAATTACAGCCATGAGCCACTGTGTTCAGCCTATAATTCAATTTTTAAGGAATAACCTGAAATCAATAAATGGAAACACTGACTTGACTATACTAAAATCTAAGGACCCTAGACTTTTAGAACTAGAAGATACTGGGCCGGGCACGGTGGCTCACGCCTGTAATGCCAGCACTTTGGGAGGCCAATGCAGGTGGATCACCTGAGGTCAGGAGTTCGAGACCAGCCTGGCCAACATGGTGAAACCCCATCTCTACTAAAAATACAAAAATTAGCCAAGTGTGGTGGCACACACCTGTAATCCCAGCTACTCAGGAGGCTGAGGCAGTAGAATCGCTTGAACCCAGGAGGTGGAGGTTGCAGTGAGCCAAGATCACATCATTGCACTCCAGCCTGGGCGACAACAGTGAAACTCCATCTCAAAAAAAAAAAAAAAAAAAAAACCTACAAGATACTTTAAATACTATTATTCAACTTCTTTCTTTCACAGAGAAAGAAATGGAAGGCCGGAGAAGTTAAAACATTTGTTAAACAAGTCTATGGCAGAACCCAGATCTTTATTGTGGGGAAGAAAAGTAATACTCGATATGTGACCCCCAAATGCAGAATACACACCAATGGCTGGAATTTCTAGATTTCATCTAAGTATAATATGTTCTTAATAGAGATATCCAGTAATGGGATGGGCTACTTGAGAGGGAGTAAAGATAGAAGACTTAGCCAGGTGCAGTGGCTCATGCCTGTAATTCCAGCACTTTGGGAGTCCAAGGCAGGCGGATCACAAGGTCTGGAGTTCGAGACCAGCCTGGCTAATATGGTGAAACCCTGTCTCTACTAAAAATACAAAAATTAGCCGGGTGTGGTGGCACTGGGACTAGTAGCCTGTAGTCCCAGCTACTCAGGAGGCTGAGGCAGGAGAATCGCTTGAACCCGGGTGGTGGAGGTTGCAGTGAGCCGAGATCACACCACTGCACTCTGGCCTGGGTGTCAGAGTGAGACTCCATCTAAAAAAAAAAAAAAAATTAGAAAACTTCACACGTGAAGGATGGTTCTTGCATTACGGGAGTTAGTCTAAATTAACCTTCCAGCTCTGATATTCCACACTTCAAATAGAGATAAACGTTTAAGAATATTGTGCACTGTTTATTAATACCGAGGCAACGTTAGGACTACTAGAATAACTAAATCCCACTAGTTCCTTAAAAAGCCTCCCAGGGGGTGGGGATGTAAAAAAAAAAAAAAAGAAAAAAAAAGATCTTTTAAATAAAAAGCCTCCTACCCCTAAATTATTCAATTACAACTTTTGAAGCATCAGTACTGACTGAAGTTCCTTATTTCCCCTACTCACATGTGCTTATACAGCATAAAATGTCTGTAAGACAAGCAGTCAGTGGAGTAGTTAGGAGAGCAGAGAAGCTAGGGTAATAAACAGAACAGATAATTAGTCCTTGAATAACTGATGAACTTAGGCTCCAAGGTCATTATTCCACAACATTCTTTTTTTTTTTTTTTTTGAGATGGAGTCTCGCTCTGTTGCCCAGGCTGGAGTGCAGTGGCGCAATCTCAGCTCACTGCGAGCTCCGCCTCCCTGGTTCATGCCATTCTCCTGCCTCAGCCTCCTGAGTAGCTGGGACTACAGGCACCCACCACCACGCCCAGCTAATTGTTTTTGTATTTTTAATATAGACGGGGTTTCACCATGTTAGCCAGGATGGTCTCGATCTCCTGACCTCCTGATCCGCCCACCTCGGCCTCCCGAAGTGCTGGGATTACAGGCGTGAGCCACCGCGCCCGGCCCCAAACATTCTTAATGGTACTGAAACTACTCCAAACATTTTCGTGACACCAACCAGTGACTGGGTTACAAGTTTGCTCCAGAGGAAACACTTTTCAGAAAGGATGAGTAAGTTGCTTCCAATAATGAGGAATGGCCACAGCTGAGAAGATGCCTTTAAAATACAATCTGGGAAAGTACTCTCCGATCTAATTTGTTTCATAGCATGTTAGTACTTTTAAAATTTTTCTGCAGCATACTTGGAAAAAAATTGGAAGAGTGGCAGGGACAGATATAACATGTCCACTGATAACTGCCATGTGTCCAGCAAGGCTGGCAGATTTGTCCAGTAGAGAAACAACAAGACTTATACCCTGTTGAACTTAGTTTATTGCTTAGACATCAAACAACAACAGCAACCCCAAAAACAAAAAACAAAGAGGCCAGTTCCTCATGTCCTTTGTCCCATAAGGCAACACTGAAACAAAAGTGGCCAGATGACAGCATGGATGATAGCACACTCTAGCTGAGAAGCCTGTGGCATGCTGCAACTAAGCAATTTTATAGCCTGCAGCTATTCCCTAAGGGTAAAGACAAGGCCTCATACCTCAATCAGAACCCAAGAAACAATGAGAGTGTCCCATGACGGCCTCCATGGAAGATGGGGAGGTGAGTGGGAAATGGCCTTAGGGCATCTCCTCATGTTCTGGGACAATCACAGGGCACTATTCCAAGACTTAGATCAGTTGCGGTTAAGCTTTGCCTATGTGGCCTATGTGGAGACTTGCACAGATGACGAGGACATCATGGTGGAGTCATTACCCTAGGCCATGGTGGAATTAAAGAGTCTCTTGGGAAAGATTATGAAAGAGAGGGAAGAGTGACATGCAGACGTCCGTAAAAATAGTCAAAAGGGCTCTGATTAGCAAGCTGAGTCCCCACAAGGGAAAGAGGTCACATGGGCAGTATTGGTTCATTAAGACGGGAATCTACCATGGGCAAAGGGCTAGTGAAAGCCCATTGGACACAGCATAACAGGACACTTTAGACCATTCCTAACACAGGGATCTGGAAATGCTACTTGACATTGTGAGAAAAAAACTCACCTGTCCACACCCAAAGAATGGACTCAAGAGACCGGGAGAACCGTGAAAGTGAGACTTTTAATGATGGTCTTGCAAGATTGGGTGTCTGATGAATGGGAACACCCAGCACAGTTTCAACAAGCAATTTGTCCCCTAGTGCGCAGGTCCCTTCCCCAGTTCCTCATAGGCTGAGGACGATGGGGTCACAATCTTCCCAGACATCGCCTATGATTGTTGGGTAGGGGATTTAGATGGTTTCTTTAGGGTTGTCTTGCTGCATTTTTTTTTTTGCAGCCCACAATGCATTGCAATCCTAGTTAGCTCAGGGGCTCTTCGGGTATTTGACTTAGGACCTAAGTAGCTGGGCAGGCTGATAAGAATAGACAAAGCGAGCTATCTTGCAGACTAGTAAACTTTCATCTTAGACTAAACTTTGGTTCGGGTAAAGGCAACTAAGGGGGTTGGAGGGGGAGGGGGGAGGCCGACAAGCAGGTGTTGGCTATCCAAGCAGAGGCCTAGTATATGCTGTTTCTTCTGTAGTTTGCTGACCTAAGCTGATTCAAGGCACTTTGTCTTGGAAATAGACCACTGTATATATCATTTCCTTTAACAGCAAAAAAACCACATGGGCCGGGCACAGTGGCTAACGCCTATGATCCCAGCACTTTGGAAGGCCGAGGTGGGTGGATCACTTGAGGTCAGGAGTTCGAGACCAGCCTGGCCAACATGGCAAAACTCCGTCTCTACTAAAAATACAAAAAAATTAGCCGGGCCTGGCGATGCGTGCCTGTAATCCCAGCTACTCAGGAGGCTGAGGCAGGAGAATCGCTTGAACCCGGGAGGCGGAGGTTGTAGTGAGCCGAGATCCTACCACTGCACTCCAGCCTGGGCAACACAGGGACGGACACACTGTCTCAAAAAAAAAAAAAAAAAAGAAAAAGAAAGAAAGAAAAAAGAAACTACTAATCTGGCCTAATTCTCTTAGTTTACAGATGAGGAACCGAAGGTCCAGAAAGGTGAGATGATTTTCCGAGGTTACACTTCTACTTTGGAGAAACAGCTTGAGCTCAACCATTTCCTCACGGTCCAAGGCTGCTTCTAGTGGACTACCCACTTCTAAATTGCGACGCAAGTTTTCGCTTTTACCAAAACAAAACTGCACCAGTTAGAAATTGTTCCAAAGCAAAACTGAAACTTCTACTGAGAATGCTACTATTCTGAAGCTGAAATTATGCCTTTAAAAAAACACTTTTTTTTTTTACCAGACTAGTTCAGTGGCATCAAGAATTGCTAAAATCTTAGTAATTTATTTTTTAAAGCATTGTTTTATCCAGATACTTAAGAAGATGTGATTTTAATACTTCATTATTCCATTGCATTTTAAAGCAAGGTTTTAATTTAGTCTCACAACCAAAACACTTTCCAAAAAAAGCATCTCTAATTTGGTAATTTGTGTCAATAAGAAAATATGACTAATTAATATAAATCAGATTTACTGCCAACTTTTCAGGAATACATTTATTTTGTCAAGTAACCTGTTAATTAAACAGGAGTATGATAAGAGAAACAAGTGATAATAATACAAGTAAACAGAGCTTCAAGCTTATCATTTTCAGAGGGAAATGTAGGTAATATCCACAAGCAGGACATCACATTATACTTTTGATACCAAAATTCAAATACAATTTTGGCACTGCTATTCTATCTGTATATAAAAATTAAATAAAACAAAAAAGGCGCTAGATGCATGTTCTTAATGATTAATATTCTGTGCATACTTTTTTCTGCACACAATTTTTAGGGGAGACAGAACACGGATTAATGAAATGCTGACAATCTAACATATTCTGTGACAAATTGGAGTTATAGAAAAAATTGCCAATTTTGAATACCAAGATATATTTGAAGGTTCCTTATTCTCCCTCACTCAAAAAAAAATCAAATATATTATTTGGCGTCTTCTAGCATCATAATGGGCAACAATTTATCCAGGTTCTGCTATATGCATTGAACCATTATCTCCAGCAATAAGGATTTTTATTTTTATTATTTTTATTTTCTTTGAGACAAGGTCTTGCTCTGTCTCCCAGGCTGGAGTGCAGTGGTGTGATCTCGGCTCACTGCAACCTCCGGAGGGTTATCTGTTAGGAAATGATTGCATGAGTTTGGTCAGCAAGTGAGGAAAACCTGCAACACTGGGAGAAATCAAGATGACTACGGATACTGGTGTGAGTTGGGAGTCTTCATATTTGTTCAAAGAATGAATAATTAAAAGAGCAAGTGAATAAAGGCAAAAGTTCACAGTGAGAGCTGGTCAAAAAGGAAAAGATGTTAACTTTGGATTTAGACAAGCTAAATTTAGAATGATGGCTGGATATCAAGGTGGGAGTCCTCAGGAAGGAGCAGGAGATGTGAGGCCAAAGTTTGAGAGTAATCAGAGCAGTAGGTACAATTTTCAAGTTAATCTCCAGGGAGGTCAATGTTTAAGCCAGGGCATAGAAGGATCCTAAACTGGGAGCTCATGTACAGAGTAAGAACAAAAGAGAAGGCTGAGGAGTGATGATGAAGAATTGGAACTGACAAAGAGCCCAGAAAAAGCATCATATGGGAATAAAGTGGAGAAAAGAAACAATGCAATGTTATCAGTCTTGACTGGTTCAAGAGAGGCTAAATAGAATGACATCAAAGGGCATGGATGGCCTCAGAAAGAATAGTTGCAGGCAAATAACAAGGTGAAAGCTAAACTGCAATGGGTTAAGGAGTGACAGTCAGTGGAAAGAGCAGGTATAATGTTGACCAGTACAAAGAAAGGACTGCAATTAAAGGAATAAGGGGAGGGAAGATTTTAGTCTTCAAGAATAGACATTGGTACTGAGAGTAATAAGCATTGTGGGACAGTATATTTGGCCTCTATGTACTGTGGAGGTGACATATGGTCTAGCTTCTTAGATTTCTACTTTTTATTTATTTAGTGTTTTTTGAGATAGAGTCTCACTCCGTCATCCAGGCTGGAGTGCAGTGGCGCGATGTCGGCTCAGTACAGCTTCCGCCTCCTGGGTTCAAGCGATTCTCATGCCTCAGCCTCCAGAGTAGCTGGAATTACGGCGCCCCCCACCATGCCCAGCTAATTTTTGTAATTTTAGTAGAGATGGGGTTTCACCATGTTGGCCAGGCTGGTCTCAAACTCCTGACCTCAAGTGATCCACCTGCCTCAGCCTCCAGAAGTGCTGGGATTACAGGTGTGAGCCTCTGCGCCCATCCTCTACTTTTTAGTTTAGCAAAAGTATCTTGAATTTGATGGAGCTTATGTTGAAAAATAGTTTATATTTTTTATCATTTTTTATTTATTTTTGAGACACAGTCTCACTCTGTCACCCAGGCTGGAGTGCAGTGGCGCAATCTTGGCTCACTGCAACCTCTGCCTCCCAGGTTCAAGCGATTCTCTTGCCTCAGCCTCCCCAGTAGCTGGGTCTACAGTGGGACATGCACATCTTCTGATAAAGGACCAGAGTCTACTAATTCTTTATACTTATAGTCATATTTTCTTTTCTTTTAGACATGGGGTCTTGCTATGTTTCCCATGTTGGCCTCAAACTCCTGGGCTCAAAGGGTCCTTCTGCTTCTGCCTCTGAGTAGCTGCGAATACAGGTGTGCACCACTGCACCCAGCTCTATATTTTCTTTTCTTTCTTTTTTTCTTGAGACAGAATTGCCCAGGCTGGAGTGGAATGGCACAATCTCGGCTCACTCCAACCTCTGCCTCCTGGGTTCAAGCGATTCTCCTGCTTCTGCCTCCTAAGTAGCTGGGATTACAGGCATGCGCCACCACACCTGGCTAATTTTTTGGATGTAGTAGGGATGGGGTTTCACCATATTGGTTAGAGTGGTCTCGAACTCCTGACCTGAGGTGATCCACCCACCTTGGCCTCCCAAAGTGCTGGGATTACAGGCGTGAGCCACTGCGCCTGGCCTATATTTTATTTTCTTAAGTAGTTTCTATCCCAAAGTATCTTCTTTAAGTCAGGATACCATGATATATTTTCTTCCATTAAATGATGCTTTGTAGTATGTAAGATAAAATGTAGGAGAATTTTTTGAAGTTTCAAAGCAAAGGTAAATTTATATTTTTCTCTTTTTTTTTTTTTTTTTGAGACGGAGTTTTGCTCTTGCCCAAGCTGGAGTGCAGTGGCACAATCTCGGCTCACTGCAACCTCTGCCTCCCGGGTTCAAGTGATTCTCCTGCCTCAGCCTCCTGAGTAGCTGGGATTACAGGTGTGCACCACCACGTCTGGCTAATTTTTGCATTTTTAGTAGAGACAGGGTTTCACGGTGTTAGCTAGGATGGTCTCGATCGCCTGACCTCGTGATCCGCCCACCTCAGCCTCCCAAAGAGCTGGGATTACAGGCATGAGCCACCATGCCCGGCCTTATATTTTCAACTAACAGGATTCCCATAACTGAATGCATCCTCGAATATTTGGAAACTTGGTTGGGTAAGAGTAACCACATATGCTGGTTACCTATATCCTCTTGTATTTAAAAAATCAGCAGCAGACATTCCTTATGATCAGAAATTTCTTCCCAAGCTCTCAGCCTATCTCCATCTTCCTCATTTGCAGCTAACCTCTGTTCTCTTGTTCATTTCCCCAGGACACTTCCTTCTGGAAATAGCCTATGTTGTTTATCTTCAGTCTTTCCTTCTAGTTATAAAAGAAGCCTAACTAAAATTTACTAAGTACTTAGTATATGCCAAGGACTATTCTAAGTGCTTTACATAGGTTCTGTTCTGCAATCCTCTCAATGCAAAAATGCATTTTACAGATGAGGAAACTGAAGGAGAGAGAGGATAAATGACCTGCCTAAGATCACACAGCTTGGAGTCAAGATTAGAACCTAGGAAGTCTGGCTCCCAAAGCCACAGCCTTAACCAACTGCTATACTGCTTCTCACTAGACCCCCTCAGTCTCTTTGGAGTACTAACTTCATTCAGTAATATTTACTATGTGCTGACACTGGGAAGCAGGCTGTGCTAGGGACTGAGCTTTTTGGAATTAAGGAAGTAGATACGGGAGCATACCTTCCAGAAGGGGACACAAACAAGTCATTACAATGAGCATGACGGGGAGGCAAGTGCACATGCTCAGGCCCTCACAACGCCAGGGTTGGGGAAGGGGCTGACTTTCCCCTTCAGAGAGCGTCGGGGAGGAGAGCTAGCCCGATAGCACTGGAATACCAGCTCCATAATTTGCTAGCTGGGAGACTCTGGAAACATGATTTAAGGTCTCTTTTTGGGCCTGTAACTAAAATAAAATAAAATAAATAAAATAAAATAAAATAATAAAATAAAATAAAATAAAATAAAATAAAATAAAATAAAATAAATAAAATAAATAAAATAAAATAAATAAAATAAATAAAATAAATAAAATAAATAAAATAAAATAAAATAAAATAAAATAAAATAAAATAAAAAAATAAAATAAAATAAAATAAAATAAAATAAAATAAAATACAAATAGATAACAGCTGTTCCCCCAAATATGTTCTTAGCTTTCTTCCTTGATCATTTACAGCTGGCTTCAACATTCAATTCTATGCCCACAGCCTCCCCATCTGTACCTCCGGCTTGGGCCTCTCTTCTGAGTGCTAGCGGAAGGGGAGCTGGCCATCTCCCCCTGGCCCCTGATCCCAGCTCAAACTATGTGTACTCAGAACCCACTGGCCCTCTCCAAACTGTAGAGTGTTCACAGCCATGCTGCCCACTTCCGTCACTGGCACCACCACTCTTCCAGAAACCCAGGGGTGAAACATCTTTGGCTCTCTCCTCTCCCCTGCCGCTCACATCTTATCACTCTGTTTCCAAGTTGTTTTGATCTCCCCTTTCCTTCCATTTTTACTTCCACAAGTAAGTGCGACTTCATTATCTAGCCTGACTACTGCAGTAGCCCCCTCCCAAATCATCTCACTGCAATCTTACCTCGATCGAGAGGAAAAATTAGATTTCCTGAGTCCCCGCTGATCATCACTCCCATTCCAGCCTTCCACATTCCTTATGCTCAGTCACCCATTAGCTTCTCTGCTCCTCACCCCTCTCCCTCACGTTAGACTCCAGACAAGCTCAACTGCTCAGTGTCCTTACACAAACTACGAGGTATCCCAACTGCTCATGCTGCTTGCTTCTCCTGGAACACCTTCTCCATTTCTGAATGTCCAAACACCGCCCATCTGTGGATGCTCTGTTCAGATCACTCTACTCAGGGAGGGGCACAGTGGCTCTCGCCTGTAATCCCAGCACTTCGGAGGCTGAGGTGGGTGGATCACTTGACATCAGGAGTTCGAAATTGCTCTCCTCTAGAAAATTTGCTCTATCCTTTGGTTGCAAATTATGTCTTCCTGACTTGAGCTTACACAGCATTTTATCATTCTACTAGGCAGTTGACAGTGTCTTTCTTGTTTGCACAGATGGTTATGCAACACTCTCCTACTAGGTGGCAAAATCCTTTGGGTGTAGAATCCAGTTGTGATTCATTCTCATGTGTCTCACTGTCCCCAACACAAACTGCCCAAAAATATAACTAAATGTATAAAAATGAATGCAAGGTCAGAAAGACAGAAAACTGGAAAGATGGGAGAAACAGCAATAGCATACTACCATGAGGTTGACTGAAACTTCAGGGTGCTAAGTGATGAGCATCATCTTTCCATCACAGGGATTTGAAGTCGGAAAAATAACTGACTATAGTCACAACATGTTAAAGAGGACTTTTCCAAAAGACATTTCTGTGAAAGGAACAAAATAACATCACTGATATGGTCTGATGTGTCTCAAATTCATGTGCTGGAAATGTAATCCCCAGTGCAAATGTTGAGAGGTGGGGCATTTTAAGAGATGTTTAGGTCATGAGGGCTGTGCCCTGATCAATGGATTAATGCCACTGTAGAAGAGTTTGATGAGGAAGTTTGTCTCTCTTTGCCCTTCCGCCCTCTGCCAGGTGAGAACACAGTATTACCCCTCTATGGAGGACACAGTGTCTCAGCAGCAGCCCTCACCAGATGCTGGTGCCTTGATCTTGGTCTTCCCAGCCTCTGTAACTGTCAGAAATAAATTTTGGTTCTTTATAAATTAATCAGTCTCTGGTATTGTGATAGCAGCACAAAACAGGCTAAGAAAATCACCTTAATGTTTAGACCCACATATTGCTGGAAGGTACAAATTAATGCAAATAAGGTCTTTAAACAATACAGGGTTAAAAAAAAAGAGAAACAGGTTTCACTTTGTTGCCCAGGATGGTCTTGAACTCCTGTGCTTAAGCAATTCTCCTGCCTCAGCCTCCCAAATGTGCTAGGATTACAGGTGTGAGCCACCATGCCCAGCCAATACAGGCTTTTTAAAGAACTATTGTTAGGCCAGGCACAGTGGCTCACGCCTGTATTCCCAGCACTTTGGGAGGCCACGGGCAGATCACCTGAGGTCATGAGTTTGAGACCAGCCTGGCCAACATGGCAAAACCCCATCTCTACTAAAAATACAAAAAAATTAGCTGGGCATGGTGGCGCATGCCTGTAGTCCCAGCTACTCGGGAGACTAAGGCAGGAGAATTGCTTGAACCCAGGAGGCAGAGGTTACAGTGAGCTGAGATCATGCCAACTGCACTGCACCCTAGCCTGGGCGACAGAGCAAGACTCTGTCTCAAAAAAAAAAATTATCGTTACCTCTTAATGAGGCAGAAGAAAGAACAAATAGGTGGAGGTATACTAAAGGGGAATTAATAAAAATATATTATCTTCTAAACTCCAATTTTTGCTTCCACTCACAATCCACAGGATCTCAGCACTACCGCTTTAAAGATGTTGCCTCAACTCAAATATTACACTAACAGGCTTGTCTCCTAAGGCTACTATTTTTTTCTTAGTCAAGAACTTAGCCAGCACAATCTCAAAAGTTTGTGCAGAGACTTAGGAAGCAACCTTAAGTAGAAAATAACAGAAGAGCTTAAAATCAGCTACCATATAACCGAAGAAACAGAACAATCCATTTCAAGCATTATCCTCCATACCTTGTCAATCTCCAATGCAGAGAAATGGAAAAAGTTCTGTTATTGTGGCCATTTTACTAGTACTGTGGCCATCTGCTTCTAGCCTCAAAATGTTAACTTCTTTTAGAGAAACAAAGGACAATTTTAGAATGTACCTTAAACATGCCTGGGTTAGAGACCAAGGAAAACAAGTTCAACTGCTCCACAAAAATAAAAAAAAAAATTGGCTGGGCATGGTGGCTCATGCTTGTAATCCCAGAAATTTGGGAGCCCAAGGCAGGCAGATCCCTTGAACCTAGTTGTTTGAGACCAGCCTGGGCAACATGGTGAAACTCTGTCTCTACAAAAAAAATACAAAAACTAGCTGGGGATGGTGGCACATACCTATGGTCCCAGCTACTTGGGAGGCTGAGATGGGAGGATCACCTGAGCCTGGGAGGTCGAGGCTGAAGTGAGCCAAGATGGCACCACTGCACTCACCTAGTGACAGGGCGAGATCCTGTCTCCAAAAAAAAATTTTTTTTAAGCGAAACTCTCTAAAGAACATGTGATCATAAGAATAGCTTGAGCCTGGGAGGTGAAGGTTGCAGTGAGCAGTGATCACACTATTGCACTCCATCCTGGGCTACAGAACGAGACTCTGTCTCAAAAAAAAAAAAAAAGGTTACTAATTTTTGTATGTGAATTTTTGCCTCTATGTGTACAACAAAACCACTTACACTAGAGCTTCCCTCAGCAACAAAAGATAGCATTAGAAAGTTGAAAAACAATTCCAAGTAAATAGTTGTTAGTATCTGCATTAGGCTGTTCTTGCACTGCTATAAAGAAATACCTGAAGCTAGGGGTGGCAGCTCACGCCTATAATCCCAGCACTTTGGGAAGCAGAGGCAGGAGGATTGCTTGAGCCCAGGAGTTCAAGACCAACCTGGGCAACACAGGGAGACTCCGTCTCTACAAAAAACAAACAAAATTAGTCAGGTATGGTGGCATGCGCCTGTAGTCCCAGCTACTCAGGAGGCTGAGATGGGAGGATCGCTTGAGCCCAAGAGATCAAGGCTGCAGTAAGCCAGGATGGTGGCTACTGCACTCCAGCCTGGGCAAGAGAGTAAGACCAGAAGACGGAAGGTAAAGGGGGAGCAGGCACATCACATGGCAGGAGCAAGAGCAAAAGAGAGGGGTGGATGGTGGGGTGGGTGGGGGATGGTTGGGTGTGCCACACACTCTTAAACAGTCAGATCTCATGAGAACTCAACTATCGGTAGGACAGCACCGAGACATGAGGAATCTGCCCCCATGACCCAAACACTTCCCACCAGGTCTCACCTCCAACACTGTGGATTACATTTCAACTTGAGATTTGGGTGAAAATATTCAAACTATATCAATGCCTTAAAGAACAAAAGTGTCCCAGCACTTTGGGAGGCCAAGGTGGGAGGATTGCTTGAGCCCAAGAGTTCAAGACCAGTCTGGGCAACATGGTGAGACCCCCATCTCTACAAAAAAATAGAAAATTAAGGGCTGGGCATGGTGGCTTATGCCTATAATACCTACACTTTGGGAGGCTGAGGCAGGAGGACTGCTTGAGCCCAGGAGTTCAAGACCAGCCTGGGCAACATGGCAAGACCCTATCTCTAAAAAACAAATAATTAAAAAATATATATATCCAGGCGGGGTGGCACATGCCTGTGGTCCCAGCTACTTAGGAGGCTGAGGTGGGAGGACTGCTCAAGCCAGGGAGGTTGAGGCTGCAGTGAGCCGTGATTGTACCACTGCACTCCAGCCTGAGAAACAGAACAAGATGCTGTTTCAAAAAAAAAAAAAGTTTCTTCGAGTTTTGTATTGTTTTTTTAATTTTGGCTATAAAACATGAAGTTGTTCTTATATTTGTGAAACTATGAAAATGAAGACAGAAGAGGCTTCTGATTTAAAGAAACAGAAATTGGCTTGTAAGACTTCCATTATAGCATATAACAATTTCAAATGCAAATTCTAGTTGAACAAAGGCTGGTTACCATATCAAAAATCACTTTGGATAGAATTTGATTGATCCACGGCTATTACAAATATTAATTATTGTTAGTTCAACCATAAAAATCATGAATATATCTGCCTAGAGTTATTGGTGAAACACAAGATATTAAAAAATACTGTATTCAAATAAAGGTAGAAAAATACTTACCCTGGATTAGCAGCTTCCATCAATATCCCAGTATAGAAAATTAAACTAAAAACAAGGCTACTTCACAGCAAGATTTATTAATACATCCAAAAGAAAGAAAGAAAAATGATTTTGTCACACTATATACAGATAATACATACAGTGTTTCATACACATATTACATCAGTTTTTACACAAGAAAAATATACATAAAAATGTAAACTTTTGTATACAAAAACCCTTAAACAAATTAAACAAGGACCAGATAACAAAAGGAGACCAATTCATTATTATTTCATCAAATTTTTAAAACAGTAATACAGTACATTCATTGAGATATATATGGAAAATGTGAGCCATCTCTTCTTGTTTAAAGGGAAATTACAAACCAAAAGTCAATCGCCTCCCAAGACGTGGTCCTCCCAGCAATGCCGCACCCAATGCCACAAGTATGCCTGTCCACCAGAACTGGGGGCTCTTACCAAAACCTGCCCATCTCCTCATCTTGCTCCTACAGTCTGTGCAGAAACAAGTGGCTCCTAACTTTTGTGCATATAATTAAACTCCCAGCCACTATGAACACAAATACAGAGGAGAGATTGTCAGTTTGTAAGTTCCCTTTAAGCGGCTTTTATATTTTTGTATTTATTTTTAATGCATGGCCTGTTAAACATACTTGGGTGCCAAGGTGAATGAGAACACTGAAAAAGAAGGGCTTTGAGAACCGCTAGTCCTTGCTACCGTGCAGTTTCTTTGTTAGAAGAGATTTTAAAACTGTCCAACCTGTCTCATTTGCTGGTTTCAAATAAGCTACCTCACCTTTGATTTCCCACTGCAACTTGGTTTCAACTTACACTTCAGTACTCTAGTTGTTAGTACCATACAATTGCCAAGAGGCTTTTTGTTAAAGGCTACTTCTGATATCAGGTTCCAGCTAAGCTACTCAGTAAAATGGCTCAAACCCCAGCCTCTCTATTTTAGTCTTCAGGAGTACTCTTACTTCACTGTTTTTTGTAACATCTTACAATTTAGGATTGTCCATCTACCTTCCTCTCTCTGCAAGTTCTTGAGATGTAATCTGCTGCCAACTCTTCACAAAATAAAATAATATTTAATCGTTCTTCCTTAATAGTCTTGCATTCAGTGTGTCAAATTGATGTACTAATGAAAAATACCTAAACTGTGGGGAATAAGAATTAAATCTATTTCAAGCACATGCAACTTGGAACTCGCAAAAAAAAAAAAAAAAGAAAGAAAGAAAGAAAGAAAAAAGAGTTTGGGAGGGCCCTTAACTAAAATGTGCTTAAGACAGCTTCATGAGAGAGCTGCCTTCTTTCAAATTTGAATTTTGAACAAGGCAAAATAACAATTAGGTGATATATTTCCCTGCAGCATGGGAGTAGTTAACTTCCCCCAGGCAAAATGATCTCAATAATCATTATTTATTAATGAAAGGAGGAGGCAAATTGGTGAATTAAGTTGATCTAGGAGATGGTGGCTGACATACACTAACGGAAATATTAGGATTGCTTTATAAGTGAAATAAACAGTCTGGTCTGTGGAACATCTCCACTTCAGAGAGAGGAAAAATGCACAAAGCTCCTCAAGTGAATCTCCAGCTCTTTCTTACTCTCATGGGACAGATGGCATTTTTAAAATGACAGTCTCCCTTTCAGTTAAGAAAAACACAACAATAAAAGGAAAAGGAAGATAAATAAATAGTGTGTGGATGTCTTTAGATGAGACTTTAAATGTTCTTTAAATAACTTTTGATAATGTATTTTAAATCATTACATACAACTGCCACTGCAGTGACAATATTCCAGTAGGGGCAGCATTTTGCTAAATGTAAAAGATTGCCATTTAAAACTCATACATATACATGTGTATATACAGTTATATCAACACTATTTATATACATATATATCTGGAGAGCAATATTTCATTGCCTTTGAATATCTATATATCTACTCCCACAATATATACTAGAGACATACTGTGTGAGTACATACGAAAGCATATGTACACATGCTCTGACATGTATATATACACTTTTGTCTGTGTGTGCATAAGAGCTTTAAAGGCACAATATATAGGGATGCAAGTTTTCTAGAGAGCTGCAGCAAAGTTAATACAGAATGTCACAAACTGAGAAAAGTCAAAAGGAAATATAGCAGAATTCATCACACAGGAATTCATCAAAGCAGTTTCATCATGAGAAAAATGAGTTAGTTACAGAATTCAAGAGGCTAACATGTGACCTTGTATGCTTTCCATTAAAATGTAAATGGTGAAGTTATGATTAAACTACAAAGCAAATAAAAATATGTAAATGACAAATTAATGACAGTAAGTGTGGAAATAAACCTAACACTAATATCGATCATAAAATCATAATTATGTTCTTTTGTAATTTAAGTAAAATGTCCCCAAATTATTGAGCTAAAACTTTCAAATTTGTTTTATTTGAAGGTTGGCTTTCTGTTTGTTTTTGAGACAAAGATGAATGCCCAAGTCTCAAAATTCCTATTGATAATATTACCAAAACTTGTATCTTCTGGGAAAATTTCAGAGATAAAGATCTTTAAAAGAAATAACAGAGAAGTTGATGAAATATGCTTAAGCCAGATGCTTCTGGCTAGAAGAGACAGAATTAAGGGGGAAAAAAACCACAATGATGTGTGATTTTTTTTTTTTTTTTAAGTGATGAAAGACTGACCAGTAGAAGGTGGTGAAGATGAAGAATAGTGGAACTGGCAAGTAAGAACTGTTCAGACAAGCATTCATTGTGTAATATCCATAAACAAAACTATAATCCAAAGGACTTCCATTTTAGTATGTTCTGATGATGTACTCTAGACTGTCACCTCCTCTGGCTTACAGAATAATCCAGAACTTTCCATAGACATTAATCTTGCTTAACAAAGGCTGTTTACCTATTATACACACACATTTTTAAGGGAAATATATGTATATAGCTTTATCTATACACACACATATACATACGTGTATATATAGATTTATACAAATGTATAAATAAACATAATACTTTTCAATCTTTCCATTGACAAGGCAAGTTCACATTCAGCAAAGTGCCACCACATCCCATATACACATCTCTGTACAGATATACACATAAGGGTCTGTTTTCACCCTTCAACCGGGAGAATTTTTTCTAGCAAATCCCATTAACCAGCAACTGAAGGGAGAAATGGCACCAGTACAAACTCCCTTCTTTCATTTGCATGCATATGTACAAGAAATATGCAGATCTAAAAAAAAATCCCAAAACAAGAGTGAATGAAACCAGGAGATGCTGCAAAAATACAACTGTAGAAAAGAACAGCATATAGAGCTTTCCTAGATCTTCACTATATCTAAGATGAAGTAAATGATGCTCAAGAGACAACTACAAATTCAGGTATATTATCAGAAGTTGCTTTGACATATTTCAAAGTACATGATTTTTTAAGTATTAAAAATAAATGTCATTGGAACATTTAATACCAACTCTACTTTTGACTATTTCAGACCACCAGATACTCCAGTAATAAATGTATAGCAAAATAACAACTTAAAACTCAAAATAAAGGGATGTATTTTTTTTTAATTCCATATGAATCAGGGGTAGCACAATTTTCCTATAGCTGAAATATGGGGATGGGAGCACTCTTAAGTTAATAAATAACAGCAGAACTGAGTAAAAGTTTTTTGAAAAATTTTGGAAATAAATGAAATCACCCCAGCTTTGAAATATGCACGGTGAAATGATCCCACCAACTCCTTAAACAAAGCAGCCCCTTCCAAAAATTGTTTATGAAAGGCCTATACTTTTTCTTAACTTCACCAAGAAAAGATGATCAACAATATTTTCTTACTCGAATATAAAGAAATCTATAATTAACATAAAAAAGATTCAATAGATCTGTGGTCCCATCACCACAATAGATAAACACAGCTCATGTCTGGGGCTGTCTGTCTCCCTCTCTTATTTTTATGCTCGAAAGTGAGAGGCTGATCTTAGAACCTCCTGTTTCTCATGTCATTTTATGAACATAGCATAATATAAGTTAATCCAAAGGTTAACATAAAATGCACATGATATCAGAGCTAGCCTTTTAACATAAGATAACATAATGATTAATTTGGTGTATTTATACAACAGAGACAATGAGAAAGTAACTCCAATACCCTCAACTAAATAAATCATGTTTCTACAATACATTCGGTTACCTTTATCTATTTTTATATAAGCACACATTCATATCTCTCACACACGTGCCCCCAATGTATATTTTTGCATGTGTGTAAAAAATACAGACATATACATGCACACAAGTAATTTAGTTCTATTTTAAAGTCACAGTGGGAATTCCTTAGTGAGGAGGGATAAAAAGTTCCTGAATAAGACACTGAGAACATCTAGATTTATTATTTTCTCTATTTTACTTCCCAACTTACAGAATAAACTGTAAATTAAAGAATAACTCCATAGGAAATAAAAGAGGTCTTACAAACTTAGTTTACAAATTCCAGCTACAGTAGTTGGAGTTTTACTTGATCTATGTATTTCTATGTACCCTGTAACTAAGCTTCTAGCCATCTTAAGTGTAAACCACAGATCATTTACTAAAGAACATGATTCTCAACAGTTCTAGGAACAGTTATAAATGGTCTAAAGGTGTTCTACATTTTGAGGCCCCAGGATATCCTTTTATTTTATATATCTGCAAGGTAGCAAAGGATAGCTATACACCTTGACACGGCAGAGATCCAGTGTAAAAAGGTGCTTCACTAGTTTGTTTTGTCAAAAAAAAAAAAAAAAAAAAAAGCTCATATATATTTAGCTATTAAACACATAGGCAACATAATTCATTACACTCGATACAGCTTTAGTATAAAACTTATAATTTATGAGGTGATGTTAATAGCATAAATTAATATACCTTTTCTCTTAAAATCTACAATAAGTATTCTGAAAGCTCATTGGGGAAGGAAATTTTTAAATAAAAGTTTTAAAGCTGTGCGTGATGGGAAAGGATTCTGTATTCTGAAGCTGAGATGAGAGCCTGGAGGAGAAAGGAAAAAGTCCTATGCAAGACACTGTGGGCTACAAAACCAAATGTTTCCTCTTTCTTCCGCTCTCTTCAATGATGAGTCACCTTTAGTTTCTTTTAAAACTATTTTCTTATTTTAAAAACTGCCCTAATTTCCACAAGGAATCCCTGAGACATACTCAATACTATACAGTGAAAAGAACTATCACTGTTGAGAGGAACAGATTCAACCCTTCCAAACAGATGAAGACAATGTCAACAAGTGTCAGACTTCCCATCATTTCAGCACTAATCCACTGGAGCCAACTGTACCTTAATGATGCAGGTTGGAGTCATTTTAGGGCAAATCAGTCTATTCCCCCAGGTAGAACCAATGGTGTGGCATTTAGCTGCACTGGAGCCTTCTGCACTGCGTGTTGAAAATTTTTCCAAGGGGAACTTTGGGTGCATACAGAGCTTACTTCAGTGGTCCCCAGCTTAAAAAACAAACAAACAAAAACAAACAAACGAAGAAAAAAGAAACAAGTGAAAGAAGAGGATTCTATGACTCTTCGGGCGGGATGGGTACAGATCATATGTGCGTGTGCATTCTTCGGGACTGTGGTGGGCAGACGCAAGAAGGCGAAAGAGAAGATGGAAAGCTGTGCTGCCCTATGGAGCTCACTGAGAGTTAGATTTTTCTCTTATACGAGTATTGATCTAAACTTTAGATCACTAAAAACTGCTGTTCAAAGTAGCCAAACATCCCCAGTATTGGGGAACATAGGGTAAAAAAGTCATACCCAATTTGCTTGCTCTCTCTCTGAAACGTCACATTTCCTCTTATTAGCTCTGTATCACAGTGCAGAGAAAAACTAACAAAAAAAAATAAGGGCTGAAGTGAAAACAGAATTTTTGCTATTTAGAAATAAGGCTCCCTAAGTTTGACCCACAACTGCAGCATTAATGACACTGTTTATTAGAAGAGACATAACTATTCATTTATGTTTTATGTTTTCTTTCCTAATTCATTAGTCAGGGAAAAATGCTTAACAGATATCCAAACATGTCCTTCACTGGTATTTTATTACAAATTATTGGAAAGGTAGTATTTAAAATGTTACTTTAATCTACTAAACATGATTCTGGTTTCCTCCAGAATATAGGAAAATGTATAAAGATGTTAAGACATTATTAAACTGTTTTAACTTTTCTACAGAATGCCAGTGAAGATTCAGTTAATGTATTGGGCGGGGGGAAACATCTATGTTCTTTCATATATATATATAAAAAACTCTCCACTCCCGAGAAATATATTTTTTGTCAGGAAAAAAATCCTTGGAACAATGTAAATACTGGTAACAAAAGAGATACAAATGAGGACTGTTCAGTATGATGAAATTTTCTTTCAAGGAATCCTCTAAATTGCCTCATTAAACTGGAGAGTTCTGTTGACCATTTAGAAGACCATAATATTAGATTTCTATATATACCAGATTAAGAACAGTATTTTTAAAGAAGTCTGAAAAGAAAGATGAAGAAACTGAAAACTAATTTTTAATGAATTTCAAACCTCTTAATAAGTTTAGTGTTCATATACTCATCTTTTTGCAATACCAACCCATAGCGACCTTCTGAACTAACCTGGAGGAGAGGAGATTGCCTTACACGTGCACTGCTGACCGATGATGCCCACTGACCATCACCAGCACCCCTAGGATGCCAAGGCACGGCAAAGACGGCGGGCAAGCATCAGCGGACTGACCACACGGCATTTACTAGATATGCTCAAATTCTAATCCCACTTTATAAAAACAGAATGGTATAGGTCAACAGAAAGGTCAATTCTTTCATGTAAGAAGAAAACCGTATGGACAGGGCACCTCTGTGCATCCCAAACATGGTTTCCTTCCTAATCAAAGAGTTGTCTTTGCCACTGTGGACTGTGATCACAGATTGAGAACAAGCTCTGATAAGGAAGAGCTTTAGTGTCAGTCACAGAAAATGATGATTCTTAACTGCAGGTGAGAGATTGGGCTTATTTAAAAATAAATCTTATAAATAATTATTTGGCAAAGATAAAGTATCAGCTTTCTTTAGCCTCAAGCCACTAAAGACAGTAACACCAATTTTAAGGAAAAAAAATAATAACCTCACTTTCCAACTTGCTCCCCATGCCTACTATTTGTTTCTGATTAAATTATAGTCTTCTCATAGAGGGGCACTAGACACACCACACTGCCTGCCAACATGAAATTGCTCAGGAAGTCATTTATAAAGCAGTTATATCACACATGGTAGGTCACCAGAGAAAATAATCCTTTGCTGTCTAAGCTATGTGACGATAATTAGAAAATTTTTCCATTGCATAGTCTGTCACTTGGTGGGTTAAGTATAATTGCTACTTACTATTGAGTTGTTTACTAGCTACATAACCTACCCAGATGTGCAAATTGCTAAGCCATTTTTACAGAAGAAAAAACAATGTCTTAAGTACTTTAATTAAAATAATATTAATAATTATGTAGAGAGAGTAAAGGAGAAAAAGCCCATCTTTTCTTCAGATACTACTGATCATAGCCAGTGAATATCACACATTAGAATGGAATTCAGATTCTCAGAGCACAGAATGTATCCATTAACTGCAGCAACTTTGTAAATTAAATCACAGTAACACAATCTAACTGGCCTTTATAAATAGTCCCAAAGAACTGCAGAAACAGAGTGAAACTTCTTTGCCACTATTTCTCCTGGGTTCAACACTAGAATAAAAGCTAGTTTCTACCTATTTAGGACCTTATATAAGATTTGTTTTTCATTCCAGTATTGCCTTGTGATAGCATAAGTGCTATTTTAAAAGATACTAATTTTCATATTTCTGGAGTAAAAGCCACTTCATTCCTTTCTATACATATTAATAGCAAAGTTCCTACTAATAGACGAGAATGGCTCTATTAAGTAAAAGAAAAACACAGATCTCTCTGGGCTTATAGATGTTCTCCTCTCTTCCAAAAAGGGACTCATAAGAAACAGCAAGAGCAAAGCAAATTGCAAACTTTGATATCTGTTTTGAACTAGATAAAATAAGAGGAAAAGTTTGTTGTTGATAATTCCTCAACCACTTTCCTCAGCTTTCATCATGGGCATCCAAACGAAAATGTATTTACTCAAAGTTTTTGGTGTGAAGCTGTAACTAGCAACATTCCTGATAATTTCATGCCTCCTTACTAGAAAGCAGAGAAGGGCTTTTAAATGCACATAAAACAGAAAATTGCAAACAATAAAATGTGCAACTTACTGCAAACTCAGCTTTGTATCATAACTGAAGAATTTCAAGCAGCTAACATGAGGGGACAAGTAGACAGAAAAAGTTCAAATCGACTACCCACGACTTTCCCTTCCTTGTCAAAGGGCTGATGAGGAAGTCAATGTGCTGCTCTGCGACAACCTTTAAATACACAATGGAGACTAAACTGAACTGCTGGGAATGGACAGTTATCTAGTTATGCTTATGATGGTTGTGAAAATAGTTTAACAAACTAAATGACATTTTTGAGCCGAGGTAACTACTCGTGACCACTTCATTACAGTACATTAAAATAAAAAAGCTTACTAATATAGACTCACAGGTGAGAAATATTCAAATTATCTGTTCTCACCATTCAGAATAGAAATTTATGGTGATACCAAATATAATTTTGCTTTATGACATAAGTTATAATTTAGAAATTTTGCACTCTGCAAAAAAGGCAAAGCTATTAAAAATAAATCTTCCAATCAATTACCATGATTTTAAAAAAACTAAATATATTACAAACATATTTTTGGCCCACAAAAAGAAACATCAATAAATACAAAATAGGGCATATAATGATTTCATACAGTCATGTGACATTTCCCCTCCATAACCTCAGGCACGTGGTATCTGCATAATGCCTGCTGATCACCATCATTCCTTTAAAAAGCAGAGAAAGAAAAGCTTTCAAAAGAAGGGACTGGTTAGAACTAGCATGGCATAAAGAGATTACATACAGGAAGTAGGAAAATACATCCAATCACTACCTATTAGAAAGGAATTAAGATCAAATATTCCCTGACAAATGAATTATTGAACCACATCAATAGGTATGTTCTCTCAACTTTTAAAATATATATATATGTGAATTAGACTAGACTCAGGTATAAATAGCCAATGGTATCTCAAGGGACAGTGAAACTACTCAGCAAAAGCAGAGTAGAGATGCCTTTAAAATCTAGTTCCACCCTTCTCTGGGGGGGAAAAAAGGTAGGCAAGAAACCTCACAAATTCATCTCATAGTCACAAACTTCCTAAACTACCCCATATGATCTTTAACCCCTAAAATCCTGGCATTTTAAAAACATTTCCCAAAGCTATTTTCAAATTTACTTAAACCCAAGTACTTGAATTATTTTAAAAGGACCAAAGGGCGAATAAAATTTATATCTAATTTCCATATTCTGCTTTGAAAGAAACTTTAAAATGTGTATCCTTCAGATATTACACATCACTTCACAACTGGTACACTGATTCTACAAGTGTCTTAACATTTTACAAATCTTACCAAAGAATCACTACTGTAAACATGAAAAATTCAAAAGCAAAAGATGGATCAAGGAGTTGACAGATCCCATCTTTTCAAATCTATCTGACCTATCCTGCTTTTTCACATCAAAATATTTTCTTTAATTACATCTTGCAAATGTATTCCATGAGAGAGGGATTTAGAAACAAACAAATGTCTGAAAAGACAAAGTGACCATCAGGCCCCAGAACCCCGGCAGCCTGCAGTCATCCCAGGCAAGCTTTTTAGGACATCCCTACCTCACTGACGGGAATCCAAGCTTTCTATGTTCTGTTTCTTCTTGGGCTAACTTTTAGCAGAAAAAGGTTGTGCTACTCACACGACCAGTCCACCACCCTCCCTATTCAGGAAACTTGAGGAAAAGAAGGACCAACCTTATTAGGACTGTGAGATGTAGGACAGGAGAAAAGTAAGAGTTTTATACTCATTAAGTAGGGGGAAGGGGAGAACAAAAAAAAATCAAACTAATGGGACAGCTGCTTCCTGCACTGCACAAAAACACACGCGTGGGCACACGCATACTCACAGGCAGTCAAAAGACACATTTTTTTCTTTTAGTTAAACATGATCACAATTACGAATGGAATCCTGGCCTCACTGTGGTGTTTAGCAGTTGGTGCTAGGTCAGAATCTTGACCTGCCACACACCATTTGCTGTCTCTTATACAGGAACTCAATTAATAAGATCATTCTATCTAGAACCACCTATGTAAAAACCTGGCAACAGAATGGAAAGCACTGATCTGAATACTAGGAAATAGTAAAGGGCACTGGTATTCTGAGGTATCTTCCACTTCTAGGACTTGCTGCTAAAAATCAATCCTATCCAGTCACTGTGCTGAACCACTAAGGAAACCACTGGGGCGGAGTGGGCCTGCCAGGAGGGAATGAGCACCAGTGCTAAGGAGCACATGTGAACACTGTAGCGAGGTCCACTGCAGGGCCACTCATTGAACTGGGAAGGGGGGTGCCCCTCTGATCCCCATCTGTTATATCTTCTTTAGGAAAAGGGGAGAGGGGTGCTAAAGAGGAAACAAAGATAGAAAACACTGGGTTCCCCACCTGCCTGCAAACACACAGACACCCTCAGTTAGGGGAGGGAAAGGGAGAAGATGCATTATTGGTACTTGTAGCTGTGGCACCTGTTACTGTGAAGCCTGTAGGAGGGGCTATAGAGCTGTGGCTGGGCTGCAGGTCCTTAGGAATGCCACTGTGAGAACTCAGCTGGTGGCCAAAGGCTGCGCTGAACTGAGGGAGTTGCTGCTTGGGAGAGGTGGAGGCCATTAGTTCAGCAGAAGGCCCCATGCCACTGAAGCTGGTCTGTGGTAACCCCGGAAGCACACTGGAGCTGCTGGGGGTCACGGTGGCGAAGGCAGGCTGTGTGGTCTCTGAGTTCGAAGTGGTGGGTGGCGTGGATAGGGAAGTGGAAAGAAGATGTCCATCTGCGCCGAGAAGGTTGCTAAATGGAGAGGGGTCTCCAAGGTTGACAGGGAGATTGCCCCAGTGAGTTCTGGGGTTTACCACGCCTCCAAGTGGCACCTCAAGTTGGGTTGGGAGCAAGTGCTGCGCCATGATGGGCATCTCTGCTGAAAAGGTAGCTGCCATATTATCACCAGAGTACGATGTTGTGTGGGGAGAGGTGATATGGTCACTGTAGGGAGACGGCACATGCTCACTATCATAATGGCTTCCATGGGGTGAGGAGTGTGAGTGATCACTGCTGTATTGCTGTCGTGAGGTGATTAGGTCATCTGCCTTGCTCAGCAGCTGGGCAGGATGTGGCCTCTGGGAGGCATGGCTGCCGTCATGAAGTCCATGAAACTGTCCTGGGAAGGCTCTCTCCCCAAGTGCACTCTGGCTGATCAGAGTGGCAGAAGTAAGGCCAACGTTGGCTGGGGCAGAGAACTGCCCCTGGATCTGCCCTGCCAGGGGTGTAGGTGGGTTTGACAAGGTAGCAGAACGGAGCAGGTTCTCATCCAGCTCTAGACTAGAAAAATTATCATGTACTATACGCCCATTCAATAGCTCCCCTAGGTCTGTGTTCACCTCTCGGCTCAAGGATTGTATTCCTGAAGCTCCAGTACCTGTGGAGAACACCCCTATTCCTCTATCTGACAACTCCTGGACTGGCACACCATCTGACTGGGCAAGGACCCCAATGGTACTCAGGCACTCGAGAGAAGTTACAGCCTGCAAGGCCCGTTCAAGCTCCTCAGCCTCTTCGGTAGTTGGGAGGAGGTCTCCATTCTTCCCTGAGTCAACAAAAGCCATCGACAATCAGTAGAGCTTTTACCAGTTCTACATCACAAAAATCACACATTTGAATTATTTTAAACAATATTCGATTTAAAGAGTCCCTCTTGAAAAGAAAAGTTTCCAAGATTTTGATTGGAGGGAAAAAGTGAAATAATGGTCTGCAGGACAGGGTCTGTAACGTCAGCTACCTAGGAATTTGAATCACCATCTTCAGTTGATTTACTGAATACCATCTCAAAAACCATCTTATCAAAGTACTAAATTCTTAGGAATTCTAAGGATTACAAATTTAAAGCTCATGGTGACTATGTGATTATACGTGTTTTTAACCTAAAATAATATTATCATCATTAACATAGAAAACATATATCAACTTGGATTTGAGAGAAAAGGCTGTGTAGAACAGGTCCACCTTGCCTGTTCTACTCCTGACTCTCCCAGCTGGAGGGCAGCTGTGGAAGGTTAAAACACAGAAATTCATACATCTATTTGAGCACAACACTAAGCTCTCAGTTCATTTCACGGGTTATCTTTCAAAATGCTTTTGCTTTACTCTCTAATCCTTTCCCCTCATCCTCTTCCCATTTCTTACTAATTTTCATAAAATGGAAGCCCATGGACCTACTTTGATTTCATTTCTAATATTTAAAAAATCTATTGTTAGGAACTTGATTAATCACCATGGAAATATTCGATTTTTAATGGTGAAAGAAACATTCTAAAAGTATAAAATATTTCCCCTGAAAGCATGGGGGAATTGGCAGGATTAAGCAAACTTCGTTTTGGAAAAGTGCACTTCAGTTGAAGTACAGGGTGGGGTATAAAACTAGGGCAAGTTCTAAAAGACTTCAAAACTCATGTTCGGCTGGGCGCGGTGGCTCGTGCTTGTAATCCCAGCACGTTGGGAGGCCAAGGCAGGTGGATCACCTGAGGTTGAGAGTTCGAGACCAGCCTGACCAACATGGTGAAACCCCGCCTCTACTAAAAATAGAAAAATTAGCTGGGCATGGTGGCAGACACCTGTAATCCCAGCTACTCGGGAGGCTGAGGCAGGAGAATCGCTGGAACATGGGAGGCAGAGGTTGCAATGAGCCAAAATGGCGCCACTACATTCCAGTCTGAGCGACAGAGCGAGACTCCATCTCAAAAAAAAAAAAAAAAAGTCATATTCGAGATGTCTTTGTTCAAAAATAAAGCAAAAGTATTCACTTTAAAGAAACAACGTTGGGCCAGGTGTGGTGGCTCATGCCTGTAATCCCAGCACTTTGGGAGGCCAAGGCGGGTGGATCACTTGGGGCCAGGAGTTCAAGACCAGCCTGGCCCACACTGCGAAACCCCACCTCTACTAGAAGTACAAAAATTAGCCAGGCGTGGTGGCACATGCCTGAAATCCCAGCTACTCGGGAGGCCGAGGCGAAAGAATCGCTTGAACCCGGAGGCAGAAGCTGCAGTGAGCCAAGATCGTGCCACTGCACTCCAGCCTGGGCGACAGAGTGAGACTCTGTCTCCAAAGAAAAAAGAAACAAGTTATAAACCTAGTCAGCAAATTATGAGATGGTTAAACAAACTGCACATTCCTTATCTTCTGAAAGGGTTAAAATAGCTGCAGTGGCATTATATTTCCTATCTACAGTGAAAGACATTACATGTGAGGAGGAATATGATAAACACATCTCAAAACACTATTTCTTTTCTTATAAACTCATTTTTAAAACCAGTTTCCTTGAGTCAAAATATTGACTATACCTTCAAAAAAATCAAAATCTTGTAAGTCATCAGGTAGCCGTGGCAGGACATCTGAAAAGTCCTCCTGGTTCAATTCCAAGTCATGTGGAATGTCAGTGATCTCATTGGCAATGTCATCCGGCAACTCATCAGCACTCAGCTCTGGCGTGGATGGGCTCCTGGGAAAGAGGACACTGTTGGTCCCATAACTCCCCCATTATCTTCACATCAATACCACCAAGCCAAGTTCATTCAACATGAAAAGAAGCTAACGTCAGGCAGGGCACAGTGGCTCACACCTGTAATCCCAGCACTTTGGGAGGCCAAGGTGAGAGGATCACTTGAGGGCACGAGTTCGAGATCAGCCTGGTCAACATGGCAAAACCTTGTCTCTACTAAGAATACAAAAATTAGCTGGGCATGGTGGTGCACACTTGTAATCCCAGCTACTCAGAAGGCTAAGGCATGAGAATCACTTGAAACTAGGAGGCGGAGGTTGCAGTGAGCTGACATCACACTACTGCACTCCAGCCTGGGCAACAGGTCGAGACTCTGTCTCAAAAAAAAAAACAACCAAAATCAAAAAACAAGCTAATAATGTCTTTTAGGTTTTTTATTTAAAGGTCAGAAAGCCCCGGCAGGTCTTGAACCCAAGCACAGGGATTAGACAGATGGAAAGTAAGGAAGTAACCACCTGAGCTAAAGCCAATCCTAATGTCTTCTAGGTTTTTTTTTTTAGACAGAGTTTCACTCTTGTTGCCCAAGTTGGAGTGCAATGGCGCAATCTCGGCTCACTGCAACCTCCACCTCCTGAGTTCAAGAGATTCTCCTTTCTCAGCCTTCAGAGTAGCTGGGATTACAAGCGCCCACCACTATGCCAAGCTAATTTTTGTTTGTTTTTAGTAGAGACGGGGTTTACCCATGCTGGCCAGGCTGGTCTCGAACTCCTGACCTCAGGTGATCCACCCACCTTGGCCTCCCAAAGTGTTGGGATTACAGGCATGAGCCACCATGCCTTGCTTTTTTTTTTTTTTTTGAGATGGAGTCTTGCTCTGTCGCCCAGGCTAGAGTGCAGTGGCATGATCTCGGCTCACTGCAACCTCCACCTCCCGTGTTCCAGCGATTCTTCTGCCTCAGCCTCCTGAGTAGCTGGGATTACAGGTGCTCGCCACCACACCCGGCTAATTTTTGTATTTTTGGTAGAGATAGGGTTTCACCATCTTGGCCAGGCTGGTCTCGAACTCCTGACATCATGATCCACCCACCTCGGCCTCCCAAAGTGCTGGGATTACAGGCATGAGCCACCGCACCTGGTCCTAGGTTTTTTATATTCAACAGAAACATGAGAAACCCTAACTTACAGTGTCTCCTCCCCTATTTTAAAAGAAGGAAATCTGAAAGTAGAGTCACTGCAAAAATACATGCCTCACCATATGCAGTCATATTTCTGCAACCTTCACCCATGTATTAAGAGGCAACAACAACTACTAGGTAATACTTTTACTTCAAATTTGTACAATGAATCACAATTTGGTGTATCAAGTGTGTCTTAATGCTTTTTAGTAGAATTTCAAATCTGGTTGAAATAATAATTTTAGAAATGAAATTAACAACAGGTAAAATTGAAATGCTTAGCTAAAACAAAAGCTTCATTCTTCTGGTCAAAATGTTTAACCCTGCCAAAATAAATAATGCCTCATATTTCTGATGGAATACTTCTGTTGGAACATATATGGAATTTCTGCAAAAGTTTTAAAAGTTAAGAGACTAGGTATAGTGGTTCATGCCTGTATTCCCAGCACTTTGGGAGGCCGAGGCAGGTGGATCACTTGAGGTCAAGAGTTCCAGACTAGCCTGGCCAACATGGTGAAACCCCGTCTCTACTAAAAATACAAAAATCAGCTGGGCGTGATGGCACATGCCTGTAATCCCAGACTAGGGTGGCTGAGGCAGAAGAATCGCTTGAACCCTGGAGGCAGAGGTTGCAGGGAGCCGAGATTGCGCCACTGCACTTGGCCTGGGAGACAGAGCAAGACTTGGTCTCAAGAAAAAAAAAATGTTTTTTAAGTTGAGAGTATACAATTAAAGTCAGTTTCGCGTCTGTTCTCTTTATTGTAAGCAAAAGCTTAATTTTAGATCAAATACAGCCAGATATAGGTAAAATTTGCACCAAAAACTATTTAAAAAATCTAGGCTGATATACTAAATGGTTTCTGTAGCCTAGTGACAACTTTACAATAACCACATGAAGCTAGATGTTCTGAGAAGAATCCCAAAATGTAAAGAAAAATTAGGTGCCAGTGGCACCACTGACCGGATGTGAGAGGCCTCCACTGGCAGTGAGACGCTGGCGGGCATGCTGAGGTTCCCTTGGGGGACTGCAGGTGGAATGGGTTTTTGGGGTCGACGAGGTCCACGCCTTCTCTTCTTCTTGTGTTTTTTGGTTAGTGCAGGAGGCTTGGTTTTTTTCCTGGGTTTCCTCTGCTGCTGGTGCTGAACTTTACGGGAGTTATCTCCTCTCAAGAAATTATCCTTTGGAATGAATAAATAGGCTTTTAAATTGAGATTATCTGGGATAAACCTGACAGCTACCTAAAAAATACTTACATCCCTTAATATTCTATATAATGCCTAAAACATACTGGATGCCCAAAACTATGTATAACAATAATGAAGACATCAAACTTCATCAATTCCAAGATCTACATTTTAATATCTCTGCAATTGGGAAGCATTTTAAATTGGTGGCATTTTACCATTGCGGTCAGCCTGCTGATGGTCATTATAGTTGACACTGTCTACACACACACACACACACACACACGCACACACACGGTTCCAGTTCTTTGTACTGGCATCGTTTCTGAATTAAGGTTTGTACACTGTTGGTACTACGTGTGGAGGAAAATTTTTTGTGAATGTAGAAAGGCACAAAGAGCAGCAGGGCATAAAATTAATATTAGTGGAGCACATATTCATTACTGAAGAACCGACCACAATTCTTTTTTTTTTTTTTCCCTGTAAGGCAACAACCAAGTGAAAAAGGAAAATAACCACAAAGTAGATGAAGTTGTTCTATTGCTGAAGTACGTAGAAAATACTGCCTTTCACATGTCAAGCAGTACAGCCAAAACCAGGAACAGTATATAAAAATCTATGTCTAAATAAGTCTTTTAAAAGCTCTTTAATAAGTTGAAAACAAAAATTCTAAGTGATAAGAAAGTACCGCATCACTGGCAACATTTTTTTTCTTTCTTATTGGCACATAAAACAGTGGGATTTGCAATTGATGTCACCTTTAATTAATTCCCTAATAACTCTTGTAGCTAAATAAAGATTGTAGACCATAGTATTTTAAGACTAATAACTATCACTAGCATCAAAAAATTGAAAACAAGAAAGAATAAAATTAAAGCATAAATTCAGGAAATCTAAAACAGGTTTAATCCTACTCAAATGCTTGAATGTAAACAATTACAGATTAAGTCACAAATACATAAATTTAAAACAAACCAAAAAAAAGAGGCTACCTCTGGCCAGACGCAGTGGCTCACACCTGTAATCCCAGCACTTTGGGAGCCGAGGTGGGTGGATCACCTGAGGTCAGGAGTTCGAGACCAGCCTGGCCAACATGGCGAAACTCCATCTCTAATAAAAATACAAAAATTAGCCAGGCCTGGTGACACGTGCATGTAATCCTAGCTACTTGGGAGGCTGAGGCAACGGAATTGCTTGAACCCGGGAGGCAGAGGTTGCAGTGAGCTGAGATTATGCCATTGCACTTCAGCCTGGGCAACAAAAGCGAAACTCAGTCTCAAAAAAAAAAAAAAAAAAGGCTACTTCTCAGACTCTGTAGTTCTTTTTGTCTCAACACTTGAGGTCTACTTGTATTATGTCCACTATTTAACTCAACAAATGGTGAATGCGCAAGGGCCAGTACCCGAACATTGTGCTCAGCATCCATTCCAGGCTTTCCCTCCAGCACCAGTGCTGATCTCAGGAGGAAGTTAGGGGGCTCTCACCCAAGAGAAAATAAGTCCTATCTGTAAGGCTCCCAATGATCACCTGGGTCAGATTCCTGCCTGATTCTCCTAAGCTTGTGTGCAGTGGCCTTGTGGCACTCTTGGTACTATGCCAGATACTTCACACAGAACAGCCTGTGACTGATACCTGCCTTGCTCGCCTCCAGAGAGCTAGAGCCCCCACCCCCTGAGGCTTTCCTAATGCCAGCTGTTCTTTTACCTAGCTTCAGTGCACAGTGAAATACTATTCACTCCCAACTTTTGTCTGATTCTACCTCTATGTCAAGGCAATGCACTCACCATCTGTCATAGGATCTTACAAAGGTGGAATCCCATGTTCTGCCTGACAGCCGGGACTTCCTGCAGCTGGAGTCTCTTACCAATGGCTGTCACATCCTAGTTCTGAATCTTAACCCCTTCCATTGGTATGCCTAACCATTAATGTATTCAACAATTACTTACTGAGCATCTCTGTTCTAAGTGCTAGGGATACAGTAGTAACAAAAAAATGGTCCTGCCCTTGTGAGGTTTACATTCTAGTAGGAGAATACAGAAAATAAACAAACTAATGAATAACTGTTAGGCAGACAAATGTTAGGAAGAAAAATGAGGTAGAGTATGAGGATAAAACCTGACAGGGTAACAGGCAGGTGGAAGACTTGTGTGATGAGACAACACATGGTAACAAACCTGAATGAAAGGAAGGAGTGAGCAATGCGGAAACTTGGGAAAAGGCCAAGTGTGGTGGCTCATGCCTATAATCCCAACACTTTGGGAGGCAGTGGCAGGAGGATGTGATGGGAAGCCATTAGCAGGTTTTGATTTTATGGAGCTAATATGATCAGATGTATAGTCTAAAGGGCCTGCTCTAAAGGCTACTTACTACAGAATTCCCTTTCTATGACATTCTGGAAAATACAGAAGTATAGGGGCAGAAAATAGATCAGTGGGGATGGAGTAAAGGGATGACCACAAAGGGAGTAGTGTAAGAGAATCTGGGGAGCAGTTCTGTATCTTGATTTAGGTGGTGGTTATACAACTGTATGCGTCTACAAAACTCCTGAGAGTGTACACTCAAAAGTGAATTCAATTCAAAGAAAGTAGAACATAGACACACCCAGCCTACTCTGGCTGCTATGTAAACAACATACCCCCTATGGCAGGGGGATATGGCAAGAAGGGAGATCAATTAGGAGACTATTACAATAATCCAGGCAAAGATAATGGTAGCCTCAACTAGAATGGTAGCAGTGAAATTTATAAAATGTGTTTGGATTCAGAATATAATATGAAAATAGAGGCTTGGCACAGTGGCTCAGGCCTGTAAGATCCCAGCACTTTGGGAGGCCAAGGTGGGCAGATTACTTGAGGTCAGGAGCTCAAGACCAACCTGGCCAACATGGTAAAACCCCATGTCTACCAAAAAATACAAAAATTAACTGGGCACGGTGGCACACGCCTGCAGTCCCAGCTACTTGGGAGGCTACTGTGGGAGAATTCCTTGAACCTGAGAGACAGAGGTTGCAGTGAGCCGAGATTGCACCACTGCACTCAAACCTGGGTGACAAAGAGAGACTTGTCTCAAAAAAAAAAAAAAAAAAAACCAGAGCCTAGATTTGCACATACTTTTCATCTCCCAGTGTCAGTCTCTCATAGGAGCACTGATGGGGTACAAGTGCTTCTTATAGTCTCTTATGTAATTTTTAACCTAAAACAAAAATAGCTCAAACTACTGCCAGATTCTAACTGTCTTCAGAGAGAAAACCATTTTCAAAAATTTGTATTTTAAATACTTGAAAAAAATTTGATTAGTATAATTTTGATTGTTATATAAAATATATATTATTTTATGACTAATTTACATTATACTAATTCAGTCTTAGGTTTGCCTCATTGAATTTGCCTAAGTAGGAAAGTTTAACTAGCTGAAAAGAATAAAACTGCATTCAATTTCTCTAAAAGCATTCACATAATAATGGTTATAGGAGGCCAGGCGCGGTGGCTTACGCCTGTAATCCCAGCACTTTGGGAGGCCAAGGTGGGCGGATCATGAGGTCAGGAGATCGAGATCTTCCTGGCTAACATGGTGAAACCTCATCTCTACTAAAAATACAAAAATTAGCCAGGCGTGGTGGCAGGCACCTGTAGTCCCAGTTACTTGGGAGGCTGAGACAGAAGAATGGCGTGAACCCGGGAGGTGGAGCTTGCAGTGAGCCGAGATCTCACCACTGCACTCCAGCCTGGGTGATAAAGCAAGACTCCATCTCAAAAAAAAAAAAAAAATTGTTATAGGAACCAAAAATTCATTCATAATAAGTTCCTAAAGCAGACACTGAAGTACAGTTTTTTCTACTTAACAGTATCTTCCTCAGTATCTTAGAAGTATGCCGGAATGGTGGAACTTTAAAATGAAAATATGCAGCTGGGATCATTTATTTCGTGATTTGAAAGCTACAGGGCCCACATTACCATGGGTCTGTGAAATCATCAATGAAGGTCCACAAAAGTGGTTCAAAAAGCATATAGAAATTATTCCTTAGCTATGACAAAGCCTGAGTAAGCTTAAAAAAAAAAAAAAAAAAAGCCTATATTCGCTGGGCATGGTGGCTCATGCCTGTAATCCCAGCACTTTGGGAGACCAAGCCGGGTGGATCACCTGAGGTCAGGAGTTCAAGACCAGCCTGGCCAACATGGAAAAACGCTTTCTCTACTAAAAAAAACAAAAATTAGGCAGCATGGTGGCATGCGCCTGTAATCCAGCTACTCGGGAGGTTGAGGTGCAAGAATCACTTGAACCCAGGAGGCGGAGGTTGCAGTGAGCCAAGATTGCACCACTGCACTCCAGCCTGGGTGACAGAGTAAAACTCCATCTCAAAAAAAAAAAAAAAAACAACCTATATTTTAAATGTTTTTATATTAAAGTGGGAAAATAATTATTCAACATTTGTAATATGTAATTGTAATATGTAGTTTAGTATACAAATTTTTCAAAACATATTGTCTGTAAAAGAAACCTAAAAAATAAAACAAGTTCTTGGTGAAGAAGCCAGTTGATCTGGTTTGGTTCTGTGTCCCCACCCAAATTTCATCTTGTAGCTCCCATAATTCCCACGTGTTGTGGGAGGGAGACAGTGGGAGATGACTGAACTATGGGGGCAGGTCTTTCCCCTGTTGTTCTCGTAATAGTGAATGGGTCTCACAGATCTGATGGCTTTAAAAATGGGAGTTGCCCTGCACGAGCTCTTTTTGCCTGCCACCATCCATGTGAGATGTGACTTGTCCCTCCTTGCCTTCTGCCGTGATTGTGAGGCCTCCCCAGCCACGTGGAACTGTGAATCCAATTAAACCTCTTTTTTTTTTTAAATTGCCCAGTCTCAGGTATGTCTTTATCAGCAGCACAAAAACAGACTAATATAGCAAATTGGTACCAGTAGAGTGGGGTGCTGCTGAAAAGATACCCAAAAATGTGGAACCAACTTTGGAGCTGGGTAACAGGCAGAGGCTGGAACAGTTTGGAGGGCTCAGAAGAAGACAGAAAAATGTGGGAAAGTTTGGAACTCACTGGACACTTGTTGAATGGCTTTGACAAAAATGCTGATAGTGATATGGACAATGAAATCCAGGCTGAGGTGGTCTCAGAAGGAGATGAGGAACTTGTTGAGAACTGGAGCAAAGGTGACTCTTGTTATGTTTTAGCAAAGAGACTGGCAACATTTTGCCCCTGCCCTAAAGACTTATGGAACTTTGAACTTGAGAGAGATGATCTAGGGTATCTGGCAGAAGAAATTTCTAAGCAGCAAAGCATTCAAGAGGTGACTTGGGTGCTATTAGAAGCATTCAGTTTTAAAAGGGAAATATAGAATAAAAGTTTGGAAAATTTGCAGCCTGACAATGCAGTAGAAAAGAAAATCCCACTTTCTGAGCAGAAATTCAATCCAGCTGCAGAAATTTGCATAATTAACAAGGAGCTGAATGTTAATCCCCAAGACAATGGGGAAAATGTCTCCAGGGCACGTCAGATGTCTTCTCGGCAGCCCCTCCCATCATAGGCCTGGAGGCCTAGGAGGAAAAGATGGTTTCATGGGCCAAACCCAGGGCTCCCGTGCTCTGTGCAGCCTAAGGACTTGGTACCCTGCATTCCAACCACTCCAGCCATGGCTAAAAGGGAGCAAGGTAGAGCTCAGGCTGTTGTTTCAGAGGGTGGAAGCCCCAAGCCTTGGCAGCTTCTACATAGTGTTCAGCCTGCAAGTGCACAGAAGTCAAGAATTGAGGCTTGGGAACCTCCGCCTAGAATACAGAAGATGTATAGAAACAGTCTGTCTGGGCATGGTGGCTCACGCCTGTAATCTCAGCACTATGGGAGGCTGAGGCGGGCAGATCACCTGAGGTCAGGAGTTTGAGACCACCCTGGCCAACATGGTGAAACCCTGTCTCTGCTAAAAATACACACAAATTAGCCAAGCGTGGTGGCACACGCCTGTAATCCCAGCTACTTGGGAGGCTGAGGCACAAGAATTGCTTAAACCTTGAAAGCAGAGGTTGCAGTGAGCCAAGATCAAACCACTGCACTGCAGCCTGGGTGACAGAGTGAGACTCTGTCTCCAAAAAAAAAAAATGTATAGAAATGCCTGGATGCCCAGGCAGAAGTTTGCTGTAGGAGTGGGGCCCTCCAGGGGAACCTCTGCTAGAATAGTGCAGAAGGAAAATGTGGGTGGGAGCCTCCACACAGAGTCCCTACTGGGACACCACCTAGTGGAGCTGTGAGAAGAGGGCCACCATCCTCCAGACCCCAGAATGGTAGATCTACTGACAGCTTGCACCATGCACCTGGAAAAGCAGCAGATACTCAATGCCAGCCCATGAAAACAGCCAGGAGAGGGGCTATACCCTGCAAAGTCACAGGGGCAGACCTGCCCAAGATTATGGGAACCTATGTTTTGCATGAGCTTGACCTGGATGTGAGACATGAAGTCAAAGGAGATGATTTTGGAGCTTTTCGATTTGATTGTCCACTGGATTTCAGACTTGCATGGAGCCTGTAGCCCCTTTGTTTTGGCCAATTTCTCCCATTTGGAACAGCTGTATTTACCCAATGGCTGTACCCCCATTGTATCTAGGAAGTAACTAACTTGCTTTTGATTTTACAGGCTCATAGGCAGAAGAGACTTGCCTTGTCTCAGATGAGACTTTGGACTGTGGACTTTTGAGTTAATGCTGAAACTTTTGAGTTAATGCTGAAATGAGCTGAGACTTTGGAGGACTGTTGGGAAGGCATGATTACAATGTGAAGGTATTACAATGTGAAGATATGCTATTTGGGATGTGCCAGGGCAGAATGATACGGTTTGACTCTGTGTCCCCACCCAAATCTCATCTTGTAGCTCCCATAATTCCCACGTGTTGTGGGAGGGACCTGGTGGGAGACGACTGAATTATGGGGCAGGTCTTTCCTGTTGTCTTTCCTGTTGTTCTTGTAATAGTGAATGGGTCTCATGTGATCTGATGGTTTTATAAATGGGAGTCGCCCTACACAAACTCTATTTTTGCCTGCCTCCATCCATGTAAGATATGACTTACTCCTCCTTGCCTTCCACCATGATTTTGAGGCCTCCCCAGCCACATAGAACTGTGAGTCCAATTAAACCTCTTTCTTTTGTAAACTGCCCAGTCTCAGGTATGTCTTTCCCAGAGGCATGAAAACGGACTAATACACCAGTGAATCACACACATTGAGACTGAGGTCCAAAAAGGCTGAATCCTTAGCCCCTAGTTATATACCAAGCTGGTGGCAAAGCCAGGATCACAGGTTCCAACTATTAAGTCCTGGTCTAATACCCATTCCCTCACCCTGAGAATCCCTGAAAACTATAACATGTTTATAGAGGGCAGGAAGTATCTCACTTTCTAGTACATAAGGTACCTAGGAAAGTATCTTGCAGTAACTGCTTGATGGATGAAAACAATAAAAATGAACTTCCTTTAAATGATTATATAATTTAGATATTCCTCAAATTCAAATCTGTCTCTCCTCCAAATTATTCTGAATTAATTAGGATTTATGATAACTAGCATTAACTAAAGCAATAATTACATTCAATAGATTTCTAGAAAGGCTGGGCCTTCGATTGAAGTTTCATCAACTATTCATGACATTTGTAGAATTGTATATAAGAAAGCAAAAACTTAGAGACATAGGAACAAAGAGAGTATTTAGAAATTCTGCTATGTATAAGATACATATCTTAAGGTAATAAAATGTATCTTAAGGGAATAAAAATCCTCTCTCAAAACTTGTTTCAGTGATTTATATACATACATAGTTTGTGCTAAGTTATAAAATACTTCCTACAGTGGATAGCTACAAAAAGTTTGAAAGCCTCTGTTGCAGAACTTACCATTTTTTTGGCATGTTCTTCACACAGAGGTGTCTGATGTGTAATGTCAAAAACTGGCACAGAGCACTGCTGTCCATCTGCAAACTTGGCTGTGCAACTTGAGAAGAGCTGCTGAGAGTGGTTCAAGAGGATATCTGGGTTTTTTTAAGTTAGGAGTAAAATACACTGAAACTCTAATTTTTCAATTTCTATATAAAATTTGCTTGTTCCCTTACATTTCATAAGTACAAGCTTTATTATCCATAATATAAATATTACCCATATCAGTACTAGCTCAACTACTGATATGGGAAAATAATAGAATTTATCAGATGACAACTCTGAAGGACTCTATTTTGCTAATGAGACCCTGGCACCAGTCTCCTTAATGACCATTCTGAACCAAATTGTGTTATTTGGAAAAGCAGGGCCATTTCCTTCTTAACATGTGAACTCCACTTAAAGTTCCACTTCATGTTTTTTTTGTTTTGTTTTTTGTTTTGAGATGAAGTCACTCTGTTGCCCAGGCTGGAGTGCAATGGCACGATCTCAGCTCACTGCCACCTCGGCCTCCCGGGTTCAAGCAAGTGATTCTCCTGTCTCAGCCTCCCGAGTAACTGGGATTACAGGCATCTGTCACCACATCCAGATAATTTATTGTATTTTTAGTAGAGACAGGGTTTCACCATATTGGCCAGGCTGGTCTCGAACTCCTGACCTCAAGTGATCTAGCCGCCTCAGCCTCCCAAAGCGTTGAGATTATAGGCATAAGCCACTGCACCTGGCCAATGGTTTTCTTTTTTTAAACAGCTCTTAAAAGGAAAATTTTCTGCCTATGATACTTACCAAGAATAAAAATTTAAAGATATAGTTATTAGAAACTCATCTTTCCAAATTTGAATATTTTGCTTCACACTTCCAGCAACAAACTCAAACTCACAACCCATGAAAAATTACTTTTAAATCAAAACTTCACTATTGGCCAGGCACAGTGGCTCACACCTATACTCCCAGCACTGTGGGAGGCTAAGGTGGGTTGATTTATTGAGCCTCAGAAGTTCAGGATCAGCCTGGGCAACAAAAAAGTACAAAAATTAGTCAGGCATGGTGGTGCATGCCTGTAGTCCCAGGTACTCAGGAGGCTGTGATGCAAAGATCACCTGAGCCCAGGGAGGTCGAGGCTGCAGTGAGCTGTGATCGTGCCACTGCACTTCAGCCGGGGTGACAGAGTGAGATCCTGCCTCTAAACAAACAAACATGAGCTTTACATCATCAATATTTTTAAGCACTCATACTTTTAGCTACTACATTTCCTTAACACTTACCTTATATCTATTAAGTGCCTTTGTGTTTTTCCTTTATGGTTTTTAGGTAAAACTATAAAGCCTTTATTACATAGAAAGTGCTGCTGAACAAGCTGTTCCAAGAACAGAAAGGAGGGCAACAATTAAATAGATGGTAAAGATAAGTAATTGCTGCTATTTTTACATGCTACCTGATTTTAAATACTCAATAAAAGTCACAGCAATAAGATTTCATCACCAACCTAAAGCTCTTTAACATAGGTTTTCTTCAAGTATACTTTAAAAGAGATCTTCTTTCCTAGGCAGTGATGTTTGTTACCTTTCATTCATTTCAAATCAGCACTGTACTCATTAAAAAGAGTAAACTAATCTTACAGGAAAAAGTTCTGTAAAACTGTGTAACTGTCTTAGAAGACTAAAAACAGATTTTAAATAATGTGATTTGATTTTTTCCATTAATGAGTGTTATAGCTCCTTCTTACAAGCTACTAGGAACCACCTGAGGGACCAGAATTCTATTAACAAAATATAATTAAGTGACAGACACTGGAGGAACCTGCTATTTGCTATCAATTTTGCTTATTTTTTGTGATTTTTGAGTAAAACAAGAAAAATTATTCAGAGGACATCATGAAAATTATGTTCGATAAAATTATTTTAAACATTAAACAGTTATGGTTTCAAAAGTCATTCACTTGAATTAAAAATGAAATATACAGCCCCAAATTAGGTAGTACTTTTTCAATGCACATTCCATTTAGTTGAAAGGATACGTTGGAAACAATGTCTGGTGAATGGAAGGGCTTTGTTAGCGCACTGTTCACCCTTCACGGTTCCACTGCATGCTGCTGGTTCCACCTCCCTCAGCTTGGTCCGGCTTATGCTAAGGAAAGAAAAACAGAGAATTAATTTTTTTTTAATGCTTTAAGAATCCAGGGTAATTTTTCAACATGATGTCACAACTCTGTAACACTCTCATTATAATATATATAACATCTACAGTCACTAAATAAAATGCAAATGTGATTTAAAGAAAGACGGTATTACAATTACCAATTGTGTTATTTCCCTAATCTTCTGACATTCAAAGCTGATAATTACATCAGAATATGTTTCAAGTATGTCTGTTTTTTTTTTTAAGTGATGTTTTATTTCCCTTTTCTTCACAAAGAGACAGTAGAGAAAAGTGATGAAGAACATGAGAGAAGAATCAGATGGACCTGGTTTTGAATCTCAGCTCTCCCTCTTACTAGCTGTGTGACTATGGGCATGTTGCTCAGCCTCATTTAAACCCCAATTTTCTCACCTGTAAAGTAGAGACAATAAGGTACCTTGAGCTGGCAGGGTTGTTGGGAGCATAAAAGGATTAATCACATCTAAACCACTTATATACAGTATATAGTATTACACAGTAAACAGTCAGTGGTTGTTAGTCATGACTATGATTATCGCCACCATTAGGAATTGATTGCCTCATGCTACTAAACCCATAAATCTGCAAAAAAACTCTTCATCTCATACATGGGGAAGAGGATACTGATACGCAGAAATGGCTGAGTGGCTTTTATCCTCCAAAGTGAACTCACTTTAGATCTATTTTTTAAACTTTCTATTATATGTGCAATCCATGTTTCATTATTTAAATTTTTTTTTATCTCCACTTTGTACACTTAATGTTTAAATATTTTAACTCATTTAAAATCTTATGAATAAGCAATGCATTCACATGGATCCATAAAAAAATGAAAGAATGCTAGGCAGTGAAGAATCGACTTCTTGCCCTTGCCCCCTAATTTGCCAGCCCCCACTCCCTCTATAATACGTATTCATTTTATTAGTCTGCAGATCCTTCCAGTTTCTTTACACAAACATATAAAAACACAAATAAATAACATTTAAATTCTTAGAAGTGGGCCAGGTGCAGTGGTTCATGACTGTAATCCCAGCACTTTGGGAGGCAGAGGAGGGCTCCCAAAATCAAAAAGGATCGCTTGAGCCCAGGAGTTTGAGACCAGTCTGGGCAACATAGGGAGATCCCCATCTCTATTGAAAAAAAGAAAAAGAAAAAGAAAAAAGACAATTCTTACAAGTACAAAACCTATCCCATCTACGTGACTCTATAAAGCATCACAAACCATTAGGCCTTTACAAGTCTGAGTATGAGGAAAAAAATCTACTTAACATACTGAGTTCAAGTCAGATATCACAAACAAAAAATCTTTTGAGTTGTTTGTTTCTAGTATCTTTCTCAGGGTTTCAATGGAATTATTGACACTAATTAGGTAAGGCCACACAGAATCTAAATTACATATGAATTTACACAAAATATAAATACTTCTACCGTAGTTATTAATTTCATATAAACTGTAAACACTGTTTATATGTCCATGGTGTTGCCTTAAAACCTGCCTTAACTAAGATGTCTACAAGATTTGTCACGATTATAAGAATAGGGAAGTGGATCATCATAGAACTAAACAGTTTATTCCTAATAGTTTATCCATTGTTTCTTTAAAAAATTGTTTACATTAAATTTAGCCCTATAAAAGGAATATATAATTTCAAATAAATAAACCTTTACTATTCTGGCAGCTAAGCTCAAATTCTCTTGGTCTAGATTTAAATAGAAAGGTCTCCATATTAAAGGGATACTTCTCTTTTTTTATTTTGAGACGGAGTTTTGCTTGTTGCCCAGGCTGGAGTGCAATGGTGCGATCTCGACTCACTGCAACCCTCACCTCCCGGGTTCAGGTGATTCCCCTGCCTCAGCCTCCCAAGTAGCTGGGATTACAGGCACCTGCCACCATGCCTTGTTAATTTTTTATATTTTTAGTAGAGACGTGGTTTCACCATGTTGGCTGGGCTGGTCTTGAACTCCTGACCTCAGGTGATCCACCTGCCTCAGCCTCCCAAAGTGCTGGGATTACTGGCATGAGTCACCACACCCTGCCTGAATGGATAATTTTCATTAAACACTCTAATAAACCGCTCAGCTATCTTCAAAGACTAGTGTACAATACATTCCCTCATTTTCTTTATTCCAAACTTACAAAATAACTATTGGTTTCATTTTTTAAACTTGCCTTGTTTCAATAACCCCATGGACAAATTAAGGTAAAAATGGCCAGACACAGTGGCTCACCCAGTAATCCCAGCACTTTGGGAGGCTGAGGCAGGCGGATCACAAGGTCAGGAGTTCGAGACCAGCCTGGCCAACACAGTGAAACCCCGTCTCTACTAAAAATACAAAAAAAATTAGCTGGGCATGGTGGCGGGCACCTGTAATCCCAGCTACTCGGGAGGCTGAGGTAGGAGAATCACTTGAACCCAGGAGGTGGAGGTTGCAGTGAGCCGAGATCACACCATTGCACTCCAGCCTGGGCAACAGAGCAGAACTCTGTCTCAAAAAATAAAAAATAAAAAAAAATTAATGTGAAAATGCTTGATGTAATGTTAGATATATTTTATTATCCAAATAAGCCCAACAAACAAAGGGAATTACCAAAACTTTTTCATGTTTTTCATATTTAAAAAATCTACTACAGGATTCCCTTTGACATGCCCTATTGCACCCCCCATAAATAATGATGTTTCCATACAAACATTAGTCACTGTATGATTGTGGGCTGCAAGATACTTAATTTGGGTTCACATATTTGAAGCTATTTCAATGGCTTATTCCACTTACTCATCAATAAATACGACAAAGTTATTTGATAGGAAAGACTAACATTATTTAGCTTGTATACAAACTATATTTTATTTTATTGAGAAGGAGTCTCCCTCTGTCACCCAGGCTGGAGTGCAATGGTGCAATCTCAGCTCACTGCAAGTTCTGCCTCCCGGGTTCAAGCAATTCTCCCACAGCAGCCTCCCAAGTAGCTGAGACTACAGGCGCATGCCACCACACCCAGCCACCATGCCTGGCCAACGAACTCTATTTTAAAGGATCCAGGCCGGGCGCAGTGGCTCATGTTTGTAATCCCAGCACTTTGGGAGGCCAAGGCAGGCAGAGTACCTGAGGTCAGGAGTTCGAGACCAGCTTGGCCAACATGGTGAAATCCTGTCTCTACAAAAAATACAAAACAATTAGCCAGACGTGGTAAAGGGTGCCTGTAATCCCAGCTACTTGGGAGGTTGAGGCAGGAGAACCACTTGAATCCGGGAGGCGGAGCTTGCAGGGAGCCAAGACAGCGCCATTGCACTCCAGCCTGGGCAACAAGAGTGACACTCCATCTCAAAAAACTAAAAAATTAATAAAGGGTCCACATTAGAAGGTAGCCATTAAACTTTTAATTTCTAAAATATGTAATGTCAAACTTTTATGTATCTTTTTTTGAAACTAGGACTTTAATACCGAAAATATCAAATAGAGGGCAGCATGCAACTAAAAGTTGACTTTTGTGAACCTAGAATATAATGTAATATAAAAAGCTGCCGGCTGGGCGCAGTGGCTCATGCCTGTAATCCTACCACTTTGGGAGGCCGGGGGAGGCAGATCACGAGGTCAGGAGTTCATGACCAGCCTAGCCAACATAGTGAAACCCCGTCTCCACTAAAAATACAAAAAATTAGCCGGGCATAGTGGCGCATGCCTGTAGTCCCAGCTACTTGGGAGGCTGAGGGAGAAGAATTGCTTGAACCCAGGAGGTGGAGGTTGTGGTGAGCCAAGACTGTGTCACCACACTCCAGCCTGGGCAACAGAGTGAGACTCATCTAAAAAAAAAAAAAAAAAAAAAAGTTGCCAATCACCAAAGAATGATTATGATACATTGTTACATGATTATCAGCGATGCACTGGGCCATAAACTTTTCACTAATCATGGGTGACACAACTGAATATCATCAAATCAATCTGAAAACTATAACAGGGTCCATCTTGCTGTTTGTTTGTTGTGGCAGTTATCATTAATGTTTTTTAAATATCACTGATGTCAGTTAGGAAGATGTTCTGAAAACAACCAGTTAAGAATCATAGATATATACAGTTTTCCACACAAATACCAAATTTTCCCAAACTCATTGTATAGTCTTTTATATCTTTGACAAGATCAGAATAATATATTGGACTCAGCATATACATTTACATACAAATTGGTTCATGCTGGACAATTCTACTAAAAGTATACACTTGAAAGCATTATATCATATAAATGTTAGTTATCATTATTTTATAACCTGTGTCAAACTGAGTAAATTCCTTCAACAAATAGAGAACAGACCTTCATTTATTCAATTTTGTTCACTCGTTCATCAATACTGGAGATTTAGGAACAAACTTTTTCCTGTTCTCATGGAAATTACTGTCTAGCATGAGAGACAAGTTAATATAGGTATAAAATTGTACAATGAAACAGAGTACAGAGCACAGTAGGCATACACAGTAGAGGGAACCTAACATAGTCCAGGGAATCAGGGAATGTATCTCTAAGAACATAAGTCTCTGAGTAAGCTGAGACCTGAAGGATGTTCTAGAACAGATACTAGATCCAGAGGACTGAGAGGTCTAGGAGTCAGGCAAGGTGATTTGGGTGTAAGGGAAGAGTAGGCTGCAGCCATTACATATGGTATATTAGATACTTCAAACAACTCTAACCTGTTCTACTTCTAGAAAACTCTTAAGGGCACAGTGCATCCATGTGAGATATGCAACTGAAAATTAGGTCACTTTATTACAACAAATGAAAAGCAAAATACACAACACTAAAATAAAATATCAAAAAACAGGTATATAAGTAATATGACCAACAGCTACAAAATAAAGGTTATATTTTAACACTTTGTTTTATTTATTTATCTTTTTTTTTGTTTGAGACGGAGTCTCACTCTGTCGCCTAGCCTGGAATGCAGTGGCACAATCTCGGCTCACTGCAACCTCTGCCTCCTGGGTTCAAGCAATTCTCCTGCCTCAGCCTCCCGAGTAGCTGGGACTACAGGTGCCCACCACCACACCCAGCTAATTTTTGTGTTTTTAGTAGAGACAAGGCTTCACTATGTTGGCCAGGCTGGTCTCGAACTCCTGACCTCATGATCCGCCCACCTCGGCCTCCCAAATCATGCTGGGATTACAGGCATGAGCCATCGCACCCGGCCAACACTTTGTTTTAAAACCCTTTTTTTCCCTCAAGTGACTTATGATCATTACATAAAAATGAGACTGTACAAACTAAGAATTTTTTCATTTTATCAATAATCCCACCACCTAGAGATATTCTGGTACATAAATTCCTAAATTTTTTCTCTATATATGTACTAAAAGTTGTCATATGAAAATATAATAACTGGCCACGCATGGTAGCTCACGCCTGTAATCCCAGCACTTTGGGAGGCCGAGGTGGGTGGATCACCTGAGGTCAGGAATTCCAGACCAGGCTGGCCAACATGGCGAAACTCCATTTCTACTAAAAATACAAAAATTAGCCAAGCGTGGTGGCGGGTGCCTGTAGTCCAAGCTACTCAGGAGGCTGAGGCAGGAGAATTGCTTGAACCCGGGAGGCAGAGGTTGTAGTGAGCCGAGATCGCACCATTGCACTCCAGCCTACACAAGAAGAGTGAAACTCCATCTCAAAAAAAAAAAAAAATATATATATATATATATATATATATAAAATAACTAAAAAGTGTGAAATAGGCTGGTCCATATGCAGTGGTTTTACAAGTAATTTATCACAACCAGTTAGTTACAGATTTCTTTGCTCCTTCTCCACTCCCACTGCTTCACTTGACTAGCCTTAAAGGAAAAGAAATTTTTTAAATGTGTGAAATAATAAATAATAAACTCAATAAAGAAGCTGGCCTTCTATCAGGAGGCTGAGGCTGTAGTGACCCGTGATTACGCCACTGAATTCCAGCCTGGGCGACAGACTGAGACCTTGTCTGAACGACAACAAAAAGAATCAGAATTTGAACTCTATTTCCTTAAAGTAAGATAATGTTTTGAAATTTTTTTTTTTGGAAGGCAGTCCCACTCTGTCGCCCAGGCTAGAGCACAATGGTGTGATCTCTGCTCACTGCAACCTCCTACTCCCAGGCTAAAGCCATCCTCCCACCTCAACGTTCCTAGTAGCTAGGACTACAGGTGCACGCCACCACACCTGGCTAATTTTTGTATTTTTTAGTAGAGATGGGGTCTCATCACGTTGTCCAGGCTAATCTCGAATTCGTGACCTCAAGTGATCTACCCACCTCAGCCTACCAAAGTGCTGGGATTACAGGTGTGAGCCACTGCACCCAGCCATGTTTTGAAATTTTAAAATTCAATTTAGTGCTTTAAATGTGTATTTCAGTTAAAAGTAATAACCAGGCAGGGGCAGTGGCTCATGCCTGTGATCCCAGGACTTTGGGAGGCCAAGGTGGGCAGATCACTTGAGGTCAGGAGTTCAAGACCAGCCTGGCCAACATGGTGAAACCCCATCTTTACTAAAAATACAAAAATTGGCTTGGCATGATGGCGGGCACCTGTAATCCCAGCTACTTGGGAGGCTGAGACAGAAGAATTGCTTGAACCAGGGAGGCAGAGGTTGCCATGAGCCAAGATCGTGCCACTTCACTCCAGCCTGGGTGACAGGGCAAGGCTCCGTCTCAAAAAAAAATTAAAAAAAAGAAAAATAGCCATAATTAAAATATATATAAAAAACAAAATTGTGTTAAATATGTATTTATATATACACAACAGATATTATATATATTTTATATATAACAGATATTTTATATTTATATATATAACAGAATTCCATAATCAGTTTAGAAAATATAACTTTGTATTTTTTAAAAATTTTATAGGTATAAACAAAGGTATTACTGTACTAAGGTTTTCACCATTACCACCAAAATGGTAATATGCCAAATTTCTAAAATATCAGATAACTCTACATTTCTGATATACAGATTTTCACGAATGGAATATTATGTAAACATTATAAATCCTGTTTTCAAAAGAATCTTGAAGAACATAGGGAAATGGCTATGGTATACTTTTGAGGGAAAACTAGAAAACTCAAATTATTGTCATGAGAATGTCATTAATTAATAATTAAGAATTAATCTCATGAGAAAGTGGTCATAATTCAGTGATAAAAGGAAAAGAGCATTTACGGAAATAAATGAAAATAATACAGATAACATGATTTCAATTTTGCTTTTTAATATAAACACATGGCTCACTGGAAAATTTACACACGCACGCGCGCACGCGCACACACACACACACACACACAGAGAAAGACTAGAAGGAAACAGAATCAAAATGTTAACAGTGCTCATTCTCTCTCTCATGAATGGTAACAAGAAGATTTTTCCCTTCTCATTTGTGTATTTTTAAAATTTTCCACAATAAACAAGTATTTGCATTATAAACAGAAGGAATTTTTTTCTTAAAAAAAATTCAATGTAATAAAATACTTGCACAAATAATCTGTGAGGTAATGTAAATATTAATAGAAAACACACTGAAAAGGCCAGCTACAGTGGCTAACACCTCTAATCCCAACACTTTGGGAGGTAAAGGTGGGAGGATCGCTTCAGGCCAGGAGTTTGAGACCAGCTTGGGCAATACAGCGAGACCCTCACCTCTACAAAAAAAAATTTTTTTAATTAGCTGGGTATGGTTTCACATGCCTATAGTCCCAGCTACTCAGGAGGCTGAGGTGGGAGGGTCATTTGAGCCCAGGAGTTTGAGGCTGCAGTGATCTATGATCACACCACTGCACTCCAGCCTGGGCGACAGAGCAAGACCCTGTCTCTAAAAACAAAAAAATGAAAACCAACACTGAAAAGAAACTAAAATAACACATGTAAATAAACATAAAATACTACTTTTGTAGTTAAAAATCTATAAATGTTACTTTTAAATAACATGAAATTTCTAAGCATTCTATTTTTTTAAAGCCAGGTAACATTCTCAAATCTTCAATGAATAAATTCTAATCAAACTTCAGCAAAATTTTAGTAATGGTTTAATTTTACTGTTAGCTCATGGCAGTATTATTTTGCCACCTGTAGCACTTTAATAAAGCAAGAAAACCAAAACATAATGCTTAAACGTTTAGGACTTAGTGGTCATCTCCCACTGTGCCTCAACTATCCTCTCACAAAATAAAGAAAGCAAACTGAGATGAGTCCCTTAAGAATAGGTTGCTGTGGCTCTAACCTGGTTCGACTGCATGCAGCTCTCCGCAGTTCTTGTATTAACTGACCAGTGCATTCTGGTTCTTTACTGGCCGCCTGCAGCAAAGCTTTCCTAAACGTATGCCGGCATTTCTTTTGACGAGATTCTGCCCGCTCCAGGCGGCAGAGGTGCTTATATTTCTGCTGAAAGTAAGTGCAAAGTTGAGTCACCCTGGAGCTCCTACTCTCCGCATCATCATCATCTGACCTGGAAAGTGCAGGGAGAGAAAGGAAAAACTGATTACACATTAGGCTCATTTTAGACAGGGTAAACGAGAATTAGGAAATGTAGCTGAATGCACAGGTTTAAAACTTTTGTGGCATGTGAGCACATACTTCACACAATTAGAGTAAGAGAATTCCAACAGAGCTGAACTAAGTACAGTATTTCAACAGTAAGGACAGAGTTAATCCAGTGTTTTCAAAAACAGCCTTCTTAGCATGGCATCAGTAGACACTTAATATACCAGTGTCTTCTAAATTTTAAGTGACTAGAGACCCCTGAGGAAAAAAATTCATTTCTTTACCTTTACTTACTAAAAAGTCTGAGTAAATGACATGACAGTTATGAGGAAACACATAGCATAATTTCATAAAAGATAGGTCATACCAGAAATAGGGCAGCGAATTCTAACAGTTTATTATCTAAGAGCTGCCCTTTTAACCATTCTGGTTTTTAACCACCTTTTTCTTGCTAACCACCTAAAGAAATTTGGTTGTAGGGATCGCATTAATTCTACCATGTATTTTTGTTTTGTTTTTTTGTTTTTTTTTTTTGGAGACAGAGTCTCACTCTGTCGCCCAGGCTGGAGTGCAGTGATGCGATCTCAGCTCACTGCAAGCTCCATCTCCTGGGTTCACGCCATTCTCCTGCCTCAGCCTCATGAGTAGCTGGGACTACAGGTGTCTGCCACCACGCCTGGCTAATTTTTTTGTATTTTTAATAGAGACGGGGTTTCACCATGTTAGCTAGGATGGTCTCGATCTCCTGACCTTGTCATCCACCTGTCTCGGCCTCCCAAAGTGCTGGGATTACAGGCATGAGCCACCGAGCCCGGCCTTCTACCATGTATTTTTTTAACTATGGAAGTATCCTAAACAGCATTTGATAAGTCAGGGATTACATAAAGGATTTTCCATCACATGCTAATAATGTGATTAATTGGTGTCCTGGCTGAAATGCTATGTGGAAGTGATGCTGAAGGAACATCTAAGCTCAACAAGAAAGAGTGCCTTTTTAGCAATGGCTACCACCAGCAAGGTTTAAAAGGCCACTTTTTTATGGAACAAATGTGATCTTACTTTTTACCGTTAGGAATAATGCCCACTGGACTTGAAAACTGACCTGTTATTTTAGCTTCTTTCTCTGCTATCATAAGTAAATACCACACATGACACCATGGACTATATATTCTCTTACTAATCTTCTACTATTCATTGCTGGGTTTCTCTTAAGTGATATTATTCTTCTTTCCTTCAGCATAGTCTATAACAGGCTACTCTATAAACTTCTACTTAGTACCTCTCCTAAGAAGCACATTCTCGTCAGTATACTTTTTACTACAGATCTACAAATTGAAGGACTTTACTTCAATCTTTTCATTTATTCAACATTCAACATTCACTGTGTATCTATTATGCTCAGCACTACAGAAGAGAGACCAACATTTCAAAGAGTTTGCAATGCAATTTGGACAAGATAAACACTTCCCAAAAAGTTAAAACAATTCAAAAAAGAATAAAAACAGTAACAAAAACAGTGGGGCAAAAAGGCCAATGATTCAAATATCTGACCACAAATCAGAAAAATCTGTGAGCACTTAAAAGTTTCAGACTCCTACAAACTACCCCAAATCTACTGAACCAGAATCTCCATGGTATAGGGCCCAGGATTCTTCATTTTGAATTTTTCCCTGACCTCTGACAGCAGGTCTACACTTGGGAGTTCTCGTAGAGCTAGCAAATGTGATAAATATCTTTCACACAAGACAGAAAACAGTAAAGTACCACAACAGAGGTCAGGGTAAGGTGTTACTGAAGTTCACTGGAAAGACAGCTGGAAGGCCTGGGTACGATGGCTCACATCTGTAATCCCTGCAATTTTGGGAGGCCAAGGTGGGCAGATCACCTGAGGTCAAGAGTTTGACCAACAACGCAAAACCCTGTCTCTACTAAAAATACAAAAAGTACTCAGGTGTAGTGGTGTATTCCTGTAATCCCAGTCACTCAGGAGACTGAGGCAGGAGAATCATTTGAACCTGGGAGGTGGAGGTTGCAGGAAACTGAGACCACAGCAGTGCACTCCATCCTGGGTGACAGAGCAAGACTTTGTCTCAAAAAAAAAAAAGACTGCTGGAAGTAAAGAAAGGCTTTGCAGAGGAGGTGACAGCAGAAATGAACCCTGAAGAAAGAGGACCTCACACAAATACAACACGTAAGCCAAGACACACAAGACACAGAGATAGACAGGATGGTGAACAGCAAGAATGTAAGTAGCTTGGTGTGGCTAAGGTAAGGGGTCTGTAAGGGAATAATGATAGGTAAGGTTAGCTTTCTAGACTTAAATGTCAAATTAAAGAGTTTAACCTTTATTCCACAGGTAAAGCAGAAGACTTGTAATTTTTTAAATTTTGCACTCCTAACTGCTAAGCTTTGTAACTGTTAAGAAAATACAGTAACAGAGGTGTGCCATGACAATGATTACAGTCAGCAGCAGATATAAAATAAACAGAAGAAGAGAGAGAAGAAGGCAGTTAAAAAATTACTGTAAATCTCCAGCAAAGAGATAACAAGGATCCATGCTAGGATGGAAGGAGCAGGACTGGAGAGCATGAGGCAATCTGCATGTATAAAGACAAGCTTTGTCAGCTGGCAAGGACCAGAGAAGGGACAATAAGCAGGCAGCAGTTTCCACCAACAAAGAATGGGAAGGACAGTAACATCATGTATAAAACAAGGAACTAAAAATACAAAAAAAATAGCTTGGTATGGTGGTGCATCCCTGTAGTCCCAGCTACTTGGGAGGCTGAGGCAGGAGAATCACTTGAACCCAGGAGGCAGAGGTTGCAGTGAGCCAAGATCACGCCAGTGCACTCCAGCCTGGGTGACAGAGCAAGACTCCATCTCGAAAAAAAAGAAAAAAAAAAAAGACATATAAGGGCCATTATCATAAGTGAACTAACTCACTTTGGTGACTCAATATGAAAGATTAGAAAGTCAATGACTCAATGACTTAGAATATGCATAACTAGGAAAACAGAAGTCTCATTCATAGAAAAAGGAAATGGAGAGGAAAGGCAGATCTTAAAGGGAAGGTAAAGCTTGGGTCGATAATCAGTTGCCAAAACTGTTATTTTAAAAAGATGCACCTGCGCCCCTGCCACCGCTATCACCACCTCAGTGTCCCTTGGCTCCAGTCCCACTCTTAGGACAGCACCGCCACTGCTGCATGGCCCTGCCTGCCTCCTGTGCTGCGCAGCACTTGCGGGTGCCCCAGATGGCACTTTACCCCTAGGACTGGCTTAAAATAGTGGAGTGATCATCATGGCCGATGAGAGGCAGGACTGGATTGCAGCTCCAACTCGGACAGACAGAGCAGAGTGCCGAGGCTTGCATAGTGAATTTTATCTCCAGAACAACTGCAAGAACAAACCAGGAATCCCGAGAGGACCTACAGACCCTCTGAAGGAAGTGGACTGCTCCTGCAGGATCCGGAGACACTCCAAATACCGTGAGTGCCCAAACTGCGGAAGTAGGAAAGGGAGATTCTCCGTTTCGAACACACACCGCTGCTGGGGAAACTGAAGGTCTAGTTTGCAGGAGAAGTTTCCGACCTTACCTGGAGCTGAGTCAATTTAGAGAGCTGAGCAAAATAACAGGGGTAGAGAAAGCAGCAGGAAACGCTCTGGGAGCTCACTGGGTCCCCAAGCAGGTCATTCCTGCCTGGCATCACAGAGATCTTTCGGGAGGGCAGCCAGAGGCATGGGGAAAATGCCACAGGGAGAAGGAAATCTCCAGCTGAACTTTGTAACAATTTGAACCTGGCGAGAAGCCTCCTGGCCAGAATGTGGGGAAGGCCACAAATCGTCTGTGCAGACTCCACAGGTGGGGAAAGAACCAAAGCCCCTCTCTTTTGCAGCTGGGAGGCAGGTAGCCTCGGACAAGTTCTCAAGCCCTGCTCACCCACTGCCTGGAAACAGACTGGGGCTATTAGGTGGGGCATGGTGGGAGTGAAACCAGCCCCTCAGATTGTGTGGGAGCTGGGTGAGGCCTATGACTGCCGGATTTCCCCCACTTCTCTGACAACCTGTGTGATTCAGCAGAGGCAGCCATAATCCTCCTAAATACACAACTCCATTGATCTGGGAGCCTTTGCCTAGACACATTGTCATTAGGTTATCCAAAGTTAAGACGAAGGAAAGAATCTTAAGAGCTGTGAGACAGAAGCACCAGATAACCTATAAAGAAAACCTGTGAGATTAACAGCAGATTTCTCAAGAGAAACCCTACAAGCTAGAAGGGATTGGGGCCCTATCTTCAGCCTCCTTAAACAAAACAATTATCAGCCAAGAATTTTGTATCAAGCAAAACTAAGCATCATATATGAAGGAAAGATACAGTCGTTTTTCAGACAAACAAATGCTGAGAGAATTCACCATGACCAAACCACCACTACAAGAACTGCTAAAAGGAGCTCTAAATCTTGAAACAAATCCAGGAAACACATCAAAACAGAATCTTTTTAAAGCATAAATTATACAGGACCTATAAAACAAAAATACAAGTTAGAAAGTGAAACAAAAAACAAAAGTACACAGGCAACAAAGAGCACAATGAAAGCAACGGTACCTCATATTTCAATACTAACATTGAATGTAAATGACCTAAATGCTCCACTTAAAAGATACAGAACCACAGAATGGATAAGAACCCACCAACCAACTATCTGCTGCCTTCAGGAGACTCACCTAACATATAAGGACTCACATAAACTTAAAGGCACAGAAAAAGGCATTCCATGCAAATGGACACCAAAAGCAAGTAGGGGTAGCTATTCTTATATCAGACAAAACAAACTTTAAAGTAACAGCAGTTAAAACAGACAAAGAGGGATATTATATAATAGTAAAAGGCCTTGTCCAGCAACCACAGAATAAACACTCTATTCAACAGTGCATGGAACTTTCTCCAAGATAGACCATATGCTAGACCACAAAATGAGCCTCAATAAATTTAGGAAAATTGAAATTATATCAAGTATCTCTCAGACTACAGTGGAATAAAACTGGGAATCAACTCCAAAACAAACCTTCAAAACCATCCAAATACATGGAAATTAAATAACCTGCCCCTGAAAGAGCTTTGGGTCAAAAACACAATCAAGATGGAAAATTAAAAATTCTTCAGATTGAATGACAATAATGACACAACCTATGAAAACCTCTTGGATACAGCAAAGGCAGTGCTAAGAGGAAAGTTCATAGCCCTAAACGCCTACATCAAAAAGACTGAAAAAGCACAAACTGACATTCTAAGGTCACACCTCAAGGAAGTAGAGAAACAAGAAGAAACTAAACCCAAACCCAGCAGAAGAAAGGAAATAACCAATATCAGAGTAGAACTAAATGAAATTGAAACAAACAAACAAAAAAATACAAAAGATAAATGAAACAAAAAGCTGGTTCTTTGAAAAGACACATACAATTGATAGGCCATTAGCAAGATTAACCAAGAAAAGAAGAGAGAAAATCCAAATAACCTCAATAAGAAACAAAACAGGAGATGTTACAACTGATACTACTGAAATACAAAAGATCATTCAAGGCTACTATGAACACCTTTATGTACATAAACTGGAAAACCTAGAAGAGATGGATAAATGGATAAATTCCTGGAAAAATATAACCCTCCTAGCTTAAATCAAGAATTAGATAACCTGAACAGACCAACAACAAGCAGCATGATTGAAATGGTAATTTAAAAATTACCAACAAAAATCAGTCCAGGATCAGACTTATTCACAGCAGAATTCTACCAGACATTCAAAGAAGAATTGATACCAATCCTTTTGACACTATTCCACAAGATAGAGAAAGAAGGAATCCTCCCTACTTCATTCTATGAAGCCAGCATCACCCTAATACCAAAACCAGGACATAACCAAAAAAGAAAACCACAGACCGATATCCCTGATGAACATAGATGGTAAAACCCTTAACAAAATATTACCTAACCGAATCCAACAACTTATCAAAAAGATAATTCACCATGATCAAGTGGGTTTCATACCAGGGATGCAGAGATGGTTTAACATAAGCAAGTCAAGAAATGCAATATACCACATAAACAGAATCAAAAATAAAAATCACATGATCATCTCAATAGATGCAGAAAAAGCATTTGACAAAATCCAGCACCTCTTTATGATTAAAACTTTCAGCAAAATTGGCATACAAGGGACATACCTCAATATAATAAAAGCCATCTATAACAAACCCACAGCCAACATAATACTGAATGGGGAAAAGTTGAAAGCATTCCCTCTGAGAACTGGAACAAGACAAGGATGCCCACTCTCACCACTCCTCTTCAACATAGTACTGGAAGTCCTAGCCAGAGCAATTAGATAAGAGAAAGAAATAAAGGGCATCCAAATCAGTAAAGAGGAAGTCAAACTGTCACTGTTTGCTGATGATCTGATCGTTTACCCTTGAAAACCATTAAGACTCCAGAAAGCTCCTAGAACTGATAAAAGAATTCAGTAAAGTGTCCGGATACAAGGTTAATATACACCAATCAGTAGCTCTTCTATACACCAACAGCAACCAAAATCAAGAACTCAATCCCTTTTACAATAGCTGCAAAAGAAAAATAATAATAATAAAATACTTAGGAATATACCTAACAAAGGAGGCGAAAGACCTCTACAAGGAAAACTACAAAACACTGCTGAAAGAAATCATGGATGACACGAACAAATGGAAACACATCCCATGCTCATGGACAGGTAGAATCAATATTGTGAAAATGACCATACTGCCAAAAGTAATCTACAAGTTCAACATAATCCCCATCAAAATACCACCTCATTCTTCACAAAATTAGAAAAAACAATTCTAAAATTCATAAGGAACCAAAAAGCAGCCCACATAGCCAACACAAGACTAAGCAAAAAGAACAAATCTGGAGGCAACACACTACCTGATTTCAAACTATACTATAAGGCCACAGTCACCAAAAAAGCATGGTATTGGTATAAAAATGGGCACACAGACCAACGGGACAGAATAGAGAACCCAGAAATAAACTCAAATACTTACATCCAACTAATCTTTGACAAAGCAAACAAAAACAAAGTGGAAAAAGAACACCCTTTCAACAAATGGTGCTGGGATAATTGGCTAGCCACATGTAGGAGAATGAAACCGGATCCTCTCACCTTATACAAAAATCAACTCAAGGTCAATTAAGGACTTAAATCTAACACCTGAAACTATAAAAATTCTAATACTGGAAAAACCTTCCTAGACATTGGCTTAGGCAAGGAGTTCATGACCAAGAACCCAAAAGCAAATGCAGTAAAAACAAAGATAAATAGCTGGGACGTAATTAAACTAAAGAGCTTTTGCACAGCAAAAGGAACAGTCAGCAGAGTAAACAGACAACCCACAGAGTGGGAGAAACTCTTCACAATCTATTCATCTGACAAACGACTAATATCCAGAATCCACAACGAACCCAGACAAATCAGTAAGAAGAAAACAAACAATCCCAATAAAAAGTGGGCTACGGACATGAATAGACAATTCCCAAAAGAAGATAAACAAATGGGCAACAAACATATGAAAAAATGCTCAACATCACTAATTGCAAATTTGATTTGCAGGGAAATGCAAATCAAAACCACAATGCAATACCATCTTACTCCTGCAAGAATGGCCATAATCAAAAAATCAAAAATCAGTAGATGTTGGCATGGATGTGGTGATCAGGGAACACTTCTACACTGCTGGTGGGAATGTAAACTAGTACAGCCACTATGGAAAACAGTGTGGAGATTCCTTAAAGAACTAAAAGTAGAACTACCATTTGATCCAGCAATCCCACTACCGGGTACCCACCCAGAGGAAAAGAAGTCATTATGCAAAAAAGATACTTGCACACACATTTATAGTAGCACAATTCGCAACTGCAAAATCATGGAACCAACCCAAATGCCCATCAGTCAACGAGTGGATAAAGAAACTGTGGTATATGATGGAATACTACTCAGCCATAAAAAGGAATGAATTAATGGCATTTGCAGTGACCTGGATGAGATTGGAGACTATTATTCTAAGTGAAGTAACTCAGAAATGGAAAACCAAACATCCTATGTTCTCACTGATATGTGGGAGCTAAGCTATGAGGACCCAAAGGCATAAGCAAGATACACTGGACTTTGGGGACTTGGGGGGAAGGGTGGAAGGGGAGCAAGGGATAAAAGACTACAAATAGGGTGCAGTGAATACTGATCTCACAAATCACCACTGAAGAGCTTATTCATGTAACCAAATACCACCTGTACCCCAATAACCTATGGAAAACTGAAAAAATAAAAAAGATGCTATTACTGCAGAATGGAAGGACTAAATCAGTGCTTCTCAAGTTAAGTGTGGAAAGACGCACTTGGATGCTGAGGCACGTTACATGATTATACGATTTTCTAAAGCTTATTCATAATTTCCATACTTATTTTATCACAGACCAGTAACAAGCAGTTTGCAGACTGACACAGGTCCACAGACCATCCCTTGCAAGGACATAATTTAGAACATCTTCAGGATGCTTCCCACTTCTAAGATCAAGGACATTAATATTTCAAACCTGGTTGCTGATGAAGAGTAGAGAATTGAGAAGAGAAAGGCCAGTTTCCCTTCATTTAGCAGTGACAAAACCTGGCACCTAGTGCATTCTCAGTTTGTGTTTGTTTCCTTCCTTCTTTCTTTCCATATCTGTGAAATGAGAGATACACCTGGCCTACCTCCCAAGGTTGTTTACAAAAAAGGAAAGAAATGATACCTGTGAAGTAACAATATAAATACAGATATTGTTATTACTAAGATGCTATTAATAACCCAAATACAGAGCAGCAAATTCTACACTTGATATTCTAAGATTCCAGGCTTGTCCATAATCTCAAGGCATGCCATGAACTTCTCCAAGGGAAATTCATTTTAATTTACTTTATTAAGACAACCAAACAGCAAAATGGTAATACCTCTAATAAAAACAGGAGAATCAGAAAGAGGCATACATATTAAGAAAAATAATGAGTTTAGTTTTAGAAATGCTGAATTTAAGGTATTGACCAAATACGTGATGAGAAATATCCAACGAGCAATTCAAACTCAAAAGAATCATTAGACATGAGTAAAAGATTTGGGAGTCATTCACAAAAAGATAACAAGTAAACCCAGTTAGAATGGCTATCATTAAAAAGACACTGTTGGTGGGAATGTAATTAGTACAGCCTCTATGGAAAACAGTATAAAGATTTCTCAAAGAAGTAAAAATAGAACTATAGAACTTCCATTCAACCCAGCAATCCCATTACCAGGTATCTACTTAAAGGAAAGTAAGTCAATGTATCAAAATGATACCGGCACTCATATGTTGATAACAGCACTATTCAGAATAACAAAGAATGGAATCAACCTAAGTGTCCATCAGTGGACAAATGGATAAAGAAAATGTGTTGTATGTATACATAATGGAATGCTATTTAGCCAAAATAAAAAAAGAATAAAATCATGTCTTTTGCAGCAACATGTATAGAATTAGGGGCTTATTATAAGTGAAACAAGCCAGGCACAGAAAGACAAGTATCACATGTTCTCACTCATAAGTGGGTACTAAAAAACATGTTCACATAGACGTAGAGAATGGAGTGATAGACGATGAAGACTCAGAAGGGTGACGGGGTGGAAGAGCGGAGGATAATGAGAAATTGGTTAACAGGCACAATGTATGTCATTCATGTGATTGGTACCCTAAAAGCCCTGACTTGATCACTACACAATCTATGCATAACAAAACTGCATGTGTACCCCATAAATGTGTACAAATAATATGGAAATAAAATTACTAGTCATCTGTTGTATTCTATTTTGATCTGTGTATTAGAATATTTGTGGTATAAAGATGAATAAATTGTGTTCTTTGACCTTGAGGGTAAAAAGAGGTACCTGATAAAACTTTTAAAAGAAACACTTAACAGCATATGGTAGTTTAGATACTCTAACAGAACTTGTTGCCATTCTAAAGCAACAATATACTAGGTAAAATATATGAATGCATTGTTGGTCCCAATAGGAAGTAGAGGAGATCTCTTCCCCTAACTGCTCATCAAAAAGTAAATAAACAATAAATAGAAAAAACTTGGGCCAGGCACAGTGGCTCACGCTTGTAATCCTAACACTTTGGGAGACCGAGGTGGGAGGATAGCTTAAACCCAGGAGTTCGAAAGTGGCCTGGGCAACATGGTGAAACCCATCTCTACAACAAAATGCAAAAATATAGCCAGGCGTGCTGGTACACGCCTGTAATCCCAGCTACTCGGGAGGCTGAGGTTGCAGGATGGCTTGAGCCTGGAAGGTCATTCCAGCCTGGGTGACAGAGTGAGACCCTGTCTCAGAAAACAAACAAACAAATGAACTCAAAACTGAAGCTAAAGTTAGAAGCAGAGAAAAAAAGAGAGGAGGTAGGCTGATTTCAGAGTACTTGCTGATATAAAGTATCATCCAAACAAGATAATGTAGCTAAATTTGAGTTTCCAGGGTAAGTCCAGAACCTATAAAACCAAAGATTACCATGCAAATGAGTAGGTAAGCCACTTTGTGTGACAAAAAGAAAAAACACATTAAATGATAGACTCATACTTACAAAGACCCCGAAGGTGGGACTTACGACATACAGAATATAAAAGTTGTGTAAGAAAGGTATAAAGGGGCTGGGGGCGGTACCTCACCCCGGTAATCCCAGCACTTTGGGAGGCCAAGGCGGGCAGATCACCTGAGGTCGGGAGTTCAAGACCATCCTGACCAACATGGAAAAACCCCGTCTCTACTAAAAATACGAAATTAGCCAGGCGTGGTGGCGCATGCCTGTAATCCCACCTACTCGGGAGGCTGAGGCAAGAGAATCACTTGAACCCAGGAGGCAGACATTGCGGTGAGCCGAGATTGCGCCATTGTACTCCGGCCTGGGCAACAAAAGCAAAACGAAAGTCCATCTCAAAAACAAAACAAAAAAGAAACATATAAACGATGTTCCTGCTATAGCTTAGGCTCTTGGTTCTGGGCTTAGTGGCATGGTTCCAGAATTTTATTTAATAAATAAACTCTTACAAATAAAAAATTATTTGCTGGGTGCAGTGGCTCACGCCTATAATCGCAGCACTTTGGGAGGCTGAGGTGGGGGATCACCTGAGGTTGGGAGTTCGAGACCAGCCTGACCAACATGTAGAAAGCCCCTCTCTACTAAAAATACAAAATTAGCTGGGCGTGGTGGCGCATGCCTGTAATCCCAGCTACTCGGGAGGCTGAGGCAGAAGAATCACTTGAACCCAGGAGGTGGAGGTTGCAGTGAGCCGAGATTGCACCACTACACTCCAGCCTGGGCAACAGAGTGAGCCTCTGTCTCCAAAAAAAAAAAAAAAAAAGAAAGAAAGAAAGAAAAAATATTATAATGGAATGTTATTTTTAAAAACTGTATGCCAAAAACTTAGATAAAAAATGGACAAGTTCCTAGAGAGGCACAAGCTTCTGAATCTAACTCAAGAAAAAACATGAATAAACATACGACAAAGAGTAATCACAAAACTTCCCACAAAAAAAAGCCCAGGCCCAGGCGCGGTGACTCACACCTGTAATCCCAGCACTTTGGGAGGCCAAGGTAGGCAGATTACTTGAGGTCAGGAGTTGAAGACCAGCCTGGCCAACATGGTAAAACCTCATTTCTACTAAAAATACAAAAATTAGCCGGGCGTAGTGGTGCATGCCTGTAATCCCAGCTACTCAGGAAACTGACACAGGAGAATTGCTTGAACTCAGGAGGTTTAGTGAGCCTAAATCTCACCACTGCACTCCAGCCTGGGTGACAGAGTGCGACTCTGTCTCAAAAAAAAAAAAAAAAAAAGCCCAAGACCAGATGGCTTCACTAGTGAATTATACTAAAACATTTAAAGAATAACTAACATGTTAGACGTAAATGCAATAATAGCCTTCCTTCCTTTTTGTTGTAGCCCTCGGTGGTTGCTGTCAAAATGGGCAAGTGCATGAAACCTGGGAAAGTGGTGCTGGTCCTGGCCAGCAGTATTCTGGCTGAACACAAAGCTGTCATCGTAAAGAACATTAATGATGGCACCTCAGACTGCCCCTACATCCAAGCTCTCGTGGTTGGAATTGATCGCTATCCCTGCAAAGTGACAGCTGCCATGGGCAAAAAGAAGATTACCAGGAGGTCAAAGATCGAGTCTTTTGTGAAGGTTTATAACTACAATCATCTTACGCCTACAGTGCACTCTGTGGATATCCTCTTACACAAAACTGTCATCCACAAGGATGTCTTCAGAGATCCTGCTCTTAAACACAAGTCCCAATGGGAGGCCAAGGTCAAGCTCAAAGAGAGATACAAAACGGGCAAGAACAAGCAGTTCTTCCAGAAGCTACAGTTTTAGATGTTTTGTTTCCATCTTAAAAATTAAATAAATAAATGCAGTAATATAAATAATAACATTAAATTCAAATGGTCTAAACACTCCAAATAAAAAGCAGACACTGTCAGAGTAGATAAATGAAATGAGTAGGAATGAAAGGACACTGTTATACGTTCTTATGCGTGAAGTGGTTTAACACTTGAAGGTAGACTGTGGTAATTAAAGATGTATGATATAAACCCTACAACAGCTACTACAAAAACAAAGCATATGAGTACAGCTAATAAGCTATGAAAAGAGATAAAATACAACCATAATAAAACAGGGAGAAAAGAACAAAGAATAGGTGAGACAAATACAAAAGACAGTAAATTTAAACCCAATAAATATCAATAATCATATTAAATTTAAGTTGTCTAAATACTCCAAATAAAAAGCAGAGATTGTCAGAAGAGATAGAAAAGCAAGACCCAGTAATACATTGCCAGTAAGAAACTCACTTTAAATATAAAGATGCAAATAGGTTAGAAGCAAAAGGACTGAAAAAGATACCAAGCTTTCACTAATCAAAAGAACGATGGAGTGGCTATGTTAATGCCACATAAGGAAAGATCTCAAAGCAAACACTGTTACTGGGATATAGAGGACCATTTTATAATAATAAAAGGCCACTTCATCAAAACAATCTTAAACAATTATGCATCTAATAACAGAAATACAAAGTGTGGGAAATAAACAATGACAGATCCAAAAGGAGAAATAATCAAATTTACAAAGAGATATTTCAAGATCCTTTTCTCAGTAATTGATATAACAAGTTGACAAACATCACCACAGATGTAGAAGACATGAACAACACTATTAACCAACTTGACCTAATTTACATTTATAGAATACTATATTCAAATGTGGTTTGTGATCACAGAATTAAACTAGAAATCAGTATCTGGGAAACCCCAAAATACTCAAAAACTAAGTATCATTTCTAAATAGCCCATAGATCAAACAAGAAATCAAAAGAGATATTACAAAGTATTTTGGGGCTGGGCATGGTGGCTCATGTCTGTAATCATAGCACTTTGGGAGGCCAAGGTGGGAGGATCACTTGAGCCCAGGAGTTTGGGACCCCATCTTTACAAGAAAATAAAAAAATTAAAATTAGCCAGGTGTGGTAGCACACGCCTATGATCTCAGTCACTCAGGAAGCTGACATGGGTGGATCTCTTAAGCCAGGAGGTCAAGGCTGCAGTTGAGCCGTAATCATGCCACTGCACTCCAGCCTGGATGACAGAGTGAAACCTTGTCTCAAAAAAAAGTATTTTTAACTGAATAAAAATGAAAATGTATTAAAATTTGTGGGACACAGCTACAACCAGTGTTTAGAGGGAAGTGTATAACATGAAGAGTCAATATTAGAAAACAATAAAGATCTCAGTCAACTGACTTAAGCTGTCACCTTAAAAACTACAAAAAGACAAGCAAATTGCATTCAAAACAAGCAGAAGGAAATAATGGGAATTAGAACACAAAGCAATGAAATTAAAAACAATAAAGAGAATCAAAGAAACCAAAAGCAATATTAAAAGGTGGCTCACGCCTGTAATCCTAGCACTTTGGGAGGCGGAGGCAGGTGGATCACCTGAGGTCAGGAGTTTGAGACCAGCCTGGCCAACATGGTGAAACCCTGTCTCTACTAAAAATAGAAAAGTTAGCCAGGCGTGGTGGCTGGCGCCTGTAATCCTGCTACTCGGGAGGCTGAGGCTGGAGAATCACTTGAACTCGGGGGGCGGAGGTTGCAGTGAGCCAAAATCGTGCCATTGCACTCCAGCTTGTACGACAGAGCGAGACTTTGTCTCAAAAAAAAAAAAAAGCCTTTAGGGCTGGGTACAGCAGCTCACGCCTGTAATCCCAATACTTCGGAAGGTCAACGCAGGAGGACTCCTTGAAGCAAGGAGTTTGAGACCAGCATTGGCAACATAGTAAGAGCCTATCTCTACAAAAATTTAAAATGGTGGCCTGCACCTGTTGTCCCAGCTACTCAGGAGGCTGAGGCAGGAGGATCACTTGAGCCCAGGAAGTCAAGGCTGCAGTGAACTATGATCTCACCACTGCACTCCCGCCTGGGTGATAGGGTAAGACCCTGACTCAAAACAAACAAACAAACAAATTCCTTATGGCACAATCCTGCATTACCAAAAAATTCACAAAAAGATTCTTTAGGCACAAATTTGGTGGCCAGACAACTGTCAGTTTTCTTTTAAAAACTCAATGAACTTATTGAGGCATTTGGCATGGCAACACCCTCTTGAAGATATAATGAACAGCCTAGGTAGGGCCAATTTTCTTTTCTTTCCTTTTCTTTTTTGAGACAGACTCTCACTCTGTTGCCCAGGCTAGGGTGCAGTGGCACAATCTCGGCTCACTGCAACCTCTGCCTCCCGCGTTCAAGCAATTCTTCTGCCTCAGCCTCCTGAGTAGCTGGGATTACAGGTGTGCACCACCACACCCGATTAATTTTTGTGTTTTTAGTAGAGATGGGGTTTCACCATGTTGGTAAGGCTGGTCTCGAACTCCTGACCTCATGATCCGCCCACTTCGGCCTCCCAAAGTGCTGGGATTACAGGCGTGAACTACCGTGCTCAGCCAGGTAGGGCCAATTTTCATTTCTTTTCCTTTTTTTTGAGATGGAGTCTCGCTCTGTCATCCAGGCTGGAGTGCAGTGGCACGATCTCGGCTCACTGCAAGCTCCGCCTCCCAGGTTCACGCCATTCTCCTGCCTCAGCCTCCCAAGTAGCTGGGACTACAGGCACCCGCCACCAGGCCCAGCTAATTTTTTCTATTTTTAGTAGAGACGGGGTTTCACCGCGTTAGCCAGGATGGTCTCAATCTCCTGACCTTGTGATCCGCCTGCCTCGGCCTCCCAAAGTGCTGGGATTACAGGCGTGACGACTGTGCCTGGCCGAGGTAGGGCCAATTTTCTACAGCTCCCCATTTTCTACTACACTGAAACACAGCAAGGTACAACAAATGACAGGTAGCTGCAACAAGAAATTGGAATAAAGATGGAAGTTTAAAATGCAGGACAGGTCAGGCATGGTCGCTCATGCCTATAATCCTGACACTTTGGGAGGCTAAGGCAGGAAGATCCCTTCAGACCAGGAGTTCCAGACCAGCCTGGGTAAACATAACAGGACCCCATCTCTACAAAAAACTTAAAAATTAGCCAAATGTGGTGGTGCACACCTGTAGTTCCAGCTACTCGGGAGGCTGTGGCAGGAGGATTGTTTGAGCCTGGGAGTTCAAGACTGCAGTGAGCTGTGATCATGCCACTGCACTCTACTGTGGGCAACAGCAAGACTCTCGTCTCAAAGAATTAATTAATTAATTAATTAAAATACAGGACAGAGATTCCTCTTAGAGGGCAGAGTGGCAGATACAAATGTGGAGTTACAGGAATAGATGGGTGGGTAAACCAACATGTTTGCCCAACATTAAAAATATACAGTGCTCCCTGACTGGAGCATAATAGCCCAACAAGAAAGTGCTGAATAAGTAAATGAACAAATGAATGAAAAATGAATGACTGAGTGAAGGAAAAGAATGAAGGGGAAAAGATGGAAACAGCAGCTGGGCAAGAAGTAAGGATAAATACCTGTTAAAAAAAAAAAAAAAAAAAGGAGGAAAACAGAGTAAAGGAAAAGAACCAGGGGAGCAGAGTATCGTAGTAATCAAAGAGGAAGCAAGTTATGAAAGTGGCCAAGAAAGTAACATGCTACAGAGATAAAGAAAAATGAGGATGGCCACAAATCTGAAACAACAAAAGAAGTATTTTGATAACTCTGCAAGAATAGAAGGCAGAATAGAATACACATTGTTCCTAATCAATAGCATATACTCCCTATACTGATGTCAAGGTTACCTTAAGAATTAAATTAAGAATGATAACTACCATTTATTAATAATTTCCCATGTACCAGGTTTTGGCTGGATTTGTAAAATTAACCCAAAATATCACAAGTCAAATTAAGCTGATACGAATTACCATTAGGAAGTATGACTGATGGTATCTATAACTAAAAAGCTTAAGCTCAATTGACTCTATTGTGCTGTATCTGAAAGAACCTGCTAATGGTAAGGTAAGGAAACAGTCTTGAATGACATATAAAATGGAACCTCAGTGTAAGAAAAAAAGGTATAACATTCTCCAATACTATCTAGGGGGTAAGTGAGGAACAACTGGGTGGGAGATAAATCCAAAGAGTGGAATAGATACATCATGCTATTATAATTTAAGACAGTGACCACTAATAAAATCCAACTAACCCTACTTGCTCTAATTCCATGTCCAAATAAGCTTCTGATGATAATTTGCTTCCTGTGTAGTTTTGTTTAGTGACCATTTGTACTATTTGATGATTGTATTTCTCATTATAAGCTGGCATTTTAGTGTACAGATTAGTCTCTAGTGAATCAGTTCCCTAAGCCTAATCACCTCTAGGTATACTAACAAATCACATTTTTAATCCTATAAACTCAAAAACCATCACAGATAGCTGATCTCCCTCTACATTGCTGAATATCTATTCAAACCACAACATTTTAAATAAATGGTTAGCTGAGTAAGTGAGTCATCTTTTGGTAGACAAGGATCTATCTTGGTATTGTCAAACTGTACCAAGTGAATCTGTAGAATGCTAAAAGGAGTCTCCTAAAAAAATTCATTTTCTTACTATCATTGAAGAGGATGTGCATTCAACTTCTACAGATCTTAGACAAACACTTCTTTTCCGAAGACATAACATGGGGAAAAAAACTGAAGAGAGCTGTCAGTATACCCCGACAGCTTTCCAATAAGGAAGGTACAAAGAAAACCCCTCAGGAGATCTAGCCTAAAAAAAAAAAAAATTGTAGCACAGTAGAAATAAAGAATGGATCAATGTTGCAGAAGATAGAGGTGAAGTAAAAAAGCACTATTTCTACTACTGTGGAGATGTACAGCCAAGGAAGATACAGAGAGGCAAGATAGTGGGACTCCACGTAGCCCCCCAAGGGACCACGTGCAAGTTCCTCAACCTATGTGGGCCTTGCTTTCCTCTTCTGTAAAATGAGGAAATTGGATCAATTAATCTCTAAGGTTCTTTTCAATTCTAGGTTCTATTATAATTAATTCCTTTAATGATGAATGGGAAAGGTACAGAAGCAAATTTACCAAGAAAATTTAAGAGTAGCTTTGCTCAAACGATATAGTACATTTACAAACAATATAGTACATTTACTCCCAAGTGGAATCTATTTTACCACCAATTTTTTAGAGTGAAGTCTTTTTTTACCTTTATTTTACAATAAAACTAGATCTAATAACATAAAAGTATCAGCATATATAGTGGGAAATATCAATCTGCTACAGTGGTCATTCAAGAAGGAAACTAGGGCCGGGCGTGGTAGCTCATGCCTGTAATCCTAGCACTTTGGGAGGCCTAGGCGGAGAGATCACTTGAGATCAGGAGTTCAAAACCAGCCTGGCCAACATGGTGAAACCCCATCTCTACTAAAAATACAAAAAAAATTAGTCAGGCTTGGTGGCAGTAAGCTGAGATCACACCACTGCACTCCAGCCTGGGTGACAGAGCGAGACTCCGTCTCAAAAAAAAAAGAATAAAAACAGAACAGAAGACTTACGCATGTCTTTGATATCTGAGGGTTTCCCGGATGGACCATGCAACCTGGTAGGGCGAGGCCTGCTCTGAGTCCTCTGGTTCCTCTCCGCTCTCTTCAGACCAGTCCAAACCTGGGTTAGACAGGAGATATTGCAAATTAGAAAAAGTTTACTTTTATTCAAAATTTAAACTAAAAAGCTACACAAAATAACATAACCCAACATACCTATTGCAAGTACTATCATGGTGTGAATAAATGTCTCCTGATGAATCTCATTTCTATTCTTACAAAGATAATCGGTTTGTTTTTGTTTTTGTTTGACAGAGTCTCACTCTGTCACCCAGGCTGGAGTGCAGTGGCACGATCTTGGCTCACTGCAACCTCTGCCTCCCGGGTTCAGCGATTCTCCTGTCTCGGCCTCCCGAGTAGCCAGGACTACACGCGCCAGCCACCACACCCAGCTAATTTTTGTATTTTTAGTAGAGACAGGGTTTCACCATATTGGCCAGGCTGCTCTTGAACGCCTGACCTCGTGATCCACCCACCTCGGCCTCCCAAAGTGTTGGGATTACAGGCGTGAGCCACCGCCTGGCCACACAATCGGGTTTTTAAAATGACATTACAACAAAAAGGCTAAGCTATATTCCACAGATGAACTTCTTTTGTCAGACACTTCACTAATGGGGTAGAAACAACACAAGTAAAGAGAGATTTCAGGTCACAAAAAGGCAGAATTTCTTTTCTTTTTTTTTGAGACAGGGTCTTGCTCTGTCACCTAGGCTGGAGCACAGTGTGGCATGATCTCGGCTCACTGCAACCTCTGCCTTCCAGGTTCAAGTGATTCTCATGCCTCAGCCTCCCAAGTAGCTGGTATTACAGGTGAGCACCACCACGCCCAGCTAATTTTTGTATTTTTAGTAGAGATGGGGTTTCGCCATGTTGGCCAGGCTGGTCTCAATCTCCTGACCTTAAGTGATCCACCTGCCTCGGCCTCCCAAAGTGCTGGGATTACAGGCGTGAGCCACCACATCTGGCCAGAATTTAAGTATCAAAACTTAATACACTAAAATGATGTCAGAAAAACATAAAATACAAACAAGAGGGTGAGAAAAGAAGCTCGATATATGTTAAGGCAAGAAAAAGGTCAATACCTGCTTCTGAATGGTTTTATGAAAACAACAAAAAAAAAAAATCAAAAAGTGCAGATAGAGTCACTCTACATTTCAACAACGAAGGGCCCTATGATAAAGTGTCAAAGGTAGAAACACTCCATCCCCCTCTCCCAAACCATTCCCTGGCTCTTACCTTCCATGGGAAGATGGAAGGGTAGGATGGTAATGTTCTACTACTAATGAGGTTTCGGATTTCTTTCAATTTTTTTTTTTTGAGACGGAGTCTCGCTCTGTCGCCCAGGCTGGAGTGCAGTGGCGTGATCTCTGCTCATTGCAAGCTCCGCCTCCTGGGTTCACGCCATTCTCCTGCCTCAGCCTCCCGAGTAGCTGGGACTACAGGCACCCGCCACCGCGCCTGGCTAATTTTTTTTTTTGTATTTTTAGTAGAGACGGGGTTTCACCGTGCTAGCCAGGATGGTCTCGATCTCCTGACCTTGTGATCCACCCGCCTTGGCCTCCCAAAGTGCTGGGATTACAGGCGTGAGCCACCGTGCCCAGCCTCTTTCAATTATTTTAAACAAAAAATGTCAGACTTTGTGCTCCATTATCTAAAACAAGGTTAGAAGGAAAAGTGGATACAGTATTTATTAATATTTTGTTAAAGGGTCTCGATCTGTTGCCCAGGTTGGAGTGTAGTGGTGCAATCTCAGCTCACTACAGCCTTGACCTCCCGGGCTCAAGTGATCCTCCCACCTCAGCCTCCAAAGTAGCTGGCACTACAGACAGCACCACCATGCCCAGCTAATCTTTGTACTTTTTGTAGAGACCGGGTTTTGCCATGTTGACCAGGCTGCTCTCGAACTCCTGAGCTCAAATGATCTACCTGCCTTAGCCTCCCAAAGTGCTGCAATTACATGCATGAGCCACTGTGCCCAGCCAAATGCTATAATTTTTAATGACTGAATAATTTTTAGCTCCTGCCATAAAAGTTTTACCCTTTTAAAAGTCTTGTATCTTGGCCAGGTGCACCGGCTCATGCTTGTAATCCCAGCAGTTTGGGACACTGAGCCAAGGGGATCACTTTAGGCAAGAAGTTAGAGACCAGCCTGGGTAACACACCAAGACCCCGACTCTACAACAAACTTAAAAATTAGCCAGGCTGAGTGGTGCATGCCTGCAGTCCCAACTATTCAGGAGACTGAGGCAGGAGGATCGACTGACCCTTGAGCCCAGGAGGTTGAGGCTGCAGTGAGCCATGATCATGTAACTGCATTTCAGCCTGGTGACAGAGCAAGGCCCTGTCTCTAAAAGTTAAGAAAAAAAGTTTTATATCTTGAAGAGGTCTTGATAAAGACTGATGTTGCACAGCCTAAAGTGTAACAGTATGTGGGACTATGTAAGTTTAATATATCCATACCTCTATGAAACTTACTAGACACCTTGATAACTAGTATTTTATTTATGTCTTCCTTCTTGAGAACCTCAAAAATCAAGAGTATCCTCATTAGACAGTTACATTAAAAAGGACTTCATGGATTGCTTCCATAGTTTAAATGAGTTTACATGTGCCAAATAGGGAAATTAAGAAAAGGTTAATTAAAATGCAAATTATGAATGCTTAAGATTAAATAACACATTGCCATTGGCATAAAGAAACTTCAAATCTAATTCTAAGATGACTATCTAAAATGTCAGGTCACCTTTAAAAATGAGTTACTTTCTCAACTGAAATAATTAATAATTTGTAGGGGGAAAAGGTAAAAAAGCAATTAAATGATCACAGCATCAACTTCAGTGTGTTGAAAGGTAAGGTCCTTCAAAGTGACATTTAAGGCACCACTGAAAAACAGAACATGAGTTATCTTTTATTTGTTTCAATAGAATAATTTCTCCTAAGACACCTCTGAGGTGTCTTGACTTTCTCTGAGGAAGTCAAGATCTAAGTCATAAAAACTAAGACGGAAGTGTTTTTCCTGCTGTGAAACTAACTGTCCAATAAAGCAAACCTTTGATCTTGGCTTCATTATCACTAGTTTTAATGTAACTAGCTGACATAACTAGCCCAGACAGGACTATAAAGGCTAATAATAAGACTGAGTTTTTATTTAAATACTCTTTGCTGACATGAATACAGACTACACTCTGTCATAAGATTACAGAGTATATGCATTACTATTTCTGGTTTCCCCAAAGTAACTTTTGCTTTGAAATCTTAGGCCTCTAATATGTTTGCATTTTAAAAAATTTAAAAGGGCGTCCGGGCATGGTGGCTCACGCCTGTAATCCCAGCACTTTGGGAGGCCAAGGCGGGTGGATCACCTGAGGTCAGGAGTTCAAGACCAGCCTGGCCAACGTGGTGAAACCCCATCTCTACTAAAAATACAAAAAATGAGCCAGGCGTGGTGGTATGCACCTGTAATCCTAGCTACTCAGGAGGCTGAGGCAAGAGAATCACTTGAAGCTGGGAGGCAGAGGTTGCAATGAGCTGAGATCACACCACGGCACTCCAGCCTGGGCAACACAGCGAGACTCTATCTCAAAAAAAGAAAAAAAAAATTTAAAAGGCTGAAAACTTTTTCTGTGTGTTTTCATTCTGTTTAAAAATGATTTAAAAATTGCTGGGCACAGTGGCTCATGCCTGTAATCCCAGCACTTTGGGAAGCCGAGGCGGGCAGATCACAAGATTAGGAGTTCAAGACCAGCCTGGCCAATATACTGAAACCCCGTCTCTACTAAAAATGCAAAAAATTAGCTGGATGTGGTAGCATGCGCCTGTAGTCCCAGCTACTCAGGAGGCTGAGGCAGGAGAATCGCTTGAACCCGGGAGGCGGAGGTTGCAGTGAGCCGAGACCTCGCCACTGCATTGCAGCCTGGGTGACAGAGCAGGACTCCGTCTCAAAAGAAAAAAAAAAAAAAAAAAAAAAAAAAAAGATTAAAAAATCAGCCCCTAAGATGACATAATATTTCATCATTTCAAAAGCTAAAAAATTATCAGCATCCAGAAATAAATGAAATTATAAATAAAAATTTAGTAGATGATGCCGGTAAGTGTTGGAATTAGAGGCAAACATTTTTTAAAAATTGTTATATTTCGCCGGGCGCGGTGGCTCACGCCTGTAATCCCAGCACTTTGGGAGGCCGAGGCGGGCGGATCACGAGGTCAGGAGATTGAGACCATCTTGGCTAACACGGTGAAACCCCCGTCTCTACTAAAAACACAAAAAATTAGCTGGGCGTGGTCGCGGGCGCCTGTAGTCCCAACTACTCGGCAGGCTGAAGCAGGAGAATGGCGTGAACCCGGGAGGCGGAGCTTGCAGTGAGCCGAGATCCCGCCACTGCACTACAGCCCGGGTGACAGAGCGAAACTCCGTCTCAACAACAACAACAAAAATTTCTTAGATCTCTGCCTCAAAACTAATGTCTAAATGAGTTCCAGCTAGATAAAATGTAAATAATGAAATGATAAAAGGACTAAAAGAAAATACGGGTGAATATGTTCATATATTCTTGGGATGAAGAGAATCCAAATAAGCAAGCAAACCAAAACCCAGACTCAAAAGAAAGAAATCTTAAAGAAGAGAATACATAAAAATTTTAACTTTTAAATTCCTACAATGGATATTTCTTTTCTTTTCTTTTCTTTTTTTTTTCAGAGACGGGGTCTCAGCTCTGTCGCAGTGGCATGATTATAGCTCACTGCCAGTCATAAGCTCTTGGACTTAAGGGATCCTTCCGCCTCAGCCTCCCAAGTAGCAGAGATTACAAGTTTGCAACTGTGCCTGGCTATAACAGATACCCGGAAGCAAAAAACAAAGGAGAGGAGGGAGAGACTTTCCAACAAATATAATATACATATAAAAAGCTCTTACCAATCAATAGAAAATAAATATATGGATGGAAGAAGTGAAAGGCAAAATAAACAAAATGTCCAAAAATCATATGAACGAATACTCAACTATATTATTAATCCAAAATAGCAGTTCTGAAAGTATGGTCCACAGATCCCCAGAAGTCCTTGAAATATTCTTGGAGTATATAGGTCAACACTATATTCTTTCTAAGAAGTTTTTTTTTTTAATTTAAATTTTAAAAAAGAGAATCTCACTATGTTTCCCAGGCTGGTCCCGAACTCCTGGGCTCACGTGATCCTCCTGTCTTGGCCTCCCAAAGTGGTAAGATTACTGGCATGAGCCACCTCGCCTGGCCTCAAAACTATTTTCAACAAAATAATATTAAAACATTATGTGCCTTTTTCACTGTGTTGACACACTGATGGTATAAAAGCAATGACAGGTAAAACTACAGGCTCCTTAATTACCATGAATCAAGGCAGTGGCATCAGACTTACTAGGAGTCATTGTATTCCTCATGCCATGCCTCGCAGTTGTAAAGGAGTTTTATTTGAGAATATTCTTGTTTGTTAAAGATTATTTATTTTTATTAAATCGATCCCTGAGCACATGTCTTTATACTATTCTGTGTGAGTAAATGTGAATCTGCTGCAAAGGAAGAAAGCATGACAGCTGTCCTGAGGAAGAGGACTTACACAACTGTTTTTATTGCAACCTGACCAAACTGCTTTTTCTCATTCATCATCATTTTTTTGTTTTTGAGATGGAGTCTCACTCTGTAGCCCAGGCTGGAGTCCAGTGGTGCGATCTCGGCTCACTGCAACCTCCGCTTCCCGGGTCCCAGTTCAAGCAATTCTCCTGCCTCAGCCTCCCAAGTTGCTGGGATTACAGGCACGCTCCACCACGCCCAGCTAAGTTTTTGTATTTTTAGTAGAGACGGGGTTTCACCATGTTGGCCAAGCTGGACTTGAACTCCTGATCTCGTGATCCACCCGCCTCAGCCTCCCAAAGTGTTGGGATTACAGGTGTGAGCCACCACACCCAGCCTTCATCATCATTTTTATTTGAAAGAGAATCTGACAGGCCAGGCACAGTGACTTGTGCCTGTAATCCCAGAACTTTGGGAGGCCAAGACAGGAGGATCAGCCTGGGCAACATAGTGAGACCCCATCTCTATCAAAAAATCTGAAAAAAAAATTAGCCAGTTGTGGTAGTGTGTGCCTATGGTCCCAGTGACTTGGGAAGCTGAGGTGGGAGGATCACTTGAGCCCAGCAGGTCAAGGCAGCAGTGAGCCATGATCATGCCACTGCACTCTAGCCTGGGCAACAGAGCAAGAACCTGTCTCAAAAAAAAAAAAAATTATATTTTAAATTTATCAGTTTTAGCTTCTAATACAGTATAAATAGATACAACCCATACATAAGAGCTTTATGGTTTCCTTATTAATTTTTAAGTGTAAAGGATCCTAAAACCAAATATTTGAGAAACACTAATCTAAGATATGTAAATTTAAGCAGATTTTCTATCTAATTTGCAAAGGCAATAATAACAATAATACTACTACCCAGGGCTGATAAAGATTTAGAGAAACTGTTATTTTCACACACTGCTTAAAGAAGATAAGCTGACAAAATAATTCTGAAGGAAAATTTGGCAACATATATCAAAACTTTTTTTTTTTTAAAAGCTAAAGCTTGGAATCGGCAATTCCACTTTTAGTCTGAATTAACAATCTATTTGAAGAAAAAAAGATGTGGCAATAATTGTTTTACTGCAAGGCTATATACATCTACGACAGTTTATAAGGACATAAGCTGGATACAACTTAAATGGAAGACAGAATTCAGCCATGACAAATTACACTGCATATGAAAAATTACCAACTTGAAAATACATTAGTATGAAAAATTTTAAACCAGGTTACAAAACAGCATGTATAGTAAGAGCCCAATTTTATATATTAGAAAGAATATATCAAGGTATTAACAAATGGGTATTAATATGGCTTGGAGTGTTTTAATTTATTATTTTTGTTTATAAATTTTTTAACTTTTGTATTTTAATCACGAAAAGTCACAGATGGTTTAACAACAGGTGAAACAATAAAAAGCTATAAGAAAAGCCACCACTCCCAACTCCTATAAAATATACCCTGTCCAATTCCATCCTCCCTAGGGTAGCTGATGTTAACAGTCTGGAAGTATATATCCTTTTATACTTTTACCTTTGCTCACATCAATCAGGCCAATAGCCATATACTTAATCAATAAATATATTGATATCCCCTGTTTATTTACTTTGTTTATTTTTACCAAAATGGGATAATAATTACCTCTTGATTTCTTTTTTCCACTTTTTAATATACCATGGACACATCCCGGTCAAAAGATACAGAATTTTTTTTTTTTTTGAGATGGAGTTTCGCTCTTGTTGCCCAAGCTGGAGTACAATGGCACAATCTCCGCTCACTGCAACCTCCGCCTCCTGGGTTCAAGCAATTCTCCTGCCTCAGCCTCCCAAGTAGCTGGGATTACAGGCGCACACCACCATGCCTAGCTAATTTTCGTATTTTTAGTAGAGACAGGGTTTTGCCATATTGGCCAGGCTGGTCTCGAACTCCTGACCTCAGGTGATTCACCGGCCTCAGCCTCTCAAAGTGCTGGGATTACAGGCATGAGCCACCACACCTGGCCTCATTCATTCTTTTTAATAGCTATATAATATTTCTTTTCTTTTCTTTTTTTTTTTTTTATACAATAGAGACAAGGTCTTACTGTGTCGCCCAGATTGGTCTTGAACTCCTGAGCTCAAGTGATCCTCCCACCTCGGCCTCCCAAAGTGCTAGGATTATAGGTATGAGCCACTGCACCCAGCCTGCTACATAATATTTCATAAAACTTATATGAACAATAATTTAGTCAAGGTTTCCTATCAGTAATTGTTTCTTTGCAGGTTTTTAATGCTGCAAACAATGTTTCAGTGAACATCCTTGCACATATATCCTTACATTTTGATTTTTTTAATCCACAGGATAGTGTCCCAAAAGTGAGTCTGCTGGCTACAAATATATTTTGTTTGTTTGTCTGAGACAGGGTCTCGCTCTGTCACCCAGGCTGGAGTGCAGTGGCACAATCTCGGCTCACTGCAGCCTCCACCTCCCAGGTTCACGCAATTCTCCCACCTCAGCCTCTCAAATAGCTGGGACTTCAGGTATGCACCACCACACCCGGCTATTTTTTGCATTTTTAGTAGGGACAGGGTTTCACCATGTTGGCCAGGCTAGTCTCCAATTCCTGACCTCAGGTGATCTGCCCACCTCAGCCTCCCAAAGTGCTGGGATTACAGGCGTGAGCTACCACACCCGGCCTATTTTTGTTTTTTTAGAGACAGGATCTCACTATGTTGCCTAAGCTGGTCTCAAACCTCTGGCTTCAAGTGATCCTTCTGCATCAGCCTCTCAAAGTAATGAGATTACAGGCATAAGCCACTAAGCCCAGCCTATACATATATTTTAAATTAGTAGATATTGCTAAATTACTCACCAGCAATGTATGAGATACCATATCCTGACCCTGACCAACAATGGATATCATTTTTCACAATCTGGTAATTCATTGTTGCTTTAATTTGTATTTCCTGCCTGCTGAGAGGATTGAGGTATTCATTTGTTTATTGACTATTCATATCTCTTCACGTTCTATCTTTGCTCATATTTCTATTGCTGTCATATTATGCAAATAATTTTTCCTGAAGTGAAAATCATAGCTCATATTGCATTCGAGAATAAATTTCAACTGAATTAAAGGTTTAAATGATCAAAACCAATCAAACTATTAATAGAAAACATAGAATATCTGTATAAACTTGGAATCGAGGAAGTTTTCTTAAGCAAAACAGGAAATTCAGAAGCAACAAAAGAAAAATAGACATGTGACTACATTAAATTACAAGTTTTCCCTGTATTTTCTCACTCTTAAATCATTAACAGGTATTGCCTTGAGAATTTTTTAAACAGGAAAAAATGTTTTAAAACTGTCAGCAGATATCAACAATGCTATGATCATTCCTAGAATAAGACACACCAAGAACTTCACTAGATGCACAGGTGTTAAACTCATAAAAGCATACAACCAAACACAACTGCCTTTTAATGCTGCTATCACTACAAATAAAAGCTGCGTGTGGAATTCTAAATTCCCAACTCCTATTTCTGTATCCTATTCAGCAAGTGTTACACCCTCCAGTGTTGGCCCTCTGTATCCATGGGATCCACATCTGTGGATTCAGCCAATTGCTGATCAGAAATATTTGAGAAAAAAGATTCCATTTGTACTGAACATATACAGACTTTTTTTCTTGTCATTATTCCCTAAACAATACATTATAACAACTGTTTTCATAGCATTTACATTATATCAGGTATTATACGTAATCTAGAGATGATTTAAAGAATATGGGAGAATGTACATAGGTTATGTGCAAATACTATGCTGTTTTATATCAGGATCTTGAGTATCCTCAAATTTTAGTGCCTGAGGGAAGACCTGGAACCAATCCACCACACATGTAGAGGGACGACTGTGTTTATTTTAAGGTGGTCTACCTAAATACAGAATCTTTCACTGCACCACTCTGCCTCATTGTGATTCCACCCCCATCACATATGGGGTAATTATGAAAGGGAAGCTCCACACAACCGAACACATTTTGTCATATTATGTGTCTATGATACGATAAAATAGATAACTCACCTAAATGGGGAAACAGATCAGTGTCCAACTGATGTTTCTGGGTGCACAGTTTCACCAGTCTCTGCAGTCGGCTTATACATGAGAAGTGTGGAGAGAAGGCTGTGGCTTTCATGAGGATCCGGTCAGTCCTGGGTGGGTCCACAGTGGGAGCCCTACTGGATGGCAGGAGGGGCAGAGGCCTCTTGTGAGACAACTGCCGTGCTTGTGCTATAGTGTGTGTGGTGGGTGCCACTCCCTGCATTGGTAGGCTGGTGTTCTGAGGTTGAGGTGACTTGCAGACTGAACCCTGCGGTGGCGCTGGAGGTTTTAAAGAAGTAGATAAAGGTGACAGGTGGGAGTGCTGCTGCGGAGGCTGCTGCTGTGAAGGTGCAGGAGGGGGACTAAAGTGCTCTTGTCGAACTTTTAAAATCTCTGTCTCTCTCTGGCGCTGCCGATTCTGGGCCAACTTGCTCTGCAACTTCTTTCTCACAGTTGCCCCTTTCTTTAGGTCATCATCTTCCTCATTGAAAGCAAATGGGTCTTCCAATTCGGTTTCCAGGTAGTGGAGAGGGACCCTTGCCCCAGGTGGAGAGAGGGACATTCCATCCAGTCCGTTGGGCATCTTCAAGGCCAACGTGGGCACTGTCAGGCTAAAGGCCATGGTATCCATCTGGTGCCTGACCTTCACCTCATCTATAGGATCATTCTTTTTCTTCCTCTCTTTTTTCGGGATAAAGCCAAGTACCTGCAAGTGGCTGTTGCAGTACCTTTAAAATACACACATACATGGGAAAACAGTCATGATACATATTTTTTAAAAGTAGAACATAAAACTACATGAGAATCCTAATGTTAAAAATTGCGTCACTATAGTGACTCTTGGCAGCCAGCAACTTAACATGCAAACCTCTACTACTTTCAAGCAGTCCTCAAAGTCAGTGTAATTTTGATGAGGCAAATATGTGAACTGTACATGCACAGGGGTGGCCAGACAGAAGCAAGTCATTCAGTTACTGAGTGGCCCTGGATAACTGCTCAGCTACTGCTTCTCACATGGCTTTGTTATTCTCTATTCATAGCATACAAAGTAACTCATCAAGAGTCTAAAAGATCACTTAAAATTCTCTTATGAGAAAAAATATATATATTTTCTAATGCCATTAAAGTATTCGGAGATTCACAAAGCTCTTATGACATAAAACCCTCAAGAATGTCAAGTGTCTACTGTGCTTTAGACACATATACAGAGAGAGACAGAGAAAGAGAGAGAGAATGAAATAAGAAAGTAAAAGATGGTTCGTGGGGTTATAGGTGAAATGCCTTTTTCAATAGCCAGATGTAAGTACATGAATTATCTCCTGTAGTACCTACCTGCAGTAGGCGCTAAAATAATTCCCTTAATGCAGATGAGGAAACTAAGCTTTACAGAAATTGATGAACTTGCCTGAGACTCTTTCCAGCTGGAAAGAGTCAGAGCTAAGACCAACTAAAATCAAAGCTCATGAAGACTCTCATTAGTCTTCAACAATAAGCAAGTATACTGCTTGGGTGATGGTTGCACCAGGATCTCACAAATCACCACTAAAGAACTTGCTCATGTAGCCAAATACCACCTGTACCTCAATAACTTTAAAATAAAATAATAAAAACTAATAATTTTAAAAATGCTTTATAGAATTCACCAGTGATGCCATCTGACATGGACTTTTCCTGTGGAAAGTTTAAAAAAAAAAAAAAAGAGCAAAATTAAATTCAAAACTGCTATTTTGAATTCTCTGTCTGAAAGATCACATATCTCTGTTTTTCCAGAACTGGTCCTTGGTGCCTTATGTATTTCATTTGTTGATGTCATGTTTTCCTGGATGGTCTTGAAGCTTGTGAATTTTCGTCTGTGTGGGCATTGAAAAGTTAGGTATTTATTGTTGTCTTCACACTCTTCATGCTATTTTAAAAACCTATAAAGGCCGGGCACAATGGCTCATGCCTGTAATCCCAGCACTTTGGGAGGCTGAGGCGGCGGACCACAAGGTCAGGAGATCGAGACTATCCTGGCTAATCCGGTGAAACCCCGTCTCTATTAAAAATACAAAAAATTAGCCGGGCGTGGTGGCAGGAGCCTGTAGTCCCAGCTACTCGGGAGGCTGAGGCAGGAGAATGGCGCGAACCCCGGAGGCAGAGCTTGCAGTGAGCCGAGATGGTGCCACTGCACTCCAGCCCAGGTGAGAGTGCCAGACTCTGTCTCAAAAAAAAAAAAAAAAAAAAAAAACCTATAAAAGGGCCGGGCGCAGTGGCTCACGCCTGTAATCCCAGCACTTTGGGAGGCCAAGACAGGTGGATCACCTGAGGCCAGGAGTTCGAGACCAGCTTGGCCAACATGGTGAAACCCCATCTCTACTAAAAATACAAAAATCAGCCAGATATGATGGTAGATGCCTGTAATCCCAGCTACTCAGGAGGCTGAGGTACAAGAATCGCTTGAACCCGGGGGCAGAGGTTGCAGTGAGCTGAGACTGCACCACTGCATTCCAGCCTGAGAGACAGAGCAAGACTCGTCTCAAAAAACAAACAACAAAAAAAAACAGTACTCCATGCTTAAATAAATTTGGAAAATGCTGGCTTAAACAAAATTAAAGAATGATTTTGTTGTTTTTTGTTACTGATGTGCAACTACTCAAAGCACTTTGTGTAACATGCATTATGAAGTTCCAAGAGGAAACTGTACCCATCTGGCAGTGTTTCCCAAAGTTATTTGAAAATGAAACCCAGGGCCAAATGTGGTGGCTCATGTCTGTAATCCCAGCACTTTGGGAGGCTGAGGCAGGAGGATCCCTTGAGGCCAGGAGTTCAAGATCGACCTGAGCAACATAGCAAGACCCTGTCTCAGTTAAAAAAAAAAAAAAAAAAATCAAAGAAAACAGAACCAGCCGGGCAAAGTGGCTCATGCTTGTAATCCCAGCACTTTGGGAGGCCAAGGTGGGTGGATCACCTGAGGTCAGTAGTTTGAGACCAGCCTGGCCAACGTGGTGAAACCCTGTCTCTACTAAAAATACAAAAATTAGCCGGGTGTGGTGGTGTGCGCCTGTAATTCCAGCTACTTGGGAAGCTGAGGCAGCAAAATCCCTTGAACCCATGAGGTAGAGGCTGCAGTGAGCCGAGACTGTGCCACTGCACTCCAGCCTGGGCAACAGAGTGAGACTCAGCCTCAAAAAACAAAAAAAACAAAAAAGAACAGAGAACCTATTTTTACTGTAGCATATAGGTGATAGCTCCAAAAAACATAGTTTGGGAAAAGACCACTGAGGTAAAAAATGTCAATCCTCAAATTCACTGGGCTTCATCATATAAGTGTTTTTCTAGTAATTGCTAAAAATACAGATTCACCAAATAATCAGAAAATCTCAAGCACACACAGAATATGTGTGGGTGTGTTTTGTTGCTTCGTCTTAGAAATAAATCTATCAGAGGCACTCTTTAACGTAGGCCTCTTAAGAAAAAGCTTTCTTTGTCATGTGCAGTCACTGAAAAAGCGAAAAAGGTTTCTAGCCAGCAAAGAGAATCTACACCGTGTGTGTGTGTGTCTGTGTGTCTGTGTGCTTCCCTAGCAGGTTTGAGCTAGGTCCCATATATATCTTAAACAGAACAGATTCACAAAGCAATGGCCAGCAAAGAAAGAGGCGTCTGGGATAACTGCACTAACCAAAAAGTTTCCCAAGAACAAGAAAAAATTTTAATAAAGAATAAATTTGGCCTGGCGTGGTGGCTCATGTCTATAATCCCAACACTTTGGGAGGCCAAGGCAGGGCGATTGCTTGAAGCCTGGAGTTCGAAACAAGCCTGGGCAACCTAGTAAGGATCCATCTCCACAAAAAGTTTTCAAAACTCGGCCAGCCACGTGGCTTGTGCCTGTAGTCCTAGTTACTCGGGAGACTGAGGCAAGAGGATCATTTGAGGCCCAAAGTTCAAGGCTGTAGTGAGCTACGATCATGCCACTGCACTCCAGCCTGGGCAGCAGAATGAGACCCCATCTCAAAGAAAAAAAAGAAAAGAAAGACAAATTTATAACTTAGTACTTATGGCCGGGCGCAGTGGAGCATGCCTGTAATCCCAGCACTTTGGGAGGCAGAGGTAGGAGGATCACTTCAGGTCAGGAGTTCGAGACCAGCCTGGCCAACATGGTGAAACCCCATCTCTACTAAAAATACAAAAATTAGCCGAGCGTGGTAGTGTGCACCTGTAATCCCAGCTACTGGGGAGGCTGGTGCAGGAGAATTGCTTGAATCAGGAGGCAGAGGTTGCAGTGAGCCAAGATCATGCCACTGTACTTCAGCCTAGGCAACAGTTGAGCGAGACTCCGTCAAAAAAAAAAAACAACAACAACAACTTAGTGCTTTTTTTTTTTTTGAGACGGAGTTTCGCTCTTGTTGCCCAGGCTGGAGTGCAATGGCGCGATCTCCGCTCACTGCAACCTCCGCCTCCTGGGTTCAAGCAATTCTCCTGCCTCAGTCTCCCGAGCAGCTGGGATTACAGGCATGTGCCACCACACCCGGCTAATTTTGTATTTTTAGTAGAGACGGGGTTTCTCCATGTTGGTCAGGGTGGTCTCAAACTCTCAACCTCAGGTGATCCACCCACCTCGGCCTCCCAAAGTGCTGGGATTACAGGCGTGAGCCACCGTGCCCGGCAACTTAGTACTTATTAAGCACAGCTTCTCGAGATAGAAACATGAAAGTCCTTTCCCTTATCTTGTTCTCAAAAGAGCAAACTATTTCAAAGACAAAGGTGTATACAGATGCTTCAGAGAATATTTTGAAGAGATTCATAAGGACTCTCACTTGAATTCTTGCCTTTTTTTTTAGATAGGGGGTCTTGTTCAGTTGCCCAAGCTGGAGTATAGTGGCACAATTACTGTTCACTGCAGCCTCGGCCTCCTGGGCTAAATCAATCCTTCCACCTCAGTCCCAATTAGCTGGGACTCTAGGCGTGTACCACTACACCTGGCTAATTTTTGTATTTTTTGTAGAGATGGGGTTTTGTCATGTTGCTCAGGCTGGTCTTGAACTCCTAGGCTCAAGCGATCCACCGCCTTAGCCTCCAAAAGTGCTGGGATTACAGGCGTGAGCCATCACACCCAGTCCTTGCTGCTATTAAGATAATTCTTGCTTTGGCTCAACTGAAAAAAAATCCAACACTGACAACTGTAACCATGATAAGCTAATTTTAAGACAAAATTTTAGAAATGTGTTTACGATGGGGCTTGATGTAAAAAAAAATTAATCCAAGCTCATCCATTCTTCAAGTTAAAAAAAGGCAGGGTAAGAAATTATCATTTTCAGTCTGCTAAAAACTAACTAGACAGATATATTTAGCCTAATACATACATCCCTTTCTCACCTGAGATTAAAATTTTATTCCTTGCCTCACTAAGCAGCTGTTTCTAACTTTCAGGTATTGTAATTTGAAGCCTCAATGCTCATTAGAAATTCTAAGAGAGTATTCCTAAATCCCCATTAAACTATTTGTACTCATTTTGGTGAGATCAGCACCAACACAAATTATTTATTTCATACTGCAAGTGTAAAAAGTATTCATGACACAAAATATCTGATTCCTTTCCAACCAATTTATGCAAGTGACATTTGCTAATGTATAGAAACATGGATGAAGGTTGTGTGTGTGTTTTAAGATAGAAGTGAAAGGTTCAAATTTTCTACCTAGAGATAACAAGTATCTTGAAACTTTTGGAAAACAAGCATGTATCTCTCCATGAAGCCCCACAGTGATCTATATAGTTTCTGGAGAATTGAAGAAAAAGAAGCACAGAGAAGAGATTATATATGAAAGATAGTGTGAATTTTCCTAACAATATGAAAGATGAATAACCAGTATAAGACTCCTTTAAAAACAATTCCACTCTTTTCTAAATTTAGCGAAGCATAAACTCATCATTCTAGTGGCAAAACCGACCCTTAATGTGAAAATAGTGTTTCCAAATTATGGCAAACATACTCTATTTGGAACACTTTTTAACCAAAAAAGGTAAGGTTATAAAACATGCCAAACACTGGTGAGAAGTCTGATAGGAAATAAATCTAACTGATTCAAGTAGTTTTTTAAAATTTTCTTCAGTAAGTATATATCCTTTACTAACTTCTAGGCATAGATTTTAAACTCCAAAATTGCTATCATTAATTATAACACCTAATTAGTTATTTAAATTTCTCTCATTTAGGCAAATGAGAAAACTAGGTAGAAAAGTCAGGAATTACTTTATAAGGCCATAAACCAAACAAATCCGTTTCAAGACTTCAAGCAGCAACTTTGAGGGAAAAAAAATCTTTTAAAAATTCTAGAAGTCCATGAAATCAATTAAATAGAAGACACTCAAACATACTTTAAGTAATTCCCCAAATTTATTACTCTATTTTAAAAAATTGCCATATTTCATCTTTAAAAGTATTCCATAGATTACTTAGATTACCCCCAGAATTCAACATTTATATAGGTGGAGGAAGGGAGGGAGGGAGAAATGAAGGACAGAAGAAAAGAGAAGAAAAAACAAGAAAAGAAAAAATTCCAAGCCTGTTAATGAAATCAAGGATTGATTCTCATGATTAGCCCTTACCTACGATCCTCTGATTTGGGGATGGGGTTGGTGCAGCGTTGGCTGTTATACTTGGCCACATATTCACATTGCTTGAAGGGGGCAGTCTTGTCCTCCAGAACGTGTCTGATACAGAAGGCGTAGCCGTTGAGTCGCCTCTGCTTGCACAGTTTGGGGCTATATGAGCACAAGGGCTTATTGTCAACCTCAGAGAAGTGTATATGTTTCCCTTCATACATCACGTGACTCTATTCCTTGTGAACATCAGCTAAAAGGCCACCACAAAAAAAGAAACCCAAATGATAAATCAGAGAGTATAAGGCAGATTTAAGTTGAGAATTTCACTGAGGGACTTCTGGCCCCACAGCCATACCTGATTTTAAATCTTCTGCACCATAGCAATGTTAAGAGAACCCCCAAGGATACCACAGTTTGGAATGCCGCAGAATCAGGATGAAGCAGATTGTCTATAAAAATATCAAAAGGCCTAGTTAACAAACAGAAATAAGCAAAGCTAGCTCACCCAGGAAGCAAAATACTAAGATATCACCCTTACTAATGCAATGGATTCTTCACTGTAAATCAACATCCCAATAACGAGGTTAAATAAGAAAATAAGAGACATTATAAAACATTAAGTTGGCTGGGCGCCGTGGCTCACGCCTGTAATCCCAGCACCTTGGAGGCGGGTGGATTACTTGAGGTCAGGAGTTTGAGACCAGCCTGGCCAAAATGGCGAAACCCCGTCTCTATTAAAAATACAAAACTGAGCCAGGCATGGTGGCGGGCACCTGTAATCCCAGCCACTTGGGAGGCTGAGGCAGGAGAATCACTTGAACCCGGAAGACAGAGGTTGCAGTGAGCCGAGATCACACCTCTGGACTCCAGCCTGGGTGAGAGTGAAGATCTGTCTCAAAAACAAAACAAAAAAAAAGTAAGTTACCTTATCCCCCCAAATTGAACTAAATAACATTTGCTCTGGTTAAGTTCTATAAATACCTCAAAGCAGCAAAACTCTTCCACCAAATGAATGTCACAGGTAGCAGGTCTCTTTTTCATTACTGATGTTTGCATGCTATACTCATTTTCAGAACCCACATCCCTTTACAATGCCAGCAGAATAAATGGTAGACCTAAAACTTCTCTCAGAAATTCTACTTCTTTTGATATGATGGTAAAATATTTGGCAATTTATAAATTTTTCTATGAAATACAAAATAAATTTTGTATTTAAATTTCTGTCATTAAAAAATGTTCTTTCCCTTATAATATTTCCCCACACCTATCCCATCCAATCACAATAAACTTCTCAGGCCCAAAGACTAGTCAGCTGACCACACTTATATCATTCATTTCAAAGTTCTGCACCACATGGTGCTTCCAGTCACACTAAATAGTAAAATAATCGTGGCTTATGAGTCTTTTCAGAGTCAGTGAGAAAATGGAAGGAGGGAATTACACAATACTCACTACCAATCTACACGCAAAAGGCCCAGTGGTAGGATTTATATATTACAACACCATCTAGTCTATCATGAAACTGAATCTATTTTGCCAAGTCAGGATCTTAGTGAGCTGATGGAGTCTCACCCATCCTCTTCCACACTTCCAGCCATCAAGATGGCTGATGGAACAGCTCAGATATCAGCTACTGAAAAAGTCCAGAAATACTCTCTGTTTTACCAGTAAATGACAAGATACATAAATGCTGGAGGTGTCAGAAGACACGGTTGTTCAAGTCCAAAATCTGCCACTTGCTGTGTTACCTTGAACAAATCATTTAACCTATTTGAATGTCAGTTTTCTCATCTGTAAAACAGGGATAATAATAGTAGCTATGTTATCAGGATACTGGAATGATCAAATGATACAAAGCATCCAACATACTAAGTATCATCCCTAGTATATGGTAAATACTAGAGAAACAAATTACTATTCACAAGTGTTCATTCTTGTAATACAAGACTACATTCCACCTGCCAGTAATGAAAGTAGAGAATTTGTAGTCTTCTCAAGACATACTTCACTTACTGTAGTAGGAAAAAAAAAAACTCAAAATATTAACTTAGTTAATAAAAATCATATTTTCTCTTCTGGAGGGAAAAAAAATCACATTCATTACTAAGTAAATTAATCACACATTAATGTAAAAAATAAGAGCTTTCTCTTTTCACCTTATGAGAATGTAAGAAAAAAAAGTTGGACTAGAAATTTAAATTTAGGTGCTAAGAAACTGGATATCCACATGCAGAAGAATGAAACTAGACCCCCACCTTTCACCCCATACGAAAATCAACTTAAAATGGATCAAAGACCTAATTGTAAGACTTGAAACTATAAAACTATTAGAAGAAAACACAGGGGACACTGATGTGGGGAAAGGGTTTATGAGTTAAGATCTGAAAAGTACAGGGTGGGCACGGTGGCTCATGCCTGTAATCCCAGCACTTTGGGAGGCCGAGGCAGGCGGATCATGAGGTCAGGAGCTCGAGACCAGCCTGACTAACAAGGTGAAACCCTGTCTCTACTAAAAAATACAAAAATCAGCTAGGCATGGTCATGCATGCCTGTAATCCCAGCTACTGGGGAGGCTGAGGCAGGAGAATCACTTGAACCTGGGGGCAGAGGTTGCAGTGAGCCGAGATCACGCCACTGCACTCCAGTCTGGGCAACAGAGTGAGACTCTGTCTCAAAAAAAGAAAAGAAAGAGAGAAAAAAAGATCTGAAAAGTACAGACAATAAGGTAAAAATAAACAAATGGGATTATATTAAACTAAAAAGCTTCTGCACAGCAAAGGAACAACCAACAGCACAAAAAGACAACCTACGGAATGGGAGAAAATATTTGCAAACTATTGAACCAACAAGGGATTAACATCCAGTATATATATAAGAAACAAACATCTCAAAAGAAAAAAATACAACCAATTCAATTTTTAAATGGGCAAATGATTTGAACAGACATTTCTCAAAAGAAGGCATACAAATGGCTAACAAATATTTGGAAAAAATGCTGAACATCACTAATCGTCAGGGAAATACAAATCAAAATTGGGGTAAGGTATCCTCTTACCCCACTTAGGATGGCTATTATCAAACAGACAAAAAATAACAAATGCTGGTGAGGAAGCAGCAAAAAGGGAACTCTTGTACGCTGTTTGGGAATGTGAACCAGTATAGCCACTATAAAGAACAGCATGGGCCGGGCGCAGTGGCTCACGCCTGTAATCCCAGCACTTTGGGAGGCCAGGGCAGGTGGATCACTTGAGGTCAGGAGTTCAGGACCAGCCTGGTCAACATGGCAAAATCCTGTTTCTCCTAAAAATACAAAAATTAGCTGGGCTTGTTGGCATGCGCCTGTAGTCTCAGCTACTCAAGGCTGAGGCAGGAGGATCGCCTGAACCCAGGAGGTCAAGGCTGCAGTGAGCTGAGATCGCAACACTGCACTCCAGCCTGTGATGGAGCGAGACGATGTCTCAAAAAAAAAATAAACAAATAAAATAACAGTATGAAGGTTCCTCAAAGAGCTACAAATAGAACTACCCACTACTAGGCATTTTTCCAAAGAAAAGGAAATAATACATCAAAGAGATATCTGCACTCCCATGTTTATCAAAGCACTATTGATGATACCCAAGATATGGAATCAAACTAGGTGTCCCACAACAGATGAATGGATAAAGAAAATGTGGTATATATACACAATGGAATACTATTCAGCCATTAAAAAGAATGAAATTCTTGGGCACCAGGCGTGGTGGCTCACACCTGTAATCCTAGCACTTTGGGAGGCCAAGGTAGGCAGATTACCTGAGGTCAGGAGTTCAAGACCAACACGGCCAACATGGCAAAACCCTTCTCTACAAAAAATACAAAAATTAGTTCAGTGTGGTGGCACACACCTGTAATCCCAGCTACTCGGGAGGCTGAGGCAGGAGAATCACTTGAAGCCAGGAGGCAGTGGTTGCAGTGAGCCGAGATCGCACTACTGCACTCCAGCCTGGGTGACAGAGCAAGACTCCATCACAAAAAAAAAAAAAAGAAAAAGAAATTCTCTTATTCACAGCAATATGGATAGAACTAGAAGACATTATCTTAAGTGAAATAAATAAGGTATGGAAAATTAAACATACATGTTTTCACTCATGTAGTCACATAAAAAAGTTGATCTCATAGAAGCTAAAAGTAGGCTGGGCGCAGTGGTTCATGCCTATAATCCCAGCACTTTGGGAGGCCAAGGCAGGTGGAACATTTGAGCTTAGGAATTCGAGACCAGCCTGGCCAACATGGTGAAATCCTGTCTCTACTAAAAATACAAAAGTAGCCGGGCATGGTGGTGGGGGCCTGTAATCCCAGCTACTTGGGAGGCTAAGGCAGGAGAATCGCTTCAACCCAGGAGGCGGAGGTTGCAGTGAGCCAAGATCGCACCACTGCACTCCAGCCCGGGCAACAGAGTGCAACCGTCTCCAAAAAAAAAAAAAGAAGTAAAAAGTAGAACAGAGGCTAGAGGCTACAAGACAAAGACTGGGAAAGGTAGGGGAAAGAAGAGAATATGGAGAGATTTGTTAAAGGATACAAAATTATGGCTAGATGGGAGGAATAAGCCCTAGTGTTCTATAGCACTGTAGGATGGCTATAGTTAACAATAATTATTATACAGTTTTGAATAGCTAGAAGGAGGATATTGAATGTTTCCAATACACAAAAAAATGATGCTTGAGATGATGGCTGTTCTAATTACCCTGCTGATTACTATACATTATATGAATCAAAACATCACTATATACCCCACAAATATGTACAATTATTTTGTGTCCATTAAAATTTTTTAATTTGAAAATTATAAAACATAAACATTTAAATTTAGCTGCCCTGGATGTTTGGGACAGGAAATATTTCAAAGCAAATCCATGCCATTTTTCATTTTTCACCATCTTTTCTCTACTCACCCACAAGCCAAACACACACGTATCTTTCACAAATTAGTTCAAAGAAACCTATACGAACATCAAGAAAAAAGAGCAATCTACATGTCTGTAGGTATGAGAGCATTTTACAAATCATAGAAAGAAATCTGAGGGCAGGGATGGAAGGATGTGAAGTTGCAGTGTGCCGAGATCGTGCCACTGCACTCCAGCCTGGGCAACAGAGGGAAACCCTGTTTCAAAAAAAAAATGCAACTCAACTGAGCATTTTGTGATGAATTCAACCTTGTCTTACACAAATATTTGAACTATTGCTTTTTTGGTTTGAATTTATCAATTGAGTCTTTGCCCGTACTTCTGTTCCCAACTTTTGAGGCACTGTGTTGTGTTTTATTTTTATTTATTTTTTATTTTGAGGACAGGGTCTCACTTTGTTGCCAGGCTGGATTGCAGTGGCATGATCATAGCTCACTGCAACCTCAAACTTCTGGGCTCAAAAGATCTTCCTGCCTCAGCCTCCCAAGTAGCTAGGACTACAAGTATGTGCCACCATATCTGGCTAATTTTTTAAATTTTTTGTAGAGACTGGGTCTTGCTGTGCTGCCCAGGCTGGTCTCAAACTCCTGCATTCAAGAGATCCTCCCGCTTTGGCCTTCCAAAGTGCTGGGATTACAGGCATGAGCCACTGTGCCTGGCCACACTACATTTTAGATCTCAGGTCAGCAAACTAAACTATTTCTTACAGGACAAATGTGGCCCACTGTCTGTTTTTGTAAATAAAGTTTTATTGGAACACAGCCATGCTCATTCATTTACATACTGTCCATGCCTACTTTTGTGCTATAATGGTAAAATTTAATAGCTGCAACAGATACTATATGGCCACAAAAATAAAACTATTTACTAACATGTTATTTGTTGATCCCTTTTAGATGCAACTCTTGTTGGGTTTGACTTTTTGCTCCAATCTGAATCATTTTACTTTTGAGCAATTTTTTTTTCTTTTCTTTTTTTTGAGACAGTGTCTCACTCTGTCACCTAGGTTGGAGTGTAGTGGCACAATCACCACTCACTGCACCCTCAACCTCCAGGGCTCAAGCAATCCTCCCACCTCAGCCTCCTGAGTAGCTGCGACTAAAGGCACATACCACTACACAGTGCTAATTTTCTGTATTTTTTGTAGAGACGAGGTTTCACCATGTTGCCTAGGCTGGTCTTGAACTTCCGGTCTCAAGTGATCTCCCTGCCTGGGCCTCCCAAAGTGCTGGGATTACAGGCCTGAGTCACCCTGCCTGGTCCAAGTCATTTTCTTTTAATAAATGAGTTTATCCAATTTATAATTTTGTATTTATGACATATTTCATCTTAATCCTATTATATTTTGTATTGCCTTTAGCCTTTAATTTAATCTTTTCATTATACATTTCACTATATTCAGTACAAAGGTTTGAACTGTGTAGCTCTACTTATACATGGATTTTTTTTCCTCCTCTGCTACCCTGACAGTAAGACCAACCCCTTCTCTTTTTCCTCCATCTATTCAATGTGAAGACTTTTATGATGATCTGCTTCCACTTAATACTAAATATATTTTCCTTATGGTTTTCTTAATAACATTTTCTTTTCTATAGCTTACTGTATTGTAAAAATATAATATATAATACATATACAAAATATGTGTTAATCTGTTCACGTTTTCAGCAAGGCTTCTAGTTAACAGTAGGCTAGTTAACTTTCTTGGGTAGTCAAAAGTTCTAATATGGCCAAGTGTGGTGGCTCATGCCTGTAATCCTAGCACTCTGGGAGGCCAAGGCGAGTGGATCACCTGAGGTCAGGAGTTCTAATGCAGATTCTCAAAAAAAAGTTCTAATGCAGATTCTCAACATGTGGGGTTGGTACCTATACTTTCAAGTTGTTCAAGGGTCAACTGTAGTCTGTTTTCTTAGAAAAACTGTAGTCTGTCTCCTTTAGATAACATTTCTTTACTCCACACTAAGAAAATTAGTATACTTATCAGCATTATTGCAACTGATCCCATGTTATAAACGAGAAAAATTTCCAGACTTACAACTACCTACCCATCCCTAACTCTCAAGGCTTTTTCCTGTTGTTGTTCTTAGTTCTACATTTAAATTTATTCAATGCAAAATGATGCTTTTTTTTAACTTAGTCTTCCATTCACTTCTTGATTCAATAGTTTACAACACAGTCTCCTCTCCTTTCTTTCCCCGAAAAGAGCAGATTTGTGGAAACTATAAGCCACGATTTTTCTATTTGAAAACATACGTTGGCCAGGTATGATGGTGCACGCCTGTAATCCCAGCACTTTGGGAGGCTGAGGCGTGTAGGCTGCTTTGAGCTCAGAAGTTCGAAGCCAGCCTGGGCAACAGAGCGAAACCCTATCTCTACAAAGAATACAAAAATTAGGCCAGGTGCAGTGGCTCACGCCTGTAATCCCAGCACTTTGGGAGGCCGAGGTGAGGTGGGCGGATCACTTGAGGTCAGGAGTTCGAGACCAGCCTGGCCAACATGTTGAAACACCATTTCTACTAAAAACAAAACAACACAAAAATTAGCTGGGTGTGGTGGCATGTGCCTGTAGTCCTGGTTACTTGAGAGGCTGAGGTGAAGGGATTGCTTGAGCCTGAGAGGTCGAGGCTACAGTGTGCCAAAACTGCACCACACCGCACTCCAGCCTGGGCAACAGAATGAGACTCTGTCTCAAAAAAAGAAAAGAGCCAGGCGCGGTGGCTCATGCCTGTAATCCTAGCACTTTGGGAGGCCGAGGTGGGCGGATCATGAGGTCAGGAGATAGAGACCATCCTGACTAACACGGTGAAACCCTGTCTCTACTTAAAATACAAAAAATTAGCCGGGCATGGTGGCATGTGCCTATAGTCCCAGCTACTCAGGAGACTGAGGCAGGAGAATCGCTTGAACCCAGGAGGCAGAGGTTGCAGTTAGGCAAGATCACGCCACTGCACTCCAGGCAACAGAGCAAGACTCCGTCTCAAAAAAAAAGAAAAAAGAAAGAAAAGAAAACATGTCAATTGGTGTTATACTTAAACAACAGCTTGTCTGGAAATAAAATTCTTGGGTTGTGCTTTTTTTTATCTACTGACTTTGTATATATTGTTTCATGCTGAAAAAGCCTGAAGCCAGTCTCTTGATTTTATAGGGGACTTGATTTTTTTTTTTTTTTTTTTGCATGTTGACCTAACAATAAAAGTCTATTTAAAGACTAGAAACTGTTCTAAAATTTTAAATCCTTTTCTTTTCTTTTTCACTCTTGTTGCCCAGGCTGGAGTGCAATGGCACGATCTCAGCTCACTGCAACCTCCACCTCCTGGGTTCAAGCGAATTCTCCTGTCTCAGCCTCCTGAGTAGCGGGGATTACAGGTGCATGCCACCATGCTCAGGTAATTTTAGTATTTTTAGTAGAGATGGGGTTTCATCATATTGGTCAGGCTGGTCTCGAACTTGTGACCTCAGGTGATCCGCCTGCCTCAGCCTCCCAAAGTGCTGGGATTACAGGCATAAGCACCACGCCCGGCCTTTTTTTTTTTTTTTTTTTTTTTTTTTTTTTTTTTTTTTTTTTTTTTTTTTTTTTTTTTTTTAAGAGATGAGGTTGCACTATAATGCCCAAGCTGGATTGAACTCCTGGGCTCAAGCAATCCTCCACCATAGCTGGGACTACAGGTGCATGTCACCACACCTGCCTTCAAATCTTTTATTGTGGGAAACTCTTCCTTAATGTATTGACATTTCTTTCTGCTTGATTTATTCTCCGACAGCTTCAGGGGTATCAATTATTGGCATACTAGATTGACTGTATTCCCTATCTGTCACTCTCTCTCTAGTCTTTCTTCATTTTTATTTGTTCCATTTTGGGTTGCTCAAATTTCTCAAGCTTGCTTCCATTACCCCCAGCTATAGTTGATATTTGCACTTTGAATGTTTCTGCAATGTTACTTTTCTCTTATTTTGTACCCTGATTCCATCAGCTCACTCTTACAATACTTCTGTTGTCTTCTTTTATTTCTCGAGCTTTTATATCTCATCTTTAAACTCTAGTTTCAGAGGAGGTATGTCTCACCCCCACCTTCCACCATAGGAACTATTTTTTCACTTTCCCTTGAGGCTTGACTCCATGCTGGACTATGTTCCCTAACTCACAGGAGCCCACATGGCATAGATTTGGGGGTGGGGTGATAATTTAGGCTTTACTTCTCTTCACATGACCAAGATCAGGAGCTGAAAGGCTGCTTGCTGCCAGTTTCTCCTCCACTCTGAACTTCCTACAAAACTGGTAGGACTGCACAGTTTGCAACTCAGCCCCACCTCTCCTGCCACTCAGGGAGCCCAACATACATATATCCAACTTTGCCATCCATGCATGGGGATTACTGGTTTTGTCCTCGGGGTGTGTCACTTTCTTGAGAGAAAGCTTCTTCCTTTGCTTTGCCTGGTTCTACAGAGGAAATCATCCTCTCTTGGCATCCTCTCTTGCCCTGGTTCAATTTTCACTGCACTTAATAGCACTAATTTATATATTTTGGGTTTTTTGGGAGGGTTTTGTTTGGTTTTTTTTTGAGACAGAGTCTCGCTCTGTCACCCAGGCTGGAGTGAAGTGGTACAATCTCAGCTCAGTGCAACCTCTGCCCCTTGGATCAAGCCATTTTCCTGCCTCAGCCTCCTGAGTAGCTGGGATTATAGGCGCCCGCCACCACGCCCAGCCAATTTTTTTGTATTTTTAGTAGAGACGGGGTTTCAGCATGTTGGCGAGGCTGGTCTCGAATTCCTGTCCTCAGGTGATCCATCCACTTCAGCCTCCCAAAGTGCTAGGATTACAGGCATGAGCCACCGCGCCTGCCGTAATTCATATATTTTGATTACAAGGTTACAGTAATTGTCAAAGTTGCAGTTTAGTTTCTGTTTCTAATTCTCCCTATTTTTAAAGTTGGTTTGGAGAAGGAAGAATAGAGATCTCAGTACTTGCTATCATTAACCACAAATATCTTTTTAAATTTTGAATAAACTATTCCACAATAATATCAAAACCATAAAGCATACTTATTATAGAATTTTTTTACAACAAATGCATTACTTTTGTAATAATTTTATAAAAATCTAACTTTCTTCTCTTTTTTTTTTTTTTAAGAGACAGTCTTGCTCTCTTGTCAAGGCTAGAGTGTACAGTGGCACAATCATAGCAGCCTCAAGCTCCTGGGCTCAATTGATCCTTTTACCTTAGCCTCCCAAGTAGCTGGGACTACAGGCATTAATCACTGTGCCCAACTAATTTTTTAATTTATTGTAGAGATGGAGTCTCACTACATTGCCCAGGCTGGTCTTGAACTCCTAGCCTCAAGTGATCCTCCTGCTTCACCTCCCAAAGTGCTGGGATTACAGGCGTGAGCCACCACAACCAGCCTGAATTTCTTCTAATTGAGTATTATTGTAGTATCAAAATCACTGTTCTGTAAACTGGAAACAGATCAATATCTGGTCTTCTCTACATTAATAAACTTCTCCTTTTTAAATAAAGAAGAAGTTATGACAAACGCACTGAGGCAGTTCTCAGAAAAAATCCTACATATTTTTCACTCTTTACCCCTAGCCTTCCACAGCTGGCGTTTTTTACCCTGATTTTACTAAAGGTGAAGTTCACATCACTTTCACTCTTTGGCATTGAGTGCAAGATATAAATAAGAATGGAAATATACAATATATAAAGCCCACATAATCTTAATCAAATGTCTTTTAGACCCTGATATATAAATACTATCGCATTTTCTTTCTTCCTTTCTTTCCTTTCCCTCTTTTTTCTGAGACAGGGTCTTGCTCTGTGGCCAGGCTGGAGTGCAGTGGTATGATTACGACTTACTGAAGCCTTGACCTCCCCAGCTCAAGTGATCCTTCCACCTCAACCTCCCAAGGAGCTGGGGCCACAAGCACATGCCACCACGCCCAGCTAATTTTTCATATTTTTAGTAGATATGGGGTTTCACCGTGTTGCCCAGGCTGGTCTCGAACCTCTAGGCTCAAGCCATCCACCAGCATCAGCCTCCCAAAGTGCTGGGATTACAGGCCTAAGCCACCATGCTCAGCCTATCACATTTCCTAATCCATGCAAACAAAAGGCTAAAACTAAGCACTATCTTTTTTTGTTTTTGTTTTTGTTTTTAGAAAAGGGGGGTGTCTCACTATGTTGCCCAGCTGGTCTCAAACTCCTAGTCTCAGTGAGCCTCCTGCCTCAGCCTACCAAACTGCTGGGATTACAGGCGTGAACCACCATGCCCAGCCAAACTCTACTTTTTAATACATGATGAATATCACTTTAAAAAGAAAAAAAAACCTTAGCCAAACTAAATTTATTAACAGTTCTAGCAAATACCATCTTCAGCTGTGGAGACAACTTGCTTAGCATATAAACAGACCTATGCTCCCTTAAAGGAGAGAATGCAGGTAATTAAAGCACTTTAGAGCAGCAGCAGAATATACACTGTTATTACCAAAAAATGGAAATAACCATTACTGAGAACAGAAAATACTCAAGTCTCACTTGCTGTAGAAAAAATATTTCAACAGCAAACATAACCATATACTAGAATTCAAGAGTAGGAAATAGCCGGGCACGGAGGGTCACGCCTGTAATCCCAGCACTTTGGGAGGCCAAGACAGGCGGATCACCTGAGGTCAGGAGTTCAAGACCAACCTGGCCAACATGTTGAAACCCCGTCTCTACAAACACACAAAAATTAGCCGGGCATGATTGCGGGTGCCTGTAATCCTAGCTACTCAGGAGGCTGAGGCAGGAGAAACTGCTTGAACCCGGGAGGCGGAGGTTGCAGTGAGCCGAGATCACACCGTTACACTCCAACCTGTCTAAAAACAAAAACAAAAAACAGTAGGAAATATGATTAGGTTTAGGTTTTTAAAAAATCCTCATTGGGGCTGGGCATGGCGGCTCACGCCTGTAATTGCAGCACTCTGGGAGGCTGAGGTGGGAGGATCAACTGAGGTTAGGAGTTCAAGACCAGCCTGACCAACATGGAGAAACCCAGTCTCTACTAAAAATACAAAATTAGCCAGGTGTGGTGGCACATGCCTGTAATCCCAGCTACTCAGGAGGCTGAGGCAGGAGAATCGCTTAAACCCAGGAGGCAGAGGTTGCTGTGAGCCGAGATCGCTCCATTGCACTCCAGCCTGGACGACAAGAGCGAAACTCCATCTCGAGGCAGGAGAATCGCTTAAACCCAGGAGGCAGAGGTTGCTGTGAGCTGAGATCGCTCCACTGCACTCCAGCCTGGATGACAAGAGCGAAACTCCATCTCAAAAAAAAAAAAAAAATTCCTCTTTGATATTATACACCAAGTTTAATAGGAAAATTGAACAATTCATTTCCATTGTTTCTTACTTCTTACAAATACAGAGGAATAAGACATTAGCAAGGAGAAAAGTAAGGAAGATACACTTTTAACAAAAGCAGCCAGCAGCCCTTTCAGTCTTCCAATGATAACCACAAAACAATTTGACAAAAATATGAACATTATTCTCTTTGGGACTACCACTTGATCACCTCCATGTGGAATCTCTATGTCACTGCTGTTCTTTTGATTCTCCTGTTTCAGAAACATGTTCATTTCACTGCCACACCATTTTTCTCTAATTGCCATCTGTAATTTTATATCCTACCACTTTTAAAGAGCCTAGATCTACAACATACCTTATAATTTTTTTTTTTTTTTAAAGACAGAATCTCATTCTGTTGCCCAGGCTGGAGTGCAGTGGCACGATGTTGGCTCACTGCAACCTCTGCTGCCCATTTTCAAGTGATTCTCCTGCCTCAGCTTCCCAAGTGGCTGGATTTACAGGCAAGCACCACCATGCCCCGCTAATTTTTGTATTTTTAGTAGACACGAGGGTTTCACCATGTTGGCCAGGCTGGTCTCAAACTCCTGACATCAAGTGATCCGCCCACCTCGGCCTCCCAAAGTGCTGGGATTACAGGAATGAGCCACCGTGCCCAGTTCATACCTTATAATTTTTTTAAAACTAGCGTGAGATGCCAGGTGCAGTGGCTCATGCCTGTAATCTCAGCACTTTGGGAGGCTGAGGCAGGCGGATCACTTGAGGTCAGGAGTTCGAGACCAGCCCGGCCAATATGGTGAAACCCAGTCTCTACAAAATACAAATATTAGCTGGGCTTGGTGGTGCACACCTGTAATCCCAGGTACTCTGGAGGCTGAGACAGGAAAACTGCTTGTACCCGGGAGGTGGAGGTTGCAGTAAGCCAAGATAGCACCACTGCACTCCAGCCTGGGCAATAGAGTGAGACTCCCTCTCAAAAAAAAAAAAAAAAACCTAGTGTGAGGCTGGGCACAGTGGCTCATACCGTAATACCAGAAGGTTGGGAGGCCACGGCAGAAGGATTACTTGAGCCCAGGAGTTCAACACCAGGCTGGGCAATGTAATGAAACCCTCGACAAAAAATAAAATAAATAAAACTAACATGAGCCTACTAAATTATCAGAATGTTTGTTTTCCAATATACTTAATGCAAATGAAAAGAATATTTACTTATCCCAGAAAGAGTGGATACTGTTAAAATCATATTTAGAGTATCATAAAGTCTTAAAAACGTTTTTCCATGTTATGTACTTTTTAAATGAGTTTTAATTCAACTTGATGAAGCATAAGAATGTAATAAGACACTAAACAGATGACTATATTGATTTTAAGAACCAAACATCTATATTACCTATGTAAAAAATAGTAAAATCAGACTGAGGAATGATGAAAATCTATCAACTGATGTGACTGGAAGAGAAAGAAGCAGTGAGAAAACTGCTTATCACTCGAAAATATAAACAACATTCATTATAATCAAGTTTGAACCAGAATATTTTAAAATAATGCTTATTGAATGTCTAGTATGTGCCATATACTGTACTCAGACAGCACTGTACAAGTAAGTTTGCATTAGGAATTTCAATGAACTTTACACTAGTTCCTTCCCTGCTATATTAGAAAGGTAAGGATAGTTTATGCAGCAGAAAGATCACTCACTGGCTCTGGTAGGTATCAGAGAGGGGGATCAAATCTGGTTTTGCTAATTACTAAGTATAAGACCTTGGGCAAGTTATTTAGGCTTCAGTCTTCTCATCTGTAAAGGGAAGATTGTAATTGTATGTATCTCATTGAGTTGCCTAGGATAATTAAATTAGGTATTTCATGAACTGTAACCCCAGCATATAGTAATCACTTAATATTAACTACCATTAGAAGCCGGGCGCGGTGGCTCACGCCTGTAATCCCAGCACTTTGGGAGGCCAAGGCGGGTGGATCACGAGGTCAGGAGATCGAGACCATCCTGGCTAACATGGTGAAACCCCATCTCTACTAAAAATACAAAAAAAAAATTAGCTGGGCATGGTGGTGGGCGCCTGTAGTCCCAGCTACTCAGGAGGCTGAGGGAGGAGAATGGTGTGAACCCGGGAGTCGGGCGCCTGCAGTCCCAGCTACTCGGGAGGCTGAGGCAGGAAAATGGTGTGAACCCGAAAGGCGGAGCTTGCAGTGAGCCAAGATCGCGCCACTGCACTCCAGCCTGGGCGACACAGCGAGACTCTGTCTCAAAAAAAAAAAAACAAACTACCATTAGAAGCAGTAAGTAGTGGTTTATTTGTATTATCATTTTGATCTAGAATCTGTAGGACTAAAATACATTCTCCAGCTGTTAGTGGTTTTCTGAATAGTTTCCTATAATCATTAAAAATCTAATATCCAAAATATTTCCTACATTCTATAGAGCACTTAAATACTAATGTTCTTGTGATGGAAAACACTAGCAGAATGAGCACTGTTTGACTGATCTGGGTACAGTATTTATTAGTTCCAGTTAATAATCCTTCACAACAAATGCTTTCTAAGTTCCGATCCATGTCACAGTCATTCTCTGTTGTTACAGAAACCCTGCATTACAGGACAAGAGGAAAGAAGAAAAACTAAGTTGTAGCTCTACTCCTCAAAGTTCTTTTGTGCTAAAAATCTGAAACTAATGGCCTCTTTGTTACTGAATTCCACATACACTTTTCCGCCTTCAGCTAACTGGACCTCTCTGCAGCATCTGACACTGCTGACCACTTTCTCTTTCTTGAAAATCTCTCCTTTCTGACCAGTCAGTGAGTTCTTTTCTCTTGACCCCCTTGCTTCCATGCCAATATACTCCAAGGTTCGTTTAATCTTACTTTACAGGGGTGCAAGATGAAATGCCTACATGGGCTGGAAGAGTAGGCCAGGGGCATTCTTTGGCATACTTTGCTCAAATCATTTCCAGCAAGTTGTTGCAATGTTTACAAAAAAAAAAAAAAAAAAAAAAAAAAAGGTTGACCCAGAACTTCCAGCTCTTCCATGTTATTAAAAGAAGATAGGGCCAAGCACAGTGGCTCAGGCCTGTAATCCCAGCACTTTGGGAGACCGAGGCAGGTGCATCACCTGAGGTCAGGAGTTCAAGACCAGCCTGGCCAACATGGCGAAACCCTGTCTCTACTAAAAATACAAAAATTAGCCGGCGTGGTGGCACGCGCCTGTAGTCCCAGCTACTCAGGAGGCTGAGGCAGAAGAATCGCTTGAACCGGGGTGGTGGAGATTGCAGTGAGCTGAGATCGTGCCACTGCACTCCAGCCTGGCAACACAGCGAGACTCCATCTCAAAAAAATAAATAAAAGAAGATAAAAATCCAAATTTCCCCACAAAATACCTTAATTGTTTTCATGTCAGCAGCTCCTTTAAACTTTTGAACATATGAAGGCCGGGGGTGGTGACTCACACCTGTAATTCCAACACTATGGCAGGCTGAGGCAGAAGGATCACTTGAGCCCCTTTGTTTGAGCCCAGCCTGGGGCAACATAGTAAGACCCTGTCTCCATTTAAACAAAAACAACAAAAAAAGAAAAAGACAGCCAGGCGCGGTGGCTCACGCCTGTAATCCCAGCACTTTGGGAGGCCAAGGCAGGTGGATCACGAGATCAGGAGTTCAAGACTAGCCTGGCCAAGATGGTGAAACCCCGTCTCTACTAAAAACACAAAAATTACTGGGTGTGGTGGTGGGCGCCTGTAATCCCAGCTACTCGGGAGGCTGGGGCAGAGAATTGCTTGAACCTGGGAGGCAGAGATTGCAGTGAGCCAATCGCACCACTGCACTCTAGGCTGGGCAACAGAGTGAGACTTTGTCTCAAAAAAGAAAAGAAAAAGACATGTAACCCTAAGTTATTTTATAAATCTGTTTCCTCATGTATGAAAAGGTACTGAAGAAAAATCAGAAACCATCACAAAAAGTGTGGGTCAAACAAAACATTTCTATAGGCTTTATCTTTTTTTTTTTCTGAGTTAAGTTCTCCCTTTGCCACCCAGGCTGAAGTGCAGTGGTGTGATCAAGATTCACTGCAACCTTGACCTCCTGAGTTCAAGCGATCCTCTCACCTCAGCCTCCTGAGTAGCTGGGACTACAAAAATGCACTACCACACCTGGCTAATTTTTGTATTTTTTGTAGAGACAGGGTTTCACCACTTTGCCCAGGCTGGTCTCAAACTCCTGAGCTCAAGTGATCCGCCCACCTTGGCCTCCCAGAGTGCTGGGACTACAGTTGTGAGCCATGGTACCAAGCCTACCCCAGGTTTCAAACCAAATGTATACAACTGCATATGTGGATTTTTCTGGAGAAGTGTCCAAGACTAAGAACCACTGACTAGCCCAAATTTGTCTACTTCTACCATTTCAGCAGCCGTCTGTGAGGATGAGTCCCACATTTACATCCAGTCCACCTATGAGATCGCCTTACCTCCTTAACATGCCTCTGCCACTGCTACCTCCTCTCAATTGCCATTGCCACCACCTTAGTTCAAACCCTCTTCAAATCTCTTGTCAGGAGCTGCCTCACTGGTCTAATTACAGTCTTGTCCTCCTTTTTCCTACTCTGTATAACTCAAATCCTCTAAATCTCAAGTAATTTATGTGGCCAAAGACTTTCAGGGTCTGCTTGTCACGTAAAAGAAATCCAAACTCCTTCCCCTAACACAGAAACTCCTTAGGACCTGGCCAGACTGACCTTTCCCTCTCACTATTTATTCCCCTCCTCCTCCAACTCCTGGGAGGTAACAGAACCACAATTTGCAACACAGGATACTCTTTTGTCCCTAAACTTTGATTCCTACTTACAGGTCACACCTTATGGAATGCCGAACTCCTCCCATTCGCTTAGGACAGAAACTTCCCCTGCAAAGCCCTCACTTTAAAACCTAGCCTGCCCTTTAGGCCAGAATAGAAGAATATTCCTCCAGGCTAAGCTATTACTTAACATTCACATTGGCATTGTAAATGTCAGCTTATTTTTCTTCTCCAATAGACTAAAAACTCCTCAAGGGCAGAGAACGTGTCTCTATTGCAAAGCTCAGAGCTACAACAGAGAAGCTAATCTGTTAAATGAATGAACCAGCAGCTGCTCCTACCAATCAAGTCAGGTAAACATGCCCAGGACTCTAAAGTGAGCCTATCAATTCTACAAACTGCTCAGTGCCTTCAAAACCATGCAACACTACCGTCCACGGGGACTCACAAAAACACTTCAAAACCTGAAAGAGCGGAACGAGGAGTAAAGCAAACCCACCCTGTGCTCCTTTGCCCTCGGTGTACTTACTATACCTTTATATTGGCCAATTCCAAATTCAAACAGCAGAGACTATGCTAACATGAAGCTGCTGAAATGGAATATACTGCACAATTTTTTACTGGCAAAAATATATTTATTTGCCCCATTAAAGTAATTATAATATTCTCTCTGTACTCAAATACTTATTAGTATTATTAATATATACTGAGGCAAGAACTCATTAAAAATTCACATCAAGAATATTAAAAATCTGGCCGGGCGCGGTGGCTCACGCCTGTTATCCCAGCACTTTGGGAGGCCAAGGCGGGCGGATCACGAGGTCAGGAGACCGAGACCATCCTGGCTAACACGGTGAAACCCCGTCTCTACTAAAAATAGAAAAAATTAGCCGGGTGTGCGGGCGCCTGTAGTCCCAGCTACTTGGGAGGCTGAGGCAGGAGAATGGCGTGAACCCGGGAGGTGAAGCTTGCAGTGAGCTGAGATCGTGCCACTGCACTCCAGCCTGGGCGACAGAGTGAGACTCAGTCTCAAAAAAAAAAAAAAAAAAAAAAAAAGAATATTAAAAATCTTTAGAAAAAAATAGAAAAGTTATGCACCAGAAAAAGTTATGCACCAAGAAAATATAAAGGTTATGCTTCAGGAACCATTCTAAAGGCTTTATGTTCAATTCCTCATTTAGTCTTCACAGCAACCCTATGAAGTAGGTACTATTATTACCCCCTTTTACAGACGAAGAAAACTGAGACTTAATCAGATTAAGTAATTGTCATTATCCAAGGTCACACAGTCAGGATGCAAGGCCTATTTGCTCCAGAGCCCAAGCTTTTAACCAATACAAAACGACACAACTACCATTACATGGACAATCCTACCCTTACGTTTTTCCTCTTTGTTTCTGCTGTATGCATACACATAAAGAGAAAAAGCACACGAAAGTGTTAAACAGTGGTTATCCTTTGAGTGGGAAAAACAGGTCTACTCTCCAAATATAGCATAAGCCTACTATAGTATGTATAGTACAGTATTACTTTCAGTTATTTAAAAAAGGAAACAAGAGAAATAGTATTTAGATGTTACTACTAGAAAAGTAAGGTGGAGGCCAGGCCTGGTGGCTCACACCTATAATCCCAGCACTTGGAAAGACTGAGGCAGGCGGATCCCTTGCATCCAGGAGTTTGAGACCAGCCTGGGCAACATGGGGAAACCCTGTCTCTACAAAAAATACAAAAATTAGCCAGGCATGGTGGCAAGCACCTGTAGTCCTGGCTGACTACAGGCACACCTGAGGTGGGAGGATCACTGGAGCCCAGGAGGTTGAGGCTGCAGTGAGCTGTAATCATGCCACTGTACTCCAGGCTCGACAACAGAGTGAGACCCTGTCTCAAAAAAAAAAAAAAAGAAAGAAAGAAAGAAAGAAAGAAAAGTAAAGTGGGCTAGTGGAATTAACATTTAATTAATACTATTATGGGCCAAACACATGGCTATCTCATCTAACCCTTATATCAAAGAATTTTATTCCCATTTTAAGTTAAAGAAACCAAAGACTAAATAACTTGCCCAGCGGAAGGACTGGGATCAGAACTCAAAGCCCAGTCTAAAGGTGTCACTGCAGGAAGTCATGCTACAAATAAAATTTCACCAAAAACTCATCTTTTATTTTTTTTGAGATAGAGTTTTGCTCTGGTTGCCCAGGCTGGAATGCAATGGTGCAATCCTGGCTCACTGCAACCTCCGCCTCCCAGGTTCAAGTGATTCTCCTGCCTCAGCCTCCAGAGTAGCTGGGATTACAGGCATACACCACCACGCCTGGCTAATTTTGTATTTTTAGTAGCGACGGGGTTTCTCCATGTTGGTCAGGCTGGTCTCGAACTCCGGACCTCAGGTGATCCGCCCGCCTCAGCCTCCCAAAGTGCTGGGATTACAGGCGTGAGCCACCACGCCCGGCCTAAAAACTCATCTTAAAAACAAATCACATTCTGTGAAAGGATGAGAACCAAGTAGTCTGTCACCTTACGTGCAAGGAGGGAAAAGAGGGAGGCTTAAGGTTTTAAATTGAGTATTTCCTCAGTATCTCAAACTAGCCAGGAGCATTGTCAAAAATCAGCCTTTACAGTCAGGACTTCTGGGACAAACTCTTGCTTGAAGAAGTGAGGAGACTCTATTGCTGTTTGTTTTGCCTAGCACAGAGCTGCATGTGTAAGTTAAACTGACTTAGCACTGGGGACAATTTGCTGCCTCCAACCCAGTCTCACCTATTCAACCATTGTTTTACCAGTTACCAGGTGTGGGGGAGGGGGAAAGAAAAGTGTCTGAGAATATTGCTCTAACTGTATTCAAATATAAATGACTTTTCATTAGCCATAACCATTGTACCAAACCTGGATAGTGAGAGCTGCTAACCCTCAGAGAACATCTCAGGTATGAATAAATAGTTTAGCATTTTTTTGAAATGTCATTAATTTTGGGTGCTCTCAGAAATGTTTAATTCCTTCTAAACTAAAATTTTTATTTCTCTAAAAATAGTAGCAACATGATTTGCTGAGAAAAAGTTGGAATGGGATATACAAATTTCCTCCTAAAAATCTTCCAGAGGAAAGAAAACTTGATTATTTCAGACTTGTAATTATACTAACCATTTACTTTTTAAACTAACACTTAATAATAAAAAAGCATATTCCCTTAGTAGTTTAAAGTTAATTCAGTATTTGCCCTGAAAATCTTTTATTAATTTCAAATGGAATGTAACTTTTAAAAACATCAAACCTGTCATTCCTTCAGGAAATAAAGTAGCCCATTAGGCGATCAGGTTAGGAAATTAATACATGTTTGAGGTAGGGTGGGAAAAAGTACAAAACTTTTTTGGTATTTGTACACATAGTTTTGGAAAGCTTAGGAATGTGAAGTCAACAATATACCTTTAAAATATCAAATTATAAGGCAATAACAATTTTTTTCAAACCTTAAAATGTTCCAAGAAAAATGACTAAGAATGATTTTTTTCCATCCAGTATATGCTCTAAAAATAAGGACAAACTATAATAGAAGTAACGATTTTTGGTACACATGTTTAAAAAAATGTCCATGTCAATAAACAATTTCAATTAATCAATAAACTTAAAACAACCATTAAATGTAATTTGCATTTTTGTATCAGATCCATACAATCTCAAATATCAAGATTTTCTTAAGCTCAATGCTAAATGACCGGATATCTATCATTGTGGAGAAACAGAGTTTGATCTTAGGCAGACGAAAGGAAAAGAAAGGCACACACCTAGAAGAATCACATGAGTCTCATTTCGAAGCCTCACGGAAGTCAGCACTGAAAGTCGTGGGTGACCCATTGCCCTGCAAGTGGTAGCTTTTCACTAACAACAGTGCTGGGGGTACTGAGTGGGCAGAATGTGGGACATCTCCTGCCAGCAACTCCAGCCTGCTACCAAGCAGGACACCGCACATAAACACAACACTCTGCCCTAAGCTCACCAAAAAAAAAAAAAAAAAGGAAAAAACCAACAATTAAACGATGCAAAATAACCTCTCCAAACACGCCCACACTGGGGACTGGCAGTGGGGGGTGGCAGGGTCTATTAACATTTCAATGTCAACACTCAAGAACAACAAGGAGGTAAGCATAGCCACGGGAAACATCCTGTCCCTGAAAAGCAGAAAATCGAGATTTGGAAATTTATGTTTATCACTTTTTTTTTTTTTAACGTTCAGAGCTCAGGGCACCAAAATATAGCTAAAATTGAATCCATTTAAACAGAAAACATACGTGTGTGTGTATGAATATATATGTGTTTATATATGCATATAAAATATATACATACACATATATTTTTTTTTCGTTTAAATGTTATACATACACACACACACACACACACACACACACACACACCCCAAAACCAAAGTAGTTTTGCTAGGTTCCGAGGGCTCTTCCACAGACCCTTCTGAGTTGTAGCAATAACAAGTTTAGGTTTCCTTAAAATCTCCATTACTCTATTTCTAGGTCGAATACAAGAATGTCACATAAAACTAAACAGTGATTATCAGAATAAATGAACTACTGATCCTTAAACTGTAGACCTTGTTTCGGGAGCTGCCCTGCCCACTTCCTCTCCCTCCTCCCAATCCCGGAGGCTTCCAAGCCATCTGACAACCACGTCTCCCCCTTGGGATCTGTTCCGGTGTTGGTTTTACCGGACAGTGACCAAAAAGGAGGGGAAACTCCTACATCTGGGGACTGCTCCAGAAACCCTGCCTGATCCTGCCCCTCTCACTGACAGTCTCCTCGCTGCTCCCTACATCTTCCTCTCCGCCGGAGCTGTCCAGAAGGGGGATTTTGGACCCAAAGGAATCGGGATGAAAGGGGGTGGGTACTCAAGCTGAAAATAACACCCCCAGTTGGTGGGGTAAGGGCTAAAAAAGGCAATAGGGAAAGATTGTCCGGCAGAAACACCACCTGAGTTTACCTCCTCCTTCCCACCCCAAAAACCCAGTCACTAACTAATAAAGCTAAGAAAAGCCCCTTGCAAACTTTTCCAAACCGGAAGAGAAGGCCCTCTCCCCAACCTGGGGGGCTCTAGGGGGAAGGGGCTGGAGTTAGCAGCCCCGAATGGGCTCGCGGGGAGTTGGGTGGGGCGCGGGCGAGGGGTGCAGGGGCGGAGTACCTTCTTCAATGGACAGGAACTGGCAAAGAGTTTCAAAATAGCCGAGTGCGCTCCCCCACGCCCTGGGGGGTCCCGGGCGCTAGGACCAGGGCTCCCCGGAGAGACAGCGGCCCCCAGTTCGGGCCTAAAAGGAAACTTTCTGGGCCGCGGCTGCACCTGACTCCTCACCGCCCCTCCACCCGACCCCACGCCCGCCAGGCCGCCCGCCCCGCCCCGCCCCGGCCTGGCCGTCCGGAGCGCGGAGGAGGGGGATAAATAAATTCAACTCTTACCGGAATCTGGGGGCCGTCTGCGAGAGACCCGGGGGAAGGGGAGCCGGGCGCCCATTCCCCACTCCCCACTCCTAGGCCCTGACGCCCCTGTCCCGGCAGCCCGGGCCTGCCGCCCCGCGGGAAAGCCTCCGGGCCGGCGCGGGATTCGGCCCAGCAGCGCCGCCGTCCCACCCGGAGACCCCGGGGGACTCGAGGGGGCGCGCGGAGGCCCGGGGTGCGGGGGCAGGGCGCGGCTGCCGTGGGGCCTACCGGCCCGAGGCCTACCGGCGCCCCCCCCTCCCGCCGCACACCCCCACCTGGCCCGCGCAGGCCGCTCCGCTCGCCCCACTCCGGCTCCGGCTGGACCCCTGCCCGCCCGCCGTCGCCGCCCGCGGGCGCCCCGGAGGCCCTCAGGCCCCCGGCCTCCACCACCCGGGCGCCGGCCCCACTCACCCTTTCATTCTCCGCCCGGGGCCTGGCGTGGGCCGGCGAATCCCCGGCCTCACGTAAGCGCGCTCGCCGCCCGCCCAGCCTGCGCGGCCCAGCCCGCCGCCCTACGGGAGCCCGGGGATGTGGGCCGGGCCTGGGGCCGCCTCTGCTTACCTTTCAGCTGCTTTTTTTTTTCTCCTTCCCCCCTGTTCCCTCGGCTGGGCTGACAGATCAGAGTGAGAGGCGCTGGCAATGGACTAGGAAGCTCGGCTGCCGCTGCTACTGCTCCCCCCTGGGCTCCGGCGAGAGCCTTTCCCTGTCAAGCAAGAGGGGTGAGGATCATATTTTTATTTTGGAAACTAAAAAGTGCTCCCAGGGTCGGTGATTATTAAGGGGAAATCCCTGAATATACTCTCCAGCCAAGAAGGCAGGGCTGCCGGGGCTGTACAAGAAGAGGCAGCAGCCTCCTACAGCACCACTACAGGCACTGCGAGGACATAACACCAGAGAGCTGCTCCTCTGCCCTCCGAAACGACAACTTTCCTACCATCTTGGAGGCAGAGCAAAGGGGGGCCAGGGGGAAAAGTGCACCCGCTCCCGATAAAGTACAAATTTTTACTTCTCATCTCTGGAAAAAAGTCCACACCGGCCGTCTACACCCGCGCCTGGGGGAGAAAGCAGGGAAGAAACGGGGGGTGCATGAGAAACGTTTTCATTTGCTCCAGGGGGAAAAATGTTTCTGCATCTTCTGATGGAAAGAAATCTTTACAAGACACAGGTTTTCCGGTGGTTATTGTTTTTTATTTTCTGTTTTTAATTTTTTTCATGTTAGTGACAGTGATATTTTAATATTTTTTTAAGCCAGTAATAATTTTTCTCCATTACAGGGCTAAGTTCTGTGGCTGGTGGTCAGTTTGTAAATTTATACTTAAAGAGACTTAATAGTAACTTCATTTATTTGTCTGGTTATGTTATTGTATATATAAATATTTATGTTTTCATATATTGCATATAAAAATTTGTGTTACATGTTACTCTCAGAACAGATTGCTGTAAGACAATTGTAAAAAAACATGTCTTTCGTCTGTTTCTCAAAGCAATGTAAATAAAACCTATGGACTGTCCAGAAAGGCATGATACAGTGTGTCATTTTCCACAGTGCAGATAAAGGCAGCTATCACTGGGGATTTAAAAACGGCCCCTGTTTCTGGAAATTCTGTTATGCTGCCCATACAGAAAGGATACAGTAAAACTGGAAAGAGATTTTAAAGACAGCCTTAGATTTTTCTTGAGGTAAAATAGCTTATTAAGAATTATATCCGGGCATTTAATTTTTTTATTTATTTAGATTCTTTAAACTCTAGCTAGATCTTTGGTGCATTACACATGTTGCTATCTGCTTTTTGTGTCACAGAATTGAGAAATGTGGCTATTTTTGTTAGTTATGTTAGTTCAGAACTTCCAATGTGCTGCCAGCCTGTATGATAGACTTTTTGTATATTGCAGTGGATGTCATGAATTTACTTTTTTAAATGAGCAAAGCTTACTAGATAAATGGGATCAGAGTTAAACAATGCTGTTAGCACAGAGGTGAGAGGGACAAAGGGTACCCATTTACATCGATTCCAATAGAACGCTTATTGGAGGATAAATTGCAGAGACATTTTTCTATTTTTGTGAAGAAAGAGAAAAATAATAGAAAAAGAACCGACTATCTTTGTATGTTCTACTGGGGATGATGATTTAAATCTTGTATTAAAAGTTATTTTTCTAACACATGTTGACTAACCTGGCAGGAATGAATTTGTTATATTAGTGCCCTGAATCAGTAGAATATTTAATTTCTTTGTAAAATTTATTACACAACATTTAGAAATAACTTCCAAATTTAGAAATTGTCCTGATTTAAAAGTGAGTTCATGTAATGCATATATCGGATATTTATTAGTTTCTAGCTGAACCTTATCTTTATCATATAACTTTGAATATAGTACTTACCTAAATATTCTGGATTTTCTTTTTTTTTTTTTTTTTTTTTTTGAGACGGAGTCTTGCTCTTTCGCCCAGGCTGGAGTGCAGTGGCCCGATCTCAGCTCACTGCAAGCTCCGCCTCCTGGGTTCACGCCATTCTCCTGCCTCAGCCTCCCGAGTAGCTGGGACTACAGGCGCCCGCCACCACGCCCGGCTAATTTTTTCTATTTTTAGTAGAGACGGGGTTTCACTGTGTTAGCTAGGATGGTCTGGATCTCCTGACCTCGTGATCCGCCCGCCTCGGCCTCCCAAAGTGCTGGGATTACAGGTGTGAGCCACCGCGCCCGGCCTATTCTGGATTTTCTTCTGTGGTTTTCTTCCTCTTTGTTTGGTGGAAAAAGTTAAGTAAAATTAACTGATTCTCATCATCTTGGAAACCTCAATTGTGAAGCTATGTTCTATTTACAATATTTTTTTTAAACATTTAGACATCAAACACATTAGTTATCACAAGGAAAATCCCTTAACTAGACCTCTGGCGAAATTGAAAAACATGTTTTCTAACAACTTATTTTTCTTTATATATGACATGACTTTATAGATATGTTTTGAATTTTTCAAGAAATTAAAATGTGATCAGATTCCATGGCTTATGTCTGTGATCCCAGCACTTTGGAAGGCCTAGGTGAGAGTATTGCTTAAGCCCAGGAGTTTGAGACCAGCCTGGGCAACACAGCCAGACCCTTTCTCCAAAAACAAAAATTAAAATAAAATGTGCTTGTTTGCATTAAGCTGGCTGCACCCTTTTTTGCAATGCCCCTTGTGACCAAAGGAACTTGTCTGTCAGTGGATAGGGCTATGCTGCATCAGCTTAGCATTTCAGTGCTTTTCTCTTTATAAAGTTTGACTTCTGCTTAGCTATAGTCTATGATATTTATCCATCAATTGAGCAAAATATTCAAGACTTGAGGCCAGGCACAGTGGCTCACGCCTGTAATCCCAGCACTTTGGGAGGCAGAGGTGGGTGGATCAACTGAGGTCAGGAGTTTGAGACCAGCCTGGCCAACATGGTGAAACCCTGTCTCTACTAAAAATACAAAAATTAGCTGGGTGTGGTGGCAGATGCCTGTAATCCCAGCTACTCTGGAGGCTGAGGCGGGAGAATCACTTCAACTGGAAGGCGGAGGTTGCAGTGAGCTGAGATTGCACCATTGCACTCCAGCCTGGGCGACAAGAGTGAAACGCTGTCGCAAAAAAATTGCTATGTCTGATTCATAGAATCTGCAAATGCTAACAAAACTACTGATATAATTTTTTTTTTTAATTTTTTTTTTGAGACAGAGTGTCACCAGGTTGGCCAGGCTGGTCTTAAACTCCTGACCTCAGGTGATCCGCCTGCGTCTGCCTCCCAAAGTGCTGAGATTACAGGTGTGAGCCACCACACCTGGGCTAAAACTACTGATATAATTTGAGGAAGCTATTTTTTTCCCAATAAAATTTCCACTACTCAAATTTGGCTACATTATTGAGCACTTAATGCATCTTTATGACCTTATTGGATACTTTTCTCTATGTTTTCTTATTTAATTCCTGTAAGAGCTCCAAAAAGTATTACATTTTTCTTTTCTTTTTTAAAAAAAAATAAAGATGGGATAATTGTCTTTCCTGTCAGGGATCATGTACCTTCTCGGCCCAAAAGCTTTCCAATAAGATTCTCAATTCTCCTGGTTTAGAGTGTCCAAGGTGCCTGTCACAATTCTGTGCACTATGCTTGAAGTGCTAGGTTCGTGCTCTATGCTCTTTGCCAAAAACAAACTGAGTAGCCAGCTATTGGAGCCCCCTTCATTCATGGGTGGCAACCAGTGGCTTATTTCACTTTCGTGAAGTCTAGCACCTAATCTATCAGTTGTTTTGAGGAATGCGAATAAATAACAAAAATAAACGCGTTATGATTAACAGAGACTTTGTTCCTGATCCTGAAAATGAGCAGTATATTGTATAAAGCACTAACTTATTCTATTATACCTTCATTTCACAAATAGCTGTTTGGCCGTTAGTTGAAGTAGGAAATGCTTACCTTAATTCTTTTTTTTTTTTAGACAGAGTCTTGCTCTGCCCAGGCTGGAGTGCAGTGGCGCGATCTCGGCTCACTGCAACCTCCGCCTCCTGAGTTCAAGCTATTCTCCTGCCTCAGCCTTCCAAGTAACTGGGATTACAGGTGCCCACCACCACACCCGGCTAATGTTTGTATTTTTAGTAGAGACGGGGTTTCCCCAAGTTGGCCAGGCTGGTCTCAAACTCCTGAGCTTGGCCTCCCAAAGTGTTGGGATTACAGGCGTGAGCCACTGCACTCGGGCAATATTTTTTAAAAATTATTTTTATTATTATTTTTTTTTACATAGAGATGGGGTCTTGCTATTTTGCCCAAGCTAGTCTGAAACTCCTGAGCTCAGGCTATCCTCCTCTCTCTGCCTGCCAAAAGTGCTGAGGTTACAGGCGTGAACCACCTTCCCCAACAACCTTAATAATTTTAGTATCATTAGACTCTTTCATTGATCTACCTTTTGGTATTAATTATTTTAGTTTTCTGTCTTTCTTTTTTTTTTCTGAGACAGAGTCTCACTCTGTTGCCAGGCTGGAGTGCAGTGGTGTGATCGCAGCTCACTGCAACCTATGCATCCCGGGTTCAAGCGATTTTCCTGCCGCACCCTCCTGAGTAGCTGGGACTACAGGCATGCACCACCATGCCCAGCTAAAATTATTAAGAAAATATCAGCCAGGCGCGGTGGCTCATGCCTGTAATCTCAATACTTTGGGAGGCCAAGGCAGGCAGATCACCTGAGGTTAGGAGTTCAAGACCAGCCTGGCCAACATGGTGAAACCCCACCTCTACTAAAAATACAAAAATTAGCCTTTCAGCTACTAGGGAGGCTGAGGCAGAAGAATCACTTAAACCCAGGGGGCGGAGGTTGCAGCGAGCGGAGATCGCGCCACTGCACTCCAGCCTAGGCAACAGACTGGAGTGCAAGACTCTGTCTCAAAAAAATAAAATAAAATAAATAAAATTTAAAAACTCCCAAGGAGGTGAGGGAGTAGAAATAGGGTATGTACATAGCCTGAAAGTTTTCAAAGCCACACTATTATGATGGCCATAGACTCAAATTTTTTTCACTTTAAAGCCTTTCTGTTTTGCAAACATTTGTTGGTAATGTTTCTACCTAAAATAAAGATTTTGGTTTTATTGTGGTTACAAGAAAGTGTTTCTGAGATAAACACTGTATTTGGCAGACAGACATACACATCATAGCTTTAGATTGACTATGAAATTTCTTCAATAAAGATTCAAAGCTGGGCGTGGTGGCTCACACCTGTAATCCCAAAACTTTAGGAGGCTGAGGAGGGAGGATCACTTGAGCCCAGGAGTTGGAGGTCACAGTGATCTGTGATCGCACTACGGCACTCCAGCCTGGGCAACAGAGTGAGAGCCTGTCTCAAAAAAAAAAAAAGGCCGGTATGGTGGCTCACACCTGTAATCCCAACACTTTTAAAGGCCGAGGCGGGTGAATCACGAGGTCAGGAGTTTGAGACCAGCCTGGCCAACATGGTGAAACCGTGTCTGTACTAAAAATACAAAAAATTAGCTGGGCATAGTGGCAGGGGCCTGTAATCCCAGCTACTCTGGAGGCTGAGGGAAGAGAATCGCTTGAACCTGGGACGTGGAGGTTGCAGTGAGCCGAGATCACGCCACTGCACTCTAGCCCGGGCGACAGAGTGAGACTCCATCTCAAAAAAAAAAAAAAAAAAAAAAAAAAAATATATATATATATATATATATATATACACACACACACATATATATGTATATCACATATATGTGTGTATATATATACACATATATATATACACACACACATATATATGTGTATATATAAAAAAATACTATATATATTTATATATTCAGCTGTAGTCAAACATGAGCGTTGATCAGGTAATCTCCCTAATGCTAATATCTAGCCTGGGGCAGTTAGACCTCTGATTTCATACCAGAAACCAAGAAGTGGGTGTTTGGTTTTGTTTTGCCTTTTTTTTTTTTTTTTGAGATGGAGTCTCACTCTGTCACCCAGGCTGGAGTGCAGTGGTGCGATCTCAGCTCACTGCAACCTCCACCTCCCAGGTTCAAGTGATTCTCCTGCCTCAGCCTCCCGAGTAGCTGGGATTGCAGGTGCCTGCCACCACACCCAGCTAATTTGTTGTATTTTTAGTAGAGACGGGTTTTCACTGTGTTGGTCAGGCTGGTCTCAAACTCCTGACTTTGTGATTCGCCTGCCTTGGCCTCACAAAGTGCTGGGATTACAGGTGTGAGTCACCGCGCCTGGCCTGGTTTTGTTTTTAAATCCCCACAAAGGCCAAAAGATACCCTCCAGGAACCAGATGGTCAATTTTGTGCTGCCTTCTCATCATACTAAAGGCAGAAAATGTGACATTCTAGACACTGTATACCATAGGCATTCTTGGGCTATTTTACTGACTCCTAACCTTGGAAAAAGGAAAACAACTCCCCAACTGAAGTCATGTTTTCAGTAATAATTAGTAAAAAGAAACACCCCAAAGCAGTATGAATGATTGGGTGGTGGAATCAGAAGTGATAGTCAGCCTTTTCCATATAATTTTAAAAACTGTCCCAAAAGTGGTGGTTAGCTAAAACATTGAAGTAAGGCGAGAAATCCATTGAGACCTCTGAATAATAGGCAGAGGTTAACACAAAGGTGACAGTGTTCATTTCTGCTGCATTCCTGGCTAAGCAAGCTTTTGTAGACCTGCTGGGAATTTAACCACTATTTCCATGGGAAAACAAATTCCAGGTTCCAAACAACTAATTTACAGTGATGTTCATGGGAACACAGCCCATTAATAAGTTTGGACTTCCTGTGCTATAACATCTTCTCCATGTAGTTGTTATAGACTGCCAGAGTTCGATGATAAGAATGGGAAAATACAGGGAAAATCCTCTCAAACAAAAAAGGAGTAACTATGAAGACAACCTAAATAGCTTGACTTAAACTCAGGTCAAGGGAAAGATTATCAAAGATATTAAATGGTAAAGCCAGTTCTAGTACACCAGGAAGGAAAAAAAGACCTCAATAACTGAAAATTGTACTATTTACTCCATATACATTGAAGTTTGTTGTTGTTGTTTTGAGACAAAGTCTTGCTCTTGTCACCCAGGCTGGAGTGCAATGGCACAATCTCAGCTCACTGCAACCTCCGCCTCCAGGGTTCAAGTGATTCTCCTGCCTCAGCCTCTTGAGTTGCTGAGATTACAGGCGCCTGCCACCACGCGCAGCTAATTTGAAGTTTGTTTATGCATACCTGGGTGCCATATGATAGTATTATAGGTATTTGCATTTTCTTCTATTCTTAAAGAAAAAACAGGTAAGATTCTACTAAAAATTACTAGATCTCATCGTTCTACTAAGTTAATGCTCTTTTGGCACCACACAGCAAGTCATGGCCATTCTTGTTCTCATGCCTCTATTCTTGTTCTGATGCTCTCTGTTTTCAGCTCTGCCAATTAAATCCCACTCTGCTTGATGACTTGCTCACAGTCTTGTCCCTGAAGCCTTCTGAGGCCAAGTTGAGTCTATACTGACCTTATTGTTAATTTAATACCTTGAGTTGTTTTCTAGCTTTTCTTAGTTTTTTGGGTTTTTTTCTACATGTGCAACAGGAGCTGTAGTGATTAATAGCTTCATCTCTGGAGTCAAGGCCATCTGATTTGGAAACTTGGCTCTACCATTTTCCTACTGTGTAACCCTGGGCAAGCTCCTAGTCTAGTCTGTTTTATGCTGCTATAACAGTATGCCATAGACTGAGAAATTTATAAAGAAGAGAAATTTATTTCTTACACTTCTGGAGACAGGAAGTCCAAGAGCATGGCGCTGACATCTGAAGAGGGTCTTTTTGTTGTGTTATCGCATGGCAGAAGGCAGAAGGTCAAGAGAGTACATGTATGAGTGGGGAAAGCGGGGAGGAAGGAAAGGAAGGTGGCAGAACTTATCCTTTTATCAGGAACCCACTCCCACAATAACTAACCTACTTCTGTGATAACAGCATGAATCCATTCAGTAGGGCAGAGCTTTTATGACCTGATCACCTCATAAAGGTCTCACCTCTCAACCTCTTTGCTTTGGGGATTAAGTTTCCAACATATAAACCTTGGGATACACATTCAGACCATAGCACTCCTTACCCTCTCAGTTTCCTCATTTGTAAAACTAGAGATAATAATAGTACCTGCCTCACTGGGGTATTCTGAGGATTAAATGGCATAGTAGATAAAGCACAAGGCTCCAGCACTTTTAGTGGAGATGGGGTTTCACCATGTAAGGATGGTCTCAATCTCCTGACCTCATGATCCGCCTGCCTCAGCCTCCCAAAGTGCTGGGATTACAGGTGTGAGCTGCCGCGCCCAGCCCCAGATATTCTTAAATACCCGGATAATTTTAAGTTTAGCTGAGATTTTGGTGCCCTTCAGAATCAATGAAGGTCTTAAAATATAAAAGGGGGTTCAGAAATAGTACATAGAGAATACACCACAAGCCAGGCACAGTGGCTCATGTTTGCAATCCCAGCACTTTGGGAGGCCGAGGTGGGAGGATCACTTGAGGCCAGGAGTTCGAGACCAGCTTGGCCAACATAGTGAGACCATGTCTCTATAAAAAATTTTAAAAATTAGCCAGCTGGGAGGCCAAAGCAGGCAGATCACCTGAGGTCAGAAGTTCGAGACCAGCCTGGCCAACATGGTGAAACCCCGTCTCTACAAAATAGCCAGGTGTAGTGACGCACGCCTGTGATCCCAGCTGCTCAAGAGGCTGGGGCAGGAGAATCGCTTGAACCTGGGAGGCGGAGGTTGCTGTGGGCGTAGATCACACTACTGCACTCCAGCCTGGGCAATAGAGGAGACTCTACACACACACACACACACACACACACACATATGTATATATGTATGTGTGTATATGTGTATGTGTATATGTGTGTGTGTCTACGTGTGTGTGTGTGTGTGTGTGTGTATATGCCACTTGTGGTGGCATGAGCCTGTAGTCCCAGCTATTTGGGAGGCTGAGGCAGGAGGATCGCTTGAGCTGAAAAGGTTGAAAAAAATTTTTTTAATAATAATAGATACATACATACGTATTCAAGAAGTGTCTATAAATCACTTACAGTGTGCTAGGCACAGGTGGTAAGGATATTGGGGAAACAGCTCCTGCCTGCGAGTGTCTTCAGTCTGGCAAGAGACAAAAGAATTATTGTTTTAGGGTTATTTATTTTTATATAGATCCTCTTGATATGTAAGCTTTTATAAATATAAGCTTTTGAAAATATAAGCTCCACGAAGCCTGGAGATTTTGTCTTTTTTTGTTTTGTTTTTGTCTAGTTTGTTCATTTGGCCTCTTGAACACTGCCTGGGATGAAATATACACCGTAAATATTTGTTGGATTAATGAATATTTGAGATTTTGGATTCTTTACTATTTGATAATTAAGGTATGGCTTTTAGATGGTTAAATGAGAAGGACTCTGAGGAATTGAGCATGGACTTTCTAACCATCTCACTACAAAAGTCCAAGATGATTAGCAAAATATCTGTGTAATTCTAGTTATTTCAGCCACCCTCAAGCATTATATTCCAATTGGCCATACTCTAGTTTAAAAACCTGGGAGTGGTATTAAGTATTCTTTTTCTTTTCTATTGACATATTTCTGTTGTGCATTTCTATTGCCAAAGATACTTAAAACGTGTGCATATCCTAGGTTATTTTAAGATGACTAGCCGTACAGGTCAAAAAATTTAAAAATGGAATATAAGAGAATCACCTGGAGTAAAAAGCAAACATAGAAGATGTAAAAATATATATGGTTGCCATTATAGCCTTTTGTGTGGAAACTCTAGCATATTTGAGCAAACATCTTTGAGTATTCCCTTTTCACATTTTGTAGGACATGATCAGATATACCATCTGCTTCTCTGGGTAACTTGGCAGCTGTTAATTGACTAACATTCCCTGAGTTCTGTTGTCACCATCAGTGGTTCTAGAACATAAGAACAAAAAAAGATTGTAAGAATAGCCTTCATAACCCAAGTTTCCTTTAAATCATAGAGAGAAAAAAAATAAGAACCTATATTGACCAACTGGGAAAAACTAAAGGAATATTTACATAATCATAAGTCATTTTAATTTTCTCTAAGGCTATTACTACAATATATCTAAATATTTTAAATGTATATATAAAGCAAGAGCAATTAAGTAATTTAATACCAACAGAATTTATATTTCAAATGGGGGGAAAATGGATCATCTCATTTTGTGGTAAGATATACAGATGCTTCCTGTTGCCCTGTCCAGAATGATGTTAACATTAACCTCAGAGGAGGCCGTTAAGCCAGCGTTGAGCTAGACAGTAACCATTATGTCTCTCTCTATTGAGGAGGAGGGGAAAAATGATGTTACCTAAATTTATGAGCTGCAAACTGAACACTTCATACAATGATGATCAATGATATGATAAGTTATCATTCAATTTCTACGGTTTGTGTCCTCTCTGAAATGAAGCTAAGAAAAAAAATTGTAGGGAAATAACAGACTGCCGTTTGCATTATTAGAAAGCTCACGTAACTGCACTATGCAGGCCATTTGTCTTTTTTTTTTCCTGTTAGAAGGGAGTTTTTATTTTCTCTGAATCAAACTATTAGAGTAATACATTACTGAGTTCATTTTTGCTTCTATCTCTTTATCTTGACTTGAGTTCAGAAAACTTGGAACATGTGCATTCTTTTAAGCTGTCTGAAAGGATTTTGTGTATTTATGGTTTTACATGCCGAGCTATTTTTCCTCAGAAATTCTGACATCAAATGTGTGAATTTTTTCTCACACCAACCAATTCTCCAACTTTCCGGACACCAACGGGGTATCCTACAATTCAATTCAATTCTAACATTAACGGCCCAGCATTAGCAGCAGACTCCACAGGTTTTAAAGAGTCCTCAATTCCAATGCCATTCGCAAGTATTGGGTCCCCAGGTTACCCACACACACTTCTTGGGTACAAAGTCAGGGAGTTCCCACAACTTTCTCCCCTTCAGCTTGATAATTTGCTACAATGACTCACAGAACTCAGGAGCACTCTTATATTAATATTTACTGGCTCTTTATAAAAGATATAACTTGGGAACAGCCAAACAGAAGAGATGCAGAGAGCAAGATATTGGCAGGGGTGTTGGAAGCCCCGCGCCCTCTCTGGGCACACCACCCTCCTAGCAATTTGATGTGTTCACCAACCCAGAAGCTCACTGAACCTGTCATTAGGGGTTTTTATGGAGGTTTTGTCAAATCAGGATGACCAATTATTAACTCAGTCTTCAGCTCTTCACACTTCCCCACATATTGAGGGGATGGGCTGAAAGTTCCAGGCTTCTCATCAAGGTCTAGTCTTTCTGGTGACCAGGCCCCATCCTGAAGCTATCTAGGGCCCCAGCAAGAAACCTCAGTAGAACAAAAGATGCTTCTATCAACCAGGAAATTCCAAGAGATTAAGGAGCTCTGTGTCGGAAACTGGGGACAGAGACCAAATATTAGAACAAACGACGCTCCTATCATCCCTATCACTCAAGAAATGGCAGTTTTAAGAGCTCTGTGTCAAAAATCAGGGACAAAGTCCAAATAGATAGATAGATAGATACACATATATATACATATCTCTCTCTCTATATATATACACATATATATCTATTTCTTACTATGTCACACATGCTAACTCCTTATTCTGAAATAAAAGCAAAAAGCAAACACCAAACCAATAACAAAAAGCCTCCACAATGTACAGGTGTTATGGGGTCACATCATGATAAACCTATTGCGAATTGGGAATATTCTTAAATAAAAAATGCATTTAATGTACCTAATCCACCAAACATCATAGCTTAGCCTAGCCTACCTTAAATGAGCTTGGAACACTTACAATAGCCTACAACTGGGCAGAATCATTAAACACAAAGTCATTTTACAATGAAGTGTTGGCTGGACGCAGAGGCTCATGCCTATAATCCCATCACTTGGATACTGAGGCAGGAAGATTGGGCCGGGCACGGTGGCTCACGCCTGTAAGCCCAACACTTTTGGGAGACTGAGGCAGGTGGATCACCTGAGGTCAGAAGTTCGACACCAGCCTGGCCAACATGGTGAAACCACGTCTCTACTAAAAATACAAAAATTAGCTGGGCGTGGTGGCAGGCACCTGTAATCTCCTAGCTACTCCGGAGGCTGAACCAGGAGACTTGCTTGAACCCAGGAGGCGGAGGTGGCAGTTAGCCAATATCGTGCCATTGCACTCTAGCCTGGGCGGCAGATCAAGACTGTGTCTCAAAAGAAAAAAAAAAAAAAAAACTGGACGACTTAGTACAGATGGTCCCTGATTTACCATGGTTTGACTTAGGATTTTTCAGCTTTACCATGGTAACCATACAACTATTCTGTCTTTCAGTACAGAACTCAATGAATCGGCCGGGTGCAAGTGCCCGTCTGTAATCCCTGCACTTTGGGAGGCCGAGGCGGACGGATCACGGGGTCAGGAGATCGAGACCATCCTGGCTAACACGGTGAAACCTTGTCTCTACTAAAAGTACAAAAAATTAGCCGCGCGAGGTGGCAGGCGCCTGTAGTCCTAGCTACTCGGGAGGCTGAGGCAGGAGAATGCCGTGAACCTGGGGAGCGGAGCCTGCAGTGAGCCGAGATCGGGCCACTGCACTCCAGCCTGGGAGACAGAGCGAGACTCCGTCTCAAAAAGAAAAAAGAACTCTTTTTTTTTTGACAGAGTCGTGCTCTGTTGTCCAGGCTGGAGTGCAGATCTTGGCTCACTGCAGTCCCGACCTCCCAGGCTCAAGTGATCCTCCCACTTCAGCCTCCTAAGCGGTGAGTAGCTGGGACCACAGGTGCCCCACTATGCATGGCTAATTTTTTTGTTTTTCTTTTTGTAGAGACAGGGTCTCAATACGTTGCCCAGGCTGGTCTCGAGCTCCTGGGCTCAAGCAATCCTGCCAATTAGCTGGGATTATAGACATGTGCCACCATGCCCAGCATATATTTACTTTCATTAATCTATACTACTGCATCAAAATTATTATAATGTTGTGGCATGTTAAGTCTTTTTTTTTTCTAAGACAGAGTTTCACTCTTGTTGCCCAGGCTGGAGCGCAATGGCGCAATCTTGGCTCACCGCAACTTCCGCCTCCTGTGTTCAAGGGATTCTCCTGCCTCAGCCTCCGGAGTAGCTAGGATTACAGGCACGTGCCACCACGCCCGGCTAATTTTGTATTTTTAGTAGAGACGGGGTTTCTTCATGTTGGTCAGGTTGTTCCTGACCTCAAGTGATCCGCCCGCCTCGGCTTCCCAAAGTGCTGGGATTACAGGCGTGAGCCACCTCGCGGACTGCATGTTAAGTCTTTTGAAGCAGGCCGGGCGCGGTGGCTCACGCCTTTAATCCTAGCACTTTGGGAGGCCAAGGTGGCTGGGTTGCCTGAGCTCAGGAGTTCAAGACCAGCCTGGGCAACACGGTGAAATCCCGTCTCTACTAAAATACAAAAAAGTAGCTGGGCGTGGTAGTGTGCGCCTGTAATCCCAGCTACTCGGGAGGCTGAGACAGGAGAAACTCTTGAATCCAGGAGGCGGAGGTTGCAGTGAGCCGAGATTACCCCACTGCACTCCAGCCTGGGCGACAGAGCAAGACTCCGTCAAAAAAAAAAAAAAGGCTCTTGAAGCACACTAACTCTTCCAAAATTAAGCTCCCTTAAAGGAAAATAGAATTATTAAAATGAAAACAGTAAGCAACATAACTGTTACTATTTCAGCTAAGAATCTTAAAGCACATTACAGACACTTTTCATCTTAACAATTGGAAAAAACAAGTACTAGCAAGTGAATTGCTTAAGATTACATAGACTAGCCCAATTCTAGAGAGAAATAATTCAAGTGTATCTTATTGTCATCTTGTTGTTAAGTACAGACATATTCAGATTTCACCAGTTTCCCACTAATGTTCTTTTTCTTTTTTCTTTTCTTTTTTTGAGACAGGTTCTCACTCTGTTGCCAAGCTGGAGTGCAGTGGCACAATCACAGCTCACTGCAGCCTTGAACTCCTAGACACAAGTGATCCTCCTACCTCAGCCTCTCAAGTAATTGGGACTGCTGACTTGAACCACCATGCCTGGCTATTTTTTATTTTTTAGTAGAGATGGAGTCTTGCTGTGTTGCCCAGGCTGCTCTTGAACTCCTTGATTCAAGTGATCCTCTTGCCTCAGCCTCCCAAAGTCCTAGGATTACAGGCATGAGCCACTACATTTGACCTAATGTCCTTTTTCTCTTCCAGAGAGTTAATCTTTCCTTGTCTTTCATGACCTTGACATTTTTGAAGAGTTCTAGTCAGTTACTTGGTATAACTGTCCCTGAGTTTGGGCTTGTCTTATGTTTTCTCATGATTAGATGAGTTAATATATTTTTGGCAAGAATCTCAGACATGATGTCCTATCAGGGAGTACATGATGTCAAAATGTGTTATTACAGACAGTTTATGTAGTTTTGTTTTCTTTCTTTCTTTCTTTCTCCTCTCCTCTTTCTCCTCTTCTCTTTTTCCTTTTTTTTTTTTTTTTTTTTTTTTGAGACTGCGTCTTGTGCTGTTGCCCAGGCTGGAGTGCAGTGGGGCAATGACAGCTCACTGCAACCTCCACCTCCTGGGTTTAAGTGATCCTCCTACCTCAGCCTCTTGAATAGCTGGGACTACAGTCATGCATAACCAACCCTAGCTAATATTTTATTTCTTGTAGAGACAGGTTGCACTATGTTGAACATGCTGAGTTTGAACTCCTGGGCTCAAGCCATCCTGCCGTCTCAGCTTCCCGAGGTGTTGGGATTACAGGTGCGAGCCAGTGGGCCTGGCTACCAGTTGTATAGTTTTATATTGCTGCTGTAACAAATTACCTCAAGCCTAGCAGCTTACAACAACACCCGTTTACTATCTCAAATTAGCATCTTCATAGGTTAGATGCAGATTAATGAGTTTGTTTCCACTTACTGTTCTATCAAGTTACCACATCGAGAGGCTTAAAATAAAACAAATTTTTTTCTTACAATTCAGGATGATAGAAGTCTGAAATGGGTTATAGTGGGTTAAAATTAAGATCTCAAAAGGCCTGCATCCCTTCTGGGGGCTGTGGGAGAATCCATTCCCTTGTTTTTTCCAGCTTCTAGAAGCTACCTGCATTCCTTGGCACATGTTCCCTTTTTCCATCTTTAAAGCCAACAGCATAGAATCTTCTAATCTGCTACCTCTGATCCTCCTGCCTCACTCATACAGATGCTTCTTATTACATTGGGTCCGCACAGATACTCCAGGATCATCTCCCCATTTTAAGATCCTTACTTTAATCACATCTACAGAAATCCGTCTTGCCAGATGAGGTAACATATTCACAGGTTTAGGGAATTAGAACATGGGCACTTTTGGGAGCCATTATTCTGCCTACCACATGAATATATTTAGACTAATAAGACAATCAGTCCATATAAATCAGGCAAAGGTAAAATGTCCTTAAATAACATGTTTCTTTTTACTCTTCCTTCTTATTCCAGTGAGTAGCTTTTTTTTTTTCCAAGACAGAGTCCTCCTATGTCATCTAGGCTGGAGTGCAGTGATGCGATCTCAGCTCACTGCAACCACCGCCAACCAGGTTCAAGCGATTCTCCTGCCTCAGCCTCCCGAGTAGCTGGGATTACAGGCATGAGCCACCGTGCCTGGCTATTTTGTGTGTGTGTATTTTTAGTAGAGATGGGGTTTCACCATGTTGGCCAGGCTAGTCTCGAACTCCAACCTCAGGTGATCTGCCCACCTTGGCCTCCCAAAGTGATAGGATTGCAGGCGTAAGCTACCACGCCTGGCCATGGGTAACTTTTTTTAAATTTGCAATACATTTGCACATTTATCTAGCTCCATAAAAAGTAATGTCATTAATCTTCCATTGGTAGCACATTGGCTTTCATTTGTCCTCCAGCAACAGTGAAGAACTGTTGTTAATCCATCTGTCTGTCAGCTCAGATTTTTACCAGTTATAAAAGCAACGATTATAATTTGCCATGATGCATTACTCTTCTGTCCAGAGAGCTCAGTTTATATGACCTGTATTCAGATCATTGGTTGGAAATTACATTGCCAGACCTAAATGAAAAAAAAAGTAAACATTCTCTTCATATTCTTGGCTATAAGTATGCTTTTACTTTTCATTCATTTATTCATTGAACAAATGTTTATTGAATATCTGTGCAAGGTACTGCAATAGGTATTGGTGCTATAAGGTCATAATTCAAAATATGGGGATATTGCTTTTAGTAGCTTAACCTCAAGTAATAACTCAAGTACTATCTCATATTTATATACTTACTTTCTTTTTTCTTTTTGAGACAGTCTCGCTCTGTTGGCCAGGCTGGAGTGCAGTGGCGTGATCTCAGCTCACTGCAGCCTCCACCTCCTGAGTTCAAGCAATTCTCCTGCTTCAGTCTCCAGAATAGTTGGACACAGGCGTGTGGCACCACACCCAGCTAATTGTTGTATTTTTAGTAGAGATGGGGTGAAACTATGGAGACATAGTTTCACCATGTTGGCCAGGCTGGTCTCAAACTCTTGGCCTCAAGTGATCCACTGGCCTCGGTTTCCCAAAGTGCTGGGATTACAAGTGTGAGCCACCCCAGCCTATATACTTACTTTCTGTCTGGGAGGTAGTTTCTAAAACCAAGGTTTTCTCATTCTTATTACTGTTGACTGACTGGAAATAAAATTTTTGATATAAAGTATTATGTGTAAAAAACAAAATATATTATGTGTAAAAAGTCATTTAATGCTTTATATTTCTAGTACTGAACTATAGATTGGTTGCATACTAATTCACAGGATACTCAGTATTCGCTTTCTTTCTTTCTTTTTTGTTTAGATACAGGGTCTTGCTGCGTTGCCCAGGCTGGTCTCAAAGTGGGCTCAAGTGATCCTCCCGCCTTGGTCTCCCAAAGTGCTGGCATTACAGGTTTAAGGCACTATGTCTGGCCTCATACTTTTTAAAAGATGAAATTCTTAGAAGAATTTTTTTTTTTTAGATGGAGTCTCGCTCTTGTTTCCCAGGCTGAAGTGCAGTAGTGTGATCTCGGCTCACTGCAACCTCCGCCTCCCAGGTTCAGGCGATTCTCTTCCCTTAGCCTCTACAGGTGTGCGCCACCATACCTGGCTAATTTTTGTATTTTTAGTAGAGACGGGGTTTTACCACGTTGGCCGGGCTGGTCTCAAACTCCTGACCTCCGGTGATCTGCCTGCCTCGGCCTCTGAAAGTGCTGGGATTACCAGCATGAGCCACCATGCCTGGCCCAGAAGAATTTTTTTAAGTGTAATACAATAAAAACAATTAACATTTATTAAGCACTTACTCCTGCGCAGAGCTTTACACAGATTATTTAGTCTTTCAAACACCTCTATGAGGTAGGTGTTATTATTATCAACATCCCCATTTCGCAGGTATTAGTAATAGAGATGACGTAGCTGGGGAGTGGTAGAGCCAGAATTTAAATCTGGGGAACTGATCCCATTACTTCCTCCCTTAACGCACACATCAGTGTGTACAGTATCTCATAGTGTTGCCACTCAGTAAATAGTGTAGGATATAATGATTGCTCCAAATCCTGCTCATAGATTGATCATTTTCCCCAATTTTGAAATATCACTGAAAAACTATAACTTCGATGGCTTGTAAAACATGCAGGTATGGAAATTTCAGAAGGAGCCTAAGTGCCACACAGACTTAGTAAATCAAAGTCCTGTTAAACATACATACAATAACTAGCACCCAGGACATTGCTGATTCAAGTTCATCATTGCTGCTGTTGAAATCACCTCTTTAATTTGATGGCATGACTCAGGGAGAATGCAGCTTCAGCACAGTTATTCAGAATAAGGTAACTATATTCTAGTGCCTGTTTTACCATTAGCAATTACTTTCCCATAATTGAGACAGACTGCTGTCAATTTAGTTATTATTTTTCCAGTTCTTAGAAAATTCCTGAAGAAAATACTTAGGTAAATAAATTTTGGCTGCCTAGTGATGATTCTTTTTTTGTTTTTTTTAAGATGGAGTTTCCCTCTTGTCACCCAGGCTGGAGTGCAATGGCATGACCTCAGCTCACTGCAACCTTCGCCTCCCAGATTCAAGCAATTCTCCTGCCTTAGCCTCCCAAGTAGCTGGGATTACAGGTGCCTGCCACCACACCCGGCTAATTTTTTGTATTTTTAGTAGAGACAGGGTGTCACCATGTTGGCCAGGCTGGTCTCAAACACCTGACCTCAGGTGATCCACCCGCCTTGGCCTCCCAAAGTGCTGGGATTACAGGCGTGAGCCACCGTGCCCAGCCACACACTTGGCTAATTTTTAAATTTTTTGTAGAGACAGGGTCTCACTATGTTGCCCAGGCTGGGCTCAAACTCCTAGCCTCAAGTGATCCTCCCACCTTAGCCTCCCAAAGTGTTAGGATTACAGGCGTAAGCCACCATGACTAGTCCTAGATTCTTAAAAGTATATTCAATTCACACCTAATCAGAAAGAATGGTTTTCATGTTTGCTTTATTTCTATATTTGAATACTTAAATATTTCATTCATAGAAACGTGATGTTTTCTAATCCAGGACACTCGAGTTTATAATATTTCCATGATGAAGTTCATGGAGCTTCCCAACCTTACTTAAAAAAAAAAAAAAAAGCCATCCAGGCACAATGGCTTACATCTGTAATCCTAGCACTTTGAGAGGCTGAGGTGGGAGGACTGCTTGCGCTGAGTTCAAGACCAGCCTGGGCAACATGGCAAGATCCTGTCTCTAAAAAAGATACAAAAATTAGCCAAGTGTGGAGGTATGCACCTGTGGTTCCAGCTGCTTGGGAGGCTGAGGTGGGAGAATCACTTGAGCCCAAAATGTTGAGGCTGCAGTGCCCCACTGCACTCCAGCATGGACAACAGAATGAGGCCCTGTCTGTAATAAAAAAGGCTAGCCAGGTGCCGGGGCTCATGCCTATAATCCCAGCACTTTGGGAGGCTTAGGTGGGAGGACTGCTTGAGCCCAGGAGTTCAAGACCAGCCTGGGCAACATAGTGAGACCCTATCTCTATTGTTTTTTTAAAAAGCCAGATAAGTAGGAAAGGAAATTATTTCAATTTACATCCACAATTGTACAAGTGTTTTAAATATGGATACAGTTAACAAGAATGAATATTATTCAAGATAATTAAACATTTTAGAATAAAATAGAAAATAAAATGTAAGAAATGTGAATTATTTAGTCCAGTAAAATACACTGTCTAAAATATATTCAAAATATGTTTATGTTTTTTATAATTTTAAAGTAAGTTTTGTCAGCATATGTATGACTACACGTGACTAATTTCTTTCTTTCTTTTTTGAATCAGAATCTCACTGTGTCATCCAGGCTAGAGTATAGTGGCATGATCTCGGCTCACTGCAACCTCCGCCTCTCAGGTTCAAGTGATTTGCCTGCCTCAGCCTCCAGAGTAGCTGGGATTACAGGCATCCGCCACCATGCCCAGCTGATTTTTGTCTTTTTAGTAGAGATGGGGTTTCAATATGTTGACCAGGCTGGTCTCAGACTCCTGACCTCAGGCGATCCGGCTGCCTCGGCCTCCCAAAGTGCTGAGATTACAGGCATGAGCCACCATGCCCGGCCACATAACTAACTTCTACTGAATTGCTAATCATTTGGAAGAGGTTTTGATAAATTTGGGTCTCCTATCAACAAATTTAAAGAAATAGAAGATAGTGTCCTGAAGAACCAATAAATTGCACAGTATGATAAATGGAAATGGTTACTAGTTGATAACAGAGCAAAAAACCTTATGGGAATCCAAGTGGCTACCAAGCTTACATGAATCACCAGTACTAAGATGGTGAACAAATAGGAATAGTTAATGATTATAGTTGCTTTGCCAGAAGAAGAAAAGTTTAAGGCATGATACAATAATTGCATGTAAGAATATAACTGGACCGAGCACAGTAGCTCACACCTGTAATCCCAGCACTTCGGGAGGCTGAGGCGGGCGGATCACAAGGTCAGGAGTTTGAGACCAGCCTGGCCAACACAGTGAAACCCCGTCTCTACTAAAAATAAAAAAATTACCTGGGCTTGGTGGCTGGTGCCTGTAATCCCAGGTACGCCAGAGGCTGAGACAGGAGAATCGCTTGAACCTGGGAGGTGGAATTTGCAGTGAGCCGAGATCTCACCACTGCACTCCACCCTGCGTGACAGAGCTAGACTCCATCTAAATAAAAAAAAGAATATAGCTGATTATTAATCAAACCTGCTTAGTAAAGGAGTTCTAATTGACAGTGAACTTATCACTTGGATGGGAGAGAAAATGGTGACCAACACCTTTGATGTATTAGTTTGGTGGGAGCGGGGAGTTCAGGGGAAAAAAAGACGCTGAGGGAAAGAACTATGGGCCCAATAGGAAGTTGATATCTGGAATCTTTTTGGTCACTAAATAAGCTAGATTGCATCAGAGACTCTAGCAAAAACAATAATTTCTCAGATGTTTATTGTGTGTGACCATGCTGAGTCAGAGGGTGCGTCAACCCCACTCTGGGAGGAAAGTGCTCACAAGGAGAGAGGAATGATCTCTTCCTGGGTAAGAGGATCTTTTTTTTTTGAGACGGAGTCTTGCTCTGTCGCCCAGGCTGGAGTGCAGTAGTGCGATCTCGGCTCACTGCAAGCTCCGCCTCCTGGGTTCACGCCATTCTCCTGCCTCAGCCTCCCGAGTAGCTGGGACTACAGGCGCCCGCCACCACGCCCGGCTAGTTTTTTGTAAATTTTTTTTTAGTAGAGACGGGCTCTCACCTTGTTAGCCAGGATGGTCTCGATCTCCTGACCTCGTGATCCGCCCGCCTCGGCCTCCCAAAGTGCTGGGATTACAGGCGTGAGCCACCACGCGCCCGGCCTAAGAGGATCTATTTAGTAAAATTCCTTGCCTAGTGCCCTAATCAGTATCTTGATGCCTGGGAAAAATTAACTATTACCCCCAGGAGTGAGCAGTTGACTTCCTTTACTCAACAGTAAGGATGGGGCATAATAATTAGGGTTAACATCAGAAAGTTCACATTTAAGAGCATGTTGAATACTGCCCAGGGTACAATTTCAAGTAGGCACAGTCCTTGCCTAGTAACCTGAATTGTAAAGCTGTGAAGAATTGCAGTCACTGTATTAGAAGCATAAAAGGTTTCTGCCCCTTTTTAGGGTGTTTTTCATTTTCTTTCTGAAAATTGCTATTGTTACACATGTACTTACTGAATTAAACCACAAACATGAATGGAAGAATCAATTCCAACCAAAAAATTAAGTGGAATAAGATGTGGATTCTCAAGACCCACATATATTTTATTTTGTTTTGTTTTGTTTTTTGTGACGGAGTCTTGCTCTGTTGCCCAGGCTGGAATGCAGTGGTGCGATCTCGGCTCACTGCAACCTCCGCCTCCCGGGTTCAAGCAATTCTTCTGCCTCAGCCTCCTGAGTAGCTAGGACTACAGGCGTGTGCCACCACACCCGGCTAATTTTTGTATTTTTTTAGTAGAGATGGGGTTTCACCATGTTGGCTAGGCTGGTCTCGAACTCCTGACCTCAAGCAGTCTGCCTGCCTCAGCCTCCCACAGTGCTGGGATTAGAGGCGTGAGCCACGGTGCCCGGCAAGACCCAAATATATTATTAAAGATAATTTGAAATCTTTTCTGGCACTCAGATTTATATGGGGTACCAATTCTTTACAAGATATTTGTCCTAATACCCCATTTTAATTTTTTAATTTTTTTATTTTTTTTGAGACAGAGTCTCATTCTGTCATCCAGGCTGGAATGCAGTGGCATGATCTCAACTCACTGTAGCTTCCACCTCCTGGGTTCAAGCAATTCTCCTGCCTCATCTTCCTGAGTAGCTGGGATTACAGGTGCCCACCACGACGCCCAGCTAATTTTTGTATTTTTTTTTTTTTTTTAGTAGAGACAGGGTTTTTGCCATGCTGGCCAGGGTGGTCTTGAACCCCTGACCTCAAGTGATCCGCCTGCCTCAGCCTCCCAAAGTGCTGGGGTTACACACGTGAGCCACCATGCCCGGCCTAATATCCTGTTTTTAAATGAGAATTATTTCAGTCTTACCAAAGGGATATATATATATATACATATATATATACACACACATACACACACACACACGTGTGTGTATGTATATATGTGTGTCTGTGTATATATATATATATATATATTTTTTTTTTTTAATTTATTTTTTTTGAGACAGAGTCTCGCTCTTGTTGCCCAGGCTGGAGTGCAATGGTGCGACCTCGGCTCACTGCAACCTCTGTCTCCTGGGTTCAAGTGATTCTCCTGCCTCAGCCTCTCAAGTAGCTGGGATTACAGGCACCTGCCACCATGACCGGCATTTTGTTTTGTTTTGTTTGTATTTTTAGTAGAGATGGGATTTCATCGTGTTGGCCAGGCTGGTCTCAAACTCCTAATGTCAGGTGATTCACCCACCTCAGCCTCCCAAAGTGCTGGGATTGCAGGCATGAGCCACCACGTCTGGCTAGGGCAATATATTTTATAAGTCAAGTCCAAATGAAGGATGTGCAGACAAAGTAAACTTTTAATAGTTGTTTATCACTTCTATAATACACACGATGTCAATGAACCTGTAGAAGATGCACTTCATGTATGACTGGGAATGATGTGAGAGGAAATTATTAGGTAAGCACATTAGAGGAAAACCATCAGAGATATGGGGAGTAAAAGGAGTAAGGAGCCCATCCCATCTCATATGGAACTAAAAGGTTTGAAAAAAGATTGACACATGCACTTGGCTAGGAGAGTGATGGATAAACAAGGAGAGAGTAACGGTCACAGAGGACACACACAGGAGTTACGGAGGAATAACCCCATTTTCCCAAGGGAATGCAGCTGCCCACGCATACACCTTCCCTTACTCCATTTCCCCCAGGTTTGCAGATACAAAATAAGCCCCATCCCATGAAAGGGTGTGGCTGTTTAGTTCCTGCTAAGTACACAATACATTTCCACTTTATGCTTTATGGGAATTGTAGCTGGAGGAGCTACAGAAAGGCATATGTTCTATTATTATTTAACTTTATCCACATAACGATATACCTCAGATCAAGGCTAGGTTGCTCCCAGCCTTTTTTTTTTTTTTTTTGAGGCAGTCTCGATCTGTCACCCAGCCTGGAGTGCAGTGACGCAATCTCGGCTCACTGCAAGCTCTGCCTCCTGGGTTCACACTATTCTCCTGCCTCAGCCTCCCCAGTAGCTGGGACTACAGGTGCCCGCCACCACACCCGGCTAATTGTTTTGTATTTTTAATAGAGACAGGGTTTCACCATGTTGGTCAGGCTGGTGTCTAACTCCTGACCTCGTGATCCACCTGCCTTGGCCTCCCAAAGTGCTGGGATTACAGGCGTGAGCCACCGCGCCTGGCCTTCTCCCAGTCTTAAAAGAAAAAAGAAACAGGCCAGGCATGGTGGCTCATGCCTGTAATCTCAGCACTTTGGGAGGCTGTGGCAGGCAGATCACTTGAGCCCAGGAGTTTGAGACCAGTCTGGGCAACATAATGGGACCCTATCTCTACAAAAAAATACAATAGCCAAGCATGGTGGCATACACCTGTAGTCCCAGCTACTCGGAAGGCTGAGGTAAGAAGGTCACTTGAACTTGGAAGGTTGAAGTTGCAATGAGCTGTGATCGTGCCACTGGACTCCAGCCTGGGTGACAGAGCAAGACCCTGTCTCAAAAAAAAAAAAAAAAATTAAAGATAAAAGAAAAGGTGGGGCACAGTGGCTCATGCCTATAATCCCAGCACTTTGGGAGGCTGAGGCTGGCGGATCACTTAAGGTCAGGAGTTTGAGGCCAGCTTGGCCAACATGGTGAAACTCTGTCTCATTAGTAATAAGAATACAAATATTAGCCAGGCGTGGTGGCCCACGCCTTTAATCCCAGCTGCTCGGGAAGTTAAGGCAGGAGAATTGCCTGAACCTGGGAGGCTGAGGCTGCAGTGAGCTGAGATCGTGCCACTGCACTCCAGCCTGGGCAACAGAGTGAGACTCGAAAGAAGATAGAAAGAAAAGAAAGAAAGAAAAAGAAAGAGAGAAAGAGGGAAGGGTGGGGGAGGGGAGGGGGGAGAGAGAGAGAGAGAGAGAGAGCGAGCAGGCAGGCAGGCAGGCAGGGCGCGGTGGCTCACGCCTGTAATCCCAGCACTTTGGGAGGCCGAGGCAGGCAGATCACGAGGTCAGAAGATCGAGACCATCCTGGCTAACACGGTGAAACCCCGTCTCTACTAAAAATACAAAACAATTAGCCAGGTGTGGTGGCGGGCGCCTGTAGTCCCAGCTACCGGGGAGGCTGAGGCAGGAGAATGGCATGAACCCGGGAGGCGGAGCTTGCAGTGAGCCGAGATTGCACCACCGCACTCCAGCCTGGGCAACAGAGTGAGACTCTGTCTAAAAAAGAAAAGAAAAGAAAAGAAAAGAAAAAAGAAGCCAACAGGCAAACTTGGGAGGGCCTTTATTCTTCTTGGCAGGGAAAATTGAGATTAGTGAAATTCAGTCATGCTTTCTTGTTTCTTTTAGACTTCAACACTATCCCAGGACTTCCCATCAGCAAAGTAGATGCTTTTGTTCTACAACAATGGGGCAAGGTCCCCCTACCCACAGGAACATGAAGAAAATCCCAAAGTCTTGGAAGGGTTTAAAGATCTCAAGAGGCTCAGTTTCTGTCTTAGTTTGCCTTGTGACTTGACACTTTCTTTAATTCAGAAAATAATTTATATTAATAATGTACAGTACATAGTCTGGCAGGGAGGTTACTTATGTTGCTGAAGGATACAGTAAATCTCATAAAGCGGAAATGAAACAGGAGAAACTGTAAAACTAGTTTGGCTTTCACCCCTGTACTCAAACTATAGTACCATTTTACTGAAACTATAATACTAAATATGTTATTTGAGGAATATTACTTCATTTGGGCCTAGTACTTAACTACTCTATAGCAGCAGAGACTGGACAATTATGTGCCAAGGTTCTTGAACTATATTTAAAAGCTTAAAAAGGCCAGGGATGGTGGCTCAGACCTGTAATCCCAGCACTTTGGGAGGCTGAGGTAGGTGTATCACTTGAGCCTAGGAGTTGGAGACCAGTCTGGGTAACATGGTGAAACCCTGTCTCTACAAAAAATACAAAACAGGCTGGAGGCAGTGGCTCACGCCTGTTATCCCAGCACTTTGGGAAGCTGAGGCAGGCAGATCACTTGAGGTCAGGAGTTTGAGACCAGCCTGGCCAACATGGCAAAACCCCATCTCTACTAAAACTATAGAAATTAACTGGGTGTTGTGGTGCACACCTGTAATCCCAGCTACTTGGGAGACTGAGGCAGAAGAATCCCTTGAACCCAGCAGGCGGAGGTTGCAATGAACCAAGATCACACCATTGCACTCCAGCCTGGACAACAGAGTGAGACTCCATCTCAAAAAAAAAAAAAAAGAAAAGAAAAGAAAAAACAAACAACAAATAAACAAACAAAAATATTAGCTGGCCATCATAGTACATGCCTGTAGTCCCAGCCACTTGGGAGGCTGAGGCAGGAGGATCACTTGAGTACAGGAGTTTGAGCCTGCAGTGAGTCATGATCCTGCCACTTCACTCCAGCCTGGGCAGAGCAAGAACCTCACTCAGGAAGATATAATAAAATAAAAGCTTAAATAATTTGAAACGAAGGGAAGGGCCTCAACTCTATCCTAAATACAACAGAAGACTCACCAACTTTATACTGGACACAAGTGCAGTAGAGTTTGGTATGCGGTAAGTGATGAGAAAATAGTTATAGATTGATAAATTACAGAGGTTTCATTTTTAATGTATTATTGTCTGTTTTCTCTTTTTTTTGATGCAAAGTCTCACTGTGTCACTCAGGCTGGAGTGTAGTGGCATCATCAAGGCTCACCACAACCTTGAACTCCCAGGCTCAAACTATCTTCCTGCCTCAGCCTCCCAAGTAGCTGGGACTACAGGCACATGCGACCATGCCTGGCTAATTTTTTAAAAATTTTTTGTAGAGATGAGGTCTCACTACATTGTCCAGACTGGTCTCCAACTCCTGGGCTCAAGCAATCCTCCCACCTTGGCCTCTCAAAATGCTGGGATTACAGGCGTGAGCCATGGTGCCCAGCCTGTTTTCTCTTTTTATGTCCCTCTTTACCACTGTGATACATACTACAGGGCTCTAGCAAGAACTAATATCTATTCTTTCGTTAGGGCAGTTTTAATTCTTTCATACTCCTCTCATCAAGAGGTGAGGTGTATGTTTCCCCCACTTGAATCCTGGTGGGTTCAGAGCCTGGCTTGACCAATAAAATTCAATGGAAGTGATGTCATATAATTTCTGAGGTTAAGTCATAAAAAGTCTCGCAGCTTCCTCTGTGATCTCTAAGAATTACCTTGCCCTTGGAGCCTTGAGCTACCCTATAAGAAGTCCAACTAACCAGAGGCTGACTTGCTGAATAGGCCACAGGAAGATCCTTTCTGGAAGGCAATCCCATCTGATCATGTCATTCCACCATTCCAGCCTAGGAGCTGAACATACGAGTGAAGATGCCATGTGGGAACTGAATCCTCCAGCCAGAACTGTTCAAACTTCTTCAGTCCCTAGTTGTTTGAGTCATCCCTAAATATTCCAGTCATCCAGCTGAGGCCCTGGCCTTGTAGAACAGAGAAGAGTTGCCCCCCTAACTGCTGTGCCCTTTCTGTATTCTGGACCCATGGACTCTCAGGAACCTAACAAAATGGTTGTTTTACATCAGTAAGTTTTGGGGTAGTTTGTTGTGCAGCAATAGGTAAGTGGAACACCTCTCAGAATCTGTGTGTTTTAGTTGGGGAGATAGCTGCCCAGCTAGATACTGCATTTCCCAGCCTCCTCACTTACGGGTGAACGTGGCTGTAAGTCCTGTGTAGGGTATGTGAATGGAAGATGCAATTTCCAAGTCATATCAATAAAATGTTAAGTGCTCATTCTCCGCTTGCATTCCCTCACCGCTTCTTTCTGGCACACCGACCTGGGGTACACAGATATTAAGGACGGCTGTCACAGATTGGATTCCCTAGGAAGCAGACTCAGAGCAGTTTAGCATGCAGAATATTTATTAAGGCGTTCCCTGGGAGTCAACACCTGTGTAAGGGAGGGGACAAAAGCAAGAGCGGGCAAAAGGAAAAGTTGAGCTGCAATGCAGATTCAATGGCAGCCTCAGCCAACCCCACAGAGAGGTCAGGAGCTAAAGTGGTCCTTCAGAATTGTCCCTCATTGGGCTGAGATGGCTAGACCTTTATACCTCCACAGGTATCAGTCATTGGATGGGGGTCATCCTGGCATATGCTTTTGCAAAGTTATAATCAGGATATATTAGTCATCTATTATTGCATAACAAAATAATCCAAAACTTAGTGACTAAAAACATGCATTTATTATCTCACAGTTGCTGTGTGCTAGAAATCCAGAAGCATGAGGTTGGGTGCTTCTGACTGAAGATATTTCAGGTTGCAGTTAAGCTGTCAGCTGGGGCAGCAGTCATCTCAACTCTATTGAGGCCAAAGGATTCAGCTCACTCACGTGGTTGCTGGTAGGCCCCTTCCTTACCACAGGATGCCCCTCTGAGCATGAGAGTATTCCTCAAGACCAAGGAGGAAGCTGCCTATGGGACCTCAGAACATGGAAGGTGGTGATCAAGCGTGGGAGAACCATAGAGAACCCAAAAACGAAACCCAAGAAGAATTAGGTTTTAAAACCTAATCTCAGTAGAATTAGGTTTTAAAACCTAATCTCAGTAGAATTAGGTTTTAAAACCTAATCTCAGTAGCGACATCCTTATTCATTAGAAGTAAGTTCAGCCCACACTCAAGGGTAGCGGATTACCCAAGGTCATCCCAGGAGGCAGGGATCATTGAGGCCATTTTAGAGTCTTCCTACCACACATACCATGCATAAGATTTTGTATACTTATATTTTTACTTTTTTTTTTTTTGAGATAGAGTCTCACTCTGTCATCTAGGCGAGAGTGCAGTGGTGCGATCTTGGCTCACTGCAACCTCCGCCTCCTGGGTTCAAGTGATTCTGCTGTCTCAGCCTCCTGAGTAGCTAGAATTACAGGCGTGTGCCACCATGCTCAGCTAATTTTTGTATTTTTTTGTTTTGTTTTGTTTTGTTTTTTGAGAGAGTCTCACTCTGTCATCCAGGCTGGAGTGCAGTGGTGTGATCTCGGCTCACTGCAACCTCCATCTCCTGGGTTCAAGCAATTCTCCTGCCTCAGCCTCCTGAGTAGTTGGGACTACAGGCGCATGCCACCATGCCCGGCTAATTTTTTGTATTTTTAGTAGAGACAGAGTTTCACCATGTTGGCTATGGCTGGTCTCAAACTCCTGACCTCAGGTGACCCACCTGCCTCGGCCTCCCAAAGTGCTGGGATTACAGGCGTGAGCCACCGTGCCTGGACTACTTTTTATCAACATTTTGTTTTCCTACAGATTCTTCATTTAAACAATTTTTTTTTTGAGATGGAATTTCGCTCTTGTTGCCCAGGCTGGAGTGCAATGGTGTGATCTCAGCTCACCGCAACCTCCACCTCCCAGGTTCAAGCGTTTCTCCTGCCTCAGTCTCCTAAGTAGCTGGGATTACAGGCATGCACCACCACATCTGGCTAATTTTGTATTTTTAGTAGAGATGGGGTTTCTCCATGTTGGTCAGGCTGGTCCCAAACTCTTGACCTCAGGTGATCTGCCCGCCTTGGCCTTTGGGATTACAGGCGTGAGCTACCGCACTTGGCCACAATATGTTGTTTCTAAAAATTATAAAGCAGTATATTGTAAAATTTTTCAAATGTTTGATCAAGGTATAAAATTCATTTCCTTATACTATACCACATGTTAATTGATCCAGGGGTAATCACAATTAAGTTTTTATTGTATCTGCTGAGATACTTTCCATACACACGTAAGCATATACATATATACACACACACACATTATTGTACACTTAATTTATGTCCTTAATACATTCTGAAGCACTTTCCATATCAGCACGTTGAGATCTAGCTCATTGGTTTAAACATCTGCATGTTTCATTTTATGATTATACAAAAAAATTTTTCAGCAGTTCCCTATTGATGGATATTTACATATTTTTGTTTTGTCTGACATGACAAACATTGCAAATGTACATCCTTTGTCTCATGATGAATCATGCCTTGAGTCTCACTCATATCTGATTTAGATGAGACTTTGGACTTTGACTTTAAAGTTGATGCTGGAACAAGTTAAGACTTTTTAGGGGCTATTGGGATGGAATGAATTTATTTTGCATGTGAGGACATGAATCTGGGGAGCCCAAGGTGTGGAATGCTATGTTTTGAATGTGTTGTCTCCACAATTCATGTGTTGGAAACTTAATCCCAATGCAACAGGGTTGGGAGGCGGAGCCTTCTGGGAGATGATTAGGTCACAAGGACTCTGGCCTCATATTTGATTGATGCCATTATAAAAAGGGTTTGCGGGAGCATGTTAGCTCTCCCTTGCCCTTCCATCTTCTGCCATGGGAGGACAGCAAGAAGGCCCTTCCCAGATGCTGGCACCTGATCATGGTCTTCCTGGCCTCCAGAATTGTAAGAAGTAAATTTTTTTTTTTTTTAACGAAGAAGTGAGTATTTTATTATTTTGCTGTACAGCTGTTGCTTCACTATATAAAAACAGCACCAGCAAATGCAGTGTATTGCAAAATTAAGATAGTGTTGTTCTTCATCTGACACTGTACAAGCAACAAAAACTTCTTCACTCCCAGTTATTTCCAATGGAAAGATCATTAAGTATTTCATCCCAAGTCCAGGTATGGACATACACAAGTTACAATATTATATAAGGCTTAAGAATAACAACATTATCTTTGAATTATGTAATTTTTGTAACTAATTTTTACCATGGATAATTTCATGGATAATTTCATGAATACTAGAGCCTAGTCTAAAAATCATAGGATGTTGTGAAAAAGACACATATTATGTTTATCTACAATCATTAGAAAGTTAAAAGGCATCTTCTTTCATTAGCAGTGTTAACAGTAGTTTTTTTTTCCCATGGGTAATGCTAAAAGTTGCTATTCTAAGTCTTCTATCCACCACTAATTTAGGACAACTCTGCTGGGTTGCGTTATTTCATACTAGCTTATTTAGTGGTTCCATTTTCACTCCTCAATAGATTTTATGTATTTCTCATATGCTTCTTCACTCATAAGTTCATCTAGTTATGAAGGGTTACTCAGTGTCATCTTGATCAGCCAACCATCTTCATAACGAGATTTGTTTACAAGTCCTGGATTTTCTGCAAGAGCTTCATTAATTTCGGTTACTTCTCCTGATAAAGGAGAATAGAGTTCACTAGCAGCTTTCACACTCTCCAAAGCACCAAACTCATCTTGTTTGTTCAATTTTGTCCCAACTTCAGGCAGATTACAGTAACCAGACGGCGCCCATCCCAAGCTGCCAGGGCCTCGATAGGCAGGGCGCGGCAGGTGCCAGGACCACGTGCAGGCTGCAGAGCACGGCCCGCACGCTCCGCACCACTCGCAGCGCCATGTTCCCAGGGGTGCGGGGATGGCAGCGCTACGCCTCAGCCACTCGCGCGGGGAGGCGGGGCGGTGTGGGCAGAAGTAAATTTCTTTATAAATTACCCAGTCTGGGCCTGGTGTGTTGGCTCACATGTGTAATTCCAGAACTTTGGGAGGTCAAGGTGGGAGGAGCGCCTGGGCCCAGGGGTTCAAGACGAGCCTGGGCAACATAGTGAGACCTGTCTCTATAAAATATTTTTAAAAATTAGCTGGGCGCGGTGGCTTACGCCTGTAATCCCAGCACTTTGGGAGGCCGAGGTGGGCAGATCATGAGGTCAGGAGTTTGAGACCAGCCTGACCAACATGGTGAAACCCCGTCTCTACTAAAAATACAAAAATTAGCTGGGCATGGTGGCGCACACCTGTAATCCTAGCTAGATCCTAGTAGATTGAGGCAGGAAAACTGAACCCGGGAGGTGGAGGTTGCAGTGAGCTGAGATTGTGCCACTGCACTTCAGCCTGGGCGACAAACTGAGACTCCGTCTCAGAAAAAAAAAATAAATAAATAAAAATTAGTGGGGCATGGTGGCTCACACCTGTAGTTCCAGCTGTTCAGGAGGCTGAGGCAGGAGGATTGCTTGATCCAGGGAGGTTGAGGCTGCAGTGAACTGTGATCATGCCACTGAACCCCAGCCTGGGTGACAGAGTTGCCTCAATCAGTCAATCAATCAACCCATCACCCAGTCTGTGATATTCTGTTTTAACAGCAGAAACAAAGACAACTAGACATGCCCACTGTGTTATGTACTTACCTCTATTAGAATATGTTATGTCATTACTATAATTGATGCCTACATATCTCTTTTAGTATACTGTTAGCTTCTTGAGGACATTAGCTAAATTGTATTTCTCTTTGTAGTCTTGGGTAATGTACTTGACACACAGTAGATACTCTGCAAAAAAATTTTGTTTTTCTTTTTGAGATGGGGTCTCGCTTTGTCGCCCATGCTAGAGCGCAGTGGCGCGATCTGGGATCACTGCAACCTCCGCCTCCCAGGTTTAAGCAATTCTCTGACTCAGCCTCCAGAGTAGCTGGGATTACAGGTGTCTTGCCACCATGCCCGGCTAATTTTTGTATTTTTAGTAGAGATGGGGTTTCACTATCTTGGCCAGGCTGGTCTTGAACTCCTGGCCTTATGAGAGCCACCGCACCCAGCTGATACTCTGCAAATGTTTAATAGATGTTGGAGCTGAATTTCAGGCTTTGTAATGTCACAGAACCAGGCATCAGAAGAGCTGATCCAAACCCAAGATCTGCCCCTAACTTGCCTCTTATTCTTTCTGGCCTCCATTTCCACAATTATAAAATGCAGGTATAATACTAAAATTTTTTTTTGTATAGTCCTTTACAGATCCAAAATTATGATTTTAAGAAGGAAATTAATAAGTTATTCATCTCAGTATCTCTTTAGGTGCCAATACTGTAAATTAATCACCAGTCTCAGATCATATATTTGCCATTTCCAACATATGCTTTTAGTCCAGTCTAATCACCAGTCTCAGACTATACATTGCCATTTTCAACATATGCTTTTAGTGAGTTATTTAAAAATATTAAGATATCAGATGTTTTGAGTATCAGCAATAGGTAAGTCAATCTCTAAACATTTTCAGTAGTGAAAAACACAAAAAACACTTTAAGCAGAGGGTATTTGGTTTTGAGATCCTTGTTCTCTTAAAATCTGTGATCTGAAATCTAGTCAGTTTTCTCATTAACATCCTTGTCCCTTGGGATAAATTAAATCAGCAAACTAAAGTGCTATGTAACTATTAAAATATTTTAAAATATTGGTTATTTAAAACTTATTAGGGGCCGGGTACAGTGGCTCATGCCTGTAATCCCAGCACTTTGGGAGGCTGAGGCAGGTGGATCACTTGAACTCAGGAGTTTAAGACCAGCCTGGGTAACATGGCGAAACCTCGTCTCTACAAAAAATACAAAAATTAGCCAGGTGTGGTGGCGTGTGCCTGTAGTCCCAGCCACTTGGGAGACTGAAGTGGGAGGATGGCTTGAGCCCAGGAGATGGAGGTTGCAGTGTGCTGAGATCATGCCATGCATTGCACTCCAGTCTGGGTAACAGAGCCAGAATCTTATTAGGGAATTCTGACATCTTCATCTTTTTATAAAAGATGGCCAGGCTGGGTGCGCTGGCTCACATCTGGAATCCCAGCACTTTGGGAGGCTGAGGCGGGTGAATCACCTGAGGTCAGGGGTTCAAGACCAGCCTGACCAATATGGTGAAACCTCATCTCTACTAAAAATACAAAAATTGACTGGGCACGGATAGCTCACGCCTGTAATCCCAGCACTCTGGGAGGTTGAGGCGGGTGGATCACCTGAGGTCAGGAGTTTGAGACCATCCTGCCCAACATGGTGAAACCCCGCCTCTACTAAAAACACAAAAATTAGCTGGGCGTGGTGGTGTGCTCCTGTAGTCCCAGCTACTCAGGAGGCTGAGGCAGGAGGATCGCTTGAACCCAGGAGGTGGAGGTTGCAGTGAGCTGAGATTGCGCCACTGCACTCCAGACTGGCAATACAGTGAGACTCAATCTAAGATAAAACAAAGAAACAAAAAGGAATGCACTTCTTAATAAGCTGGAGATTATTTTAGGCATGGCTTTCCCTCATAGTCTATGAAATTTTCCTACAATGATCATCCTCAGTTAGCACATGGGGCATTTAGTATATGTCAGGAAACAGGCCTAAGGTTTTTACAAGCTTTCTGATGTAATCATCAAAACAATTCTATGAGGCTGGAAGTAGGTACAATTTTACAATTTTTATCCTCATTTTACAGATGAAGAAATACTCTTAAAGAAAATGTTAATGTCAACAACAAACAATAAATTGGTACTGGGTATTGTCAAATATATTTTTTAATTTTTACTTTTTTTCAGACAGAGTCTCACTCTGTCACCCAGGCTGGAGTGCAACGGTGCAATCTTGACTCACTGCAACCTCCGTCTCCTGGGTTTAAGTGATTCTCCTGCCTCAGCCTCCTGAGTGAGTAGCTGGGATTACAGGCATATGCCACCATGGCTGGCTAATTTTGTATTTTTAGTAGAGACAGAGTTTCACCATGTCGGACAGGCTGGTCTCGAAAACTCCTGACCTCAGGTGATCCGCCTGCCTCGGCCTCCCAAAGTGCTGGGATTACAGGCTTGAGCTACTGTGCCAGGCCAAGTATATTTTTAATTAATGTATTCATTATAATACAATTTACTACAAATTTGAGGGGGGAGGCTTTCCATATGGAATTCAAGATATTTTTGGATATATATTCAACTTTTTTTTTTAAGAGTTGGGGGTCTTGTTATGTTGCTGATATGGTTTGGATGGCTGTCACTTCCAAATCTCATGTTGAAATGTAACCCCCAATGCTGGAGGTAGGGCCTCGTGGGAGGTATAGAATCATGGGGCAAATCCTTCATGAATGGCTTGGCACCATCACCTTGGTGATGAGTGAGATCTTAGTTCATGTGAAATTTGGTTGTTTAGAGTCTGGGACCTCCTCCTCTCTCTTGCTCCCTCTCTCACCATGTGATATGCTCGCTCCCATTTTGCCTTCTACCATGATTGTAAGCTTCCTGAGGCCCTCATCAGAAGCAGCTGCTGGTGCCATGCTTTGTGTACAGCCTGCAGAAACTGTAAGCCAATTAAATCTCTCTTTTGCAAGAATTACCCAATCTCAGATATTCCTTTACAGTAATGCAAACAGATTAAAACAGATTAGTACTGACAGTGGGGCACTGCTATACATATTGGAAAATGTAGAAACAGCTTTGGAACTGGGTAACAGGCAGAGGTTGGAAGAATCTGGAGGGCTCAGAAGACAGAAAGATGAGGGAAAGTTTGGAACTTAGAGACTAGTTAAGTGGTTGTGACCAAAATGCTGATAGACATATGGTGAAGTCCAGAGTGATGAGGTCTCAGATGGAAATGAGGAAGTTATTGGGAACAGGAATAAAGGTACATCTATGTCATGCTTTAGCAAATAGCTTGGGTGCATTGTGTCCAGGCCCTAGGAATCTGTGGAAGTTTGAACTTAAGAGTGATGACTTAGGGTATCAGGGTATCTGGCAGAAGAAATTTCTAAGCAGCAAAGCATTCAAGATGTGGCCTGGCTGATGCTAGCAGCCTACAATCAGATATGGAAGCAAAGAAATAACTTAAAGTTGGAACATATTTAAAAGGGAAGCAGAGCGTAGAAGTTTGGAAAATTCACAGACTAGTCATGTGGCAGAGAAGGAAAAAGCACTTTGAGGAGAGGAATACAAGCAGGCTGCAGGAATACAGTTGTCCATGCTGGACTCAACTCATTTGCTCAAGCAATCCTTGTGCCTCAGCCTCCCAAGTAGCTGGGGCTATAGCTTGTGCCATCATGCTCAGCTATTCACCTTACATTGCTGTCCAAAATGTTTTCATTTGAGGCAACCTGGGATAGTAAAAGTACTTCTAATTAAACACTCCTGCCATTAGTATCTAGCTGTGTAGCCATAAATAAGTTATTTGATATTTCTTGAGTCTCAATTAATACCTACTATTAGCAGAGATTTTGTGAAGAATAGTCTTAATGTATTTAAAGCTTTAATGGCACTTATTTAGAAGGTCCTCAGGAAATGGTATTATTATTCCAAGGTCTTTCTAGATTGCCTTATTCACCTAAAGAGACTTGATCTTGAGCCTTTGTAGATTTTCTCATTGGTGATTCCTTCACTGCTTAGAATGTCATGATTCCACCAGACAGGTTACTCTCATCTACGTGTATTTTTCTTACATCTTTTTCAGTCTATTTTTCTCTAGCAATTATCTTCAATGTTTATGCTTACAATAACCTTAGTATTTGGCATTACGACACTAATATGTGCCCATGAGACAGACGGAGCACTACTTATCCCAGAGGAGGTATTATTTATTTATTTATTTATTTTTTGAGAGGGAGGCTTGTTTCTTCACCCAGGCTGCAGTGCAATGGTGTGATCTCGGCTTACCGCGACCTCCGCCTTGACTCTCAGTTCAAGCGATTTTCCTGCTTCAGCCTCCCCAGTAGCTGGGATTACAGCCATGTGCCACCATGCCTGGCTAATTTTTGTATTTTTAGTAGAGACAGGGTTTCACCACGTTGGCCAGGCTGGTCTCAAACTCCTGACCTCAATGATCTGCCCGCCTCAGCCTGCCAAAGTGCTGGGATTACAGGTGTGAGCCACCGCGCCCGGTCCAGACAAGGTATTTTTTAGAGATTATGATTGTTCACCACAAGCTGCCTAGCAGGTAGCCCAAGGATCCTGGATCAACTTAGCTATATAGCATCTTTTCTATCTGAATGCAGTATTCTCTTACCCACAACCATATGAAGTCTACACATATTCATTAACAGTATTATATAAAATACAAAATTGGGACTATGTCCCCTCAAGATGAGCACAGTGCTAAGAGGTAAGAGATGGGAAGTTTGTATTAAGTTCAAACACTTTTGGCAAGAATTTATACAATTTCAGGTAACTGGGCATTTTAGGCAAAGCACACAACTTCATGATGTATCACTGAGGAGGATAAGATAAACAGTTCTAAAAGCTGGTACAGGTGACAAATTTTGTGCAATTTTAAGTTTTACATTTTTTTGTACAAATAGGATCTTGCTATGCAGTCCAGGCTGGTCTTGAACTCCTGGCCTCAACTGATCTTCCTGCCTTGAACCCCCAAAATGCTGGGCTTACAGGTGTGAGCCACTGCACCTGCTGTTTTTAAAGATATTGTAACATACTATTATTCTAAAACCTTATCCTTTGTTGTATCAGAAAAACGACATCCTAGACTGGGCGCGGTGGCTCACGCCTGTAATCCCAGCACTTTGGGAGGCCAAGGCAGGTAGATCACCTGAGGTTAGGAGTTCAAGACCAGCCTGGCCAAATTGGTGAAACCCTGTCTCTACTAAAAATACAAAAATTAGCCAGGTGTGGTGGCGTGCGCTTGTAATCCCAGCTACCGGGGAGGCTGAGGCAGGAGAATCGCTTGAATCAGGGAGGTGGTGATTGCAGTGAGCCAAGATCATGCCACTGCATTCCAGCCTTGGGTGACAGAGTAAGACTCCATCTCAAAAAAAAAAAAAAAACAAAGGGAAAAAGGGCATCCTATACTTGGGCTGAGTCTTTAGTGAAAGCAGAAAAGAATAAGGATTACAAAACAAATAAATTGTGAACATAGTTTTGTTTGTTTGTTTGAAACAAAGTCTTGCTCTGTTGCCCAGGCTGGAATGCAGTGGCGCAATCACGGCTCACTGCAGCCTCAACCTCCTGGGTCAGGTGATCCTCCCACCTCAGCCTTCCGAGTAGCTGGGACTATAGGTGTACACCACCACACCCAGCTAATTTTTGTATTTTTTGTAGAGATGGGGTTTCACCATGTTGCCCAGACTGGTCTCCAACTGCCTGGGCTCAAGCGATCCACCCACCTTGGCCCCCCAAGTGTTGGGATTACAGGTGTAAGCCACCACACCCAACCTTAGATTAAAAAAAAAAATTATCTATTTTTAATTATCTCCTAATTGTAAAATTTTTACTTCCTTTTTTATTTTTTTAAATTCTCAGTGATCCTTATTCTGATTCCTTTTGGTTTTGACAATTAAAAATTATGAAAGCTGGTTGTTTTGTCTCCTATTGCTGAAATAATTTAGTTGATTTAACACTACAGATGGTGTTAGGATAATGAATACAGAACATCAATGAGAATCTAAATTATATCTCTTGAGACCTCCCTCATTCCAAGGGAGGTCTCATAAGTATACATGCATACATGTATAACTTATAAAAAAAAAAAAGCCACATAAATCACCATGACATTATAGAAGCAGATTCAAGAGAAAATAGAAAAATGTGTTCACCATTAAACTCAATACTAATTTTTAGAAGTAACAACCTATAGAATCAACATTAATGAGACGAAATAATATGTTGCAGTTAAGAACAACAGGCTTTGGAGTAAATAAGAAGTAGGTTTGAGTTGGTGACTTTTGCTGTGTGGCCTTGGGCAAGCTATTTAATATACCTAGGCTTCAGTCTTCATCAGTAAAATGAGATAATACTACTATCTCACAGGGTTGTAGCAAGAACAAAAGAAGATAATGCATGTAAAACCAGAGTGCTTAGCACATATAATAAAGCTAAATTATCATTAGCCATTGTTACTATGATTATTATTAATTATAATTATCCTAGATACATATCTGAGCATGATTATGTATTTTTCCTATTTACCCAGCTTGACAAGGTGCTTAAATCTTTTCTTTAGCACTAGAAAAAAGTAGGTTTTAATTGAACCTCTTTTCATTTCATCCATTTTACAGACAAATTATTTATGAAGATAAGCCAACAACTCATAATTTAAGGATCTCTTTATGTTCGTCACAAAGGTTATCAATGCTTTTAAGAGCATCTGCATAGTTTTGTTATTTAACCTTTACACACAATACATGTTTTTCAAACTGCAAAGTTGATAACTAATATCATTTTCAAATAGGCATAGTATAACCTTAAATATTACATGATTCAAATTATTATTATTTTTTTTTACAAAGAAATAAACCTGTAAAGGATCACTGCACTACAGTTGTCCATTAATTATCTGCGGCAAAACTGGGATCCTAGTAGAAGCTTCAGCATATGGATGGTTCCTCTACTGCCTGGGCACCCTCTGTGACAGCTTTGACACATTTGGCCATTGTCTGTGAGGCTCTGCTAATTGAATCTGAAAGATATTAAGAAAATGTCATTTTGATAATACAACTTTTTAAAAAGCACATACTAAAACTTTAATGGTGCACATATTCAGGAGGAAAAAAGATTATAAGGCCCTATGCAAGTATATATAATTATATGTAACCAACAGATTCCAACGATAAACCCCTTACTGGCCACATGCTTTCAATAACTATCCCTGGAAACAATCAAATAACTATAGAGCAGCTAGACAGTGCACCAGTATGCAGCCATTAAAAAATTATAGAAAAGTATTAAAAACATAGGAAAGGCCAGGCGCGGTGGCTCACACCTGTAATCCCAGCACTTTGGGAGGCCGAGGCAGGTGGATCACGAGGTCAGGAGATTGAGACCATCCTGGCTAACACAGTGAAACCCCATCTCTACTAAAAATACAAAAAATTAGCCAGGTGTTGTGGCATATGCCTGTAGTCCCAGCTACTCGGGAGTCTGAGGCAGGAGAATCGTGTGAACCTAGGAGGCGGAGCTTGCAGTGAGCCGAGATCACACCACTGCAATCTAGCCTGGGCGACAGAGCAAGACTCTTGTCTCAAAAAAATAAATAAATAAATAAATATAGGAAAAATGTGTACAATACTATTATTGAAAAAGGTTACAAAACAGCATATGTACTAAAATACATTGAATTGTCCACTTCATGAGTAAATTTTAGGGTACATGAATTATATTTCAATAAAGCTATCAACCCCCAAGTGAATAATCTCACTTTTTTTTTTTTAAAGAGACCAGATCTGACTATGTTGCCCAGGCTGGTCTGAAACTCCTGGATTCAAGCCATCTGCCCCCCTCAGCCTCCCAAAATGCTGGAATTACAGGCATGAGCCACTGCACCAGGCCTAATCTCACCTTCTGTTTCACTAAAAAATATATAGGCCAGGGGTGGTGGCTCACATCTGTAGTCCCAGCACTTTGGGAGGCTGAGGTGGGTGGACTGCTTGAGTCCAGGAGTTTGAGATCTGCCTGGGTAACATGGCGAAACCCCATCTCTACAAAAAATACAAAAATTAGCTGGATGTGGTGGTATGCGCCTATAGTCCTAGCTACCGAGGAGGCTGAGGTGGGAGGATCACTTCAGCTCAGGAGGCAGAGGTTGCAGCAAGCCAAGATTGTGCCACTGCACTTCAGCCTGGGTGACAGAGTAAAATCTCATCTCAAAAATTATACACACACACACACACACACACGTACATGTAAACAGTAATAATTACATATAAATAACAATAGTTAATTAATATAATATATATGTGTATAATGCATATGTATGTCCCTGGAGGAAGAGTGACTAAAATGTTAAAAATAATTATAGTTATTTCTTGATAGTGGGAGGGTAGTGATTTTTCTTTTTTTAAAAAAAAAAAAACTTTTAGGTTCAGGGGTACATGTGAAGGCTTTTTACACCAGTAAACTCATGTCACAGGGATTTGTTGTACAGAATACTTCATCACCGAGGAATTAAGCCCAGTACCCAAGACTTATCTTTTCTGCACCTCTCCCTCCTCCCACTCTCCACTCTCAAGTAGACTACAGTGTCTGTTGTTTCCTTCTTTGTGTTCATAAGTTCGCAGATAAATACCATAGAAGTGATTTTTTGTTGTGCTTTTGAGCATAGGTATTATTTTACAATGAAGGTAATCTTTATTATCTAACTAAAATACTTATTTAAAAAATCTTAGATACAAACTATATAAAAAAATTAAGAGTTCTATGTGCTTTTAGATAGAAAATTAGTCAAAATAATCTATCAACTATTAACTACCTCATAACCTAGATGTTGTATCAACTGTTCTAAGAATCTGCAATAAACAAGTTTCAGTTTGTCTGCATTCCTTAAAAACATTCCTAACAATTTACATCAGAAGCACTGTTTAACATGTTTCACATTTAAATGTTTTGATTCTTCCACCTATAATTCTCAGAAAAACCTGCAGTTATTTGCCACTTTGGAAAATTCACCATAAATTGCTACACAGTGACTTTCCTTACAACAGCAAAATTTTATATTTAAAATCTATTAATTGCTTGGATTTTCAAACTTTGCTTACATTTCAGAAACAAAAAAACTAGAGTAGAATCAGAAAATATGCTTACGTTAGTTCCAATGTTTGAAAACCTTCAAAGATTAAGAATTGCAAACACTATCAATCACAAATTGGAATTATAACACCAAATGAGGTGATCTGATTACTTCTTACCTTTCGTATTTGGCAGAGTCATGTTGACAATTACATACCTGTCATGTAGAAGTCTTTTATAGTTAGCTGAGGTGGAACAAGTGGGTCAGCAAGAAGCTGCTGGTTCACTAGCTGCACAAAAAAGAAGAGATCAACAATAATATGGAAAACTAGTACTGTTACACCAGTAGATACAACATTATGAAAACTGCTCATAGGCGAGCTGTTACCTTTGAGAGCTCATTTGCTTGCTGGAAGTAATTAGCCCCTTCAATATCATCATATCGAACAAGATTAGGAGAGACTTCTTCCAATCTGTTCCTTACTTGATCCAGAGTATCATATGGAAGAGTCATTCCAGCAATCTACAACATGTCAGGTCCCCAAAAACAACAAAAAGCTTTAATACTTAAAAATATCAAATAATAGATAATTGTAACTATGGTGAAATAATGCAGCACTACTGAAAAACCTATTGGTGTCCATTAGTAGACATACATTTATGAAGGAAGCAGTTAAGCAGGGAACACAAATATCAAAAATTCTAATTCATTCACAGCTGTCAGTACATTAGTGACTCTATGAAATGAAGAGACAATACTATGCTAAATCCAAATGTTTTTGCTAACCTGTTATTAAAATACATAAAGTTTACAATGTGTTATTATTTTAAAAGTCAGGATGCTTACTTTTACATCAATAAAGAGCTAACAGATGTATTTTCAGGCAAAAGACAAGTCAACAATTTTCAACAATAAAAGCACCAATTTCAGGCCAGGTGCAGTGGCTCACACCTGTAATCCCAGCACTTCGGGAGACCGAGGTGGGAGGACTGCTTGAGGCCCAGGAGTTCAAGACCAGCCTGGCCAACATGGCGAAACCCCATCTCTACTAAAAATATAAAAATTAGCCAGGCTTGGTGGTACATGCGTGTAATCCCAGTTACTCAGGAAGCTTGCGCCCGGGAGGTGGAGGTTGCAGTAAGCTGAGATCACGCCACTGCACTCCAGCCTGGGCAACAGAGAAAAACTCTGTCTCAAAAATAAATAAAATAAAATAAAAGCACCAATTTCAAGTTCCTTTATTTTTTAAGAGACAGGGTCTTGCTCTGTCCCTCAGGCTGGAGTGCAGCGGTGCAATGAGAGCTCACTGTAACCTTGAATTCCTGTTTCTGAATACATGTTTTCTATAGAAATTATTCAAATCATCTCTGCATTTCAGACTGGCATCTTCCTTGACTTTGAAAATCATTCTAACAGGCTAAAATATCAAATATGCCTTTAGTAGCATCACTAAGAAATGACTCAGAAATTATACCTCAGAGAGTGCTCTTATAATTTTCCAGTCTTCTCTTGCCAAGCCAGGAGGTGTCACTGCTACCTTAGTCTGCTGAGCTCTACCCTCAGTGTTGACATATGTAGCAGACTTCTCTGTGTAAGCAGCTCCTGGGAGAATAACATCAGCTATGGGAGCCCCAACATCACCATGATGTCCTGCACAAAGATGGAAAATGGTAAACCAAAATTTTATTAAAAACTGATTTTCTACTGTACATGAAGATAGTATATATCATTTTAAATCCCATTTTGTAAAGTCACAAAAGTTTTTAAAACTAAAATGAAACAGTAGTGAAGTAATAAAAATTAAAGCCCACCTCAACCCTAATTCAACTCCCTTCCCAAAGAAAATTATTATTATTTTTTTGAGATGGAGTCTCGCTCTGTCGCCCAGGCTGGAGTGCAGTGGTGCAATCTTGGCTCACAGCAAGCTCTGCCTCCTGGGTTCATGCCATTCTTCTGTCTCAGCCTCCCAAGTAGCTGGGACTACAGGTGCCTGCCACCACACTCAGCTAATTTTTTGTATTTTTAGTAGAGACAGGGTTTCACCGTGTTTAGCCAGGATGGTCTTGATCTCCTGACCTTGTGATCCACCCGCCTCAGCCTCCCAAAGTGCTGGGATTACAGGCATGAGCCACCGCGCCCGGCCCCAAAGAAAATTATTGTTAAAGCATTTGGGGGCCAGGTGTGGTGGCTCATGCCTGTGATCCCAGCACTTTGGGAGGCCAAGGTGGACAGATGACTTGAGGCCAGGAGTTTGTGTCCAGCCTGGCCAACATGGCAAAACTGCATCTCTACTAAAAATACAAAAAAATTAGCCCAATGTGGTGGTGTGTGCCTGTAATCCCAGCTACTCAAGAGGGCTGAGGCATGAGAATCGTTTGAACCCGTGAGGCTGGGGCTGCAGTGAGCCGAGATCACACCACTGCACTCCAGCCTGGGTGACAGAGTGAGACTCTATCTCAAAAAAAAAAATTTTTTTTTTAAAGAAAAAAAAGTATCTTCTCAGACTATTTTATGCAAATACAAATATGTATAATATAATACACACATATAAAATAGCCAAGTAAGTATACTGATGCTTACAAAGTAGAACTGCTCAGATGTACCAGTTTGTGAAATTTGGTAAAGTAGACTGAAATGGGGGAGGATGCAAAGACAGGAATATGACAGTAATACTGAAAAAGGCATAAACGAAAAACTACAGAAAAATTTGGAAACACTGCCACCCATTAATAACAACTGGCAGAAGAAAAAAGTTATTCAGAAAAGAAGACCTTTAGAAACATCTGAATCAAGTGTAAGAAAATCGTAGAATAATATATAGTTTAATATAATTTGTGCACATTTGTATATGCGTATGAAGATGTTATGAAGTACGCATATCAAAACTCAACAATGATTATTTCTTAAAGGACTAAAAACAGGATTTTAGTTTATTTTGTTTTTAATTTTATTAAAAATAACATTTTTTATTGCTCTGTCACCCAGGCTGGAGTGCAGTGACGTGATCATGGCTCATTGCAGCCTCAAACTCCTGAACTCAAGTGATCCTCCCACCTCAGCCTCCTAAGTAGCTGGGATCACAGACATGCAGCAACACGCCTAGCTAATTTTTAAATTTTTTGTAGAAACAGGGTCTCCCTATGTTGCCCAGACTGGTCTAGAACTCCTAGGCTCAACAAATCCTCCTGCCTCAGCCTCTCAAAGTGGTGGGATTACAGCATGAGCCACGGCACCCAAGGAACAGGATTTAGTTCATATATTTTGGTTTAACTTTTTTTTTTTTTTTGAGAGGGAATGTCACTCTTATTGCCTAGGCTGGAGTACAATGGCATGATCTTGGCTCACTGCAACCTCTGCCTCCCAGGTTCAAGTGATTCTCCTGTCTTAGCCTCCCGAGTAGCTGGGATTACAGGCGCCCGCCACCACGCTCGGCTAATTTTTATGTTTTTAGTACAGACAGGGTTTTACCATGTTGGTCAGGCTGGTCTTGAACTCCTGACCTCAGGTGATCCACCCGCACTGGCCTCCCAAAGTGCTGGGATTACAGGTGTGAGCCACCGCACCCGGCAGGTAATAATTCTTAAAAGCAGTATCAATTATGTAACTAATAACACTTGTGGTTTGTTTAAAAAAAAAGGAGGAGGAGTGGGGGAGGCAAAATTCTCAAATGGAAAACATTCAGTTCACTAAATATATTACTAAATGGTTTCTAACATACATAATGTACTACTCTCTTTTGTTTCTGGTGTCACAGGTGATACTTACCTTGATAAATAATGAAACAATCCTTTGGCAAATCCTGTCGTGTGATACAACCTCCATCTGCTCCCAGGAGAAACAGCACCTTGGGAGGGTTCTTCCGAATTGCTTCCACCCCAGGCTTATAGCCAAGGTCCAAAGCAGCTACTTGACTTGCAATCCTGCAAAGCAATTATGGAATTTTACCATAACTGCAGTATTTTCAATGTAAAAAATTAAATGTGATTTTTGGAATAATTTCCTTTCAACAATGTCAAAAAACCCATTTTATTTTATTTTATTTTTTTCTCGGCGATAGAGTCTCACTTTGTCGCCCAGGCTGGAGCGCAGTGGCGTGATCTCGGCTCACTGTAACCTCTGCCTCCTGGATTCAAGCGATTCTCCTTCTTCAGCCTCCCAAGTAGCTGGGACTACAGGCACATGCCACCACACCCGGCTAATTTTTGTATTTTCAGTAGAGATGGGGTTTCACCATGTTGGCCAGGCTGGTCTTGAACTCTTGACCTCAGGTGATCCACCTGTCTTGGCCTCCCAAAGTGCTGGGATTACGGGTGTGAGCCACCACACCTGGCCAAAAAATCCCATTCTTACCCATTTAAAATAGATGCTAAAACCAGAAACAGCAGTCTTTTACTGTTTTGAGAATGGCAACCAAAGAAATGTCAGATTCTTAGGACGCTCTGTCTCTCCATGACATAGTATTGAATGAAATAATTCTAGAAATTTTATGCCAACTGTAATTGCTTTAAGTCTGATTCTTATTCAATAAAGTAAGACATAAAACATGATAAGTCATATATATTCAAAGAAGAAAAATCAGATTATTTCAAAAATGAAAAGGGAGAAATTGAAAACCACTCATTAAACTGTAATTCAGCAAAAACCATAATGAGAAAACCAAAACCTTATAGAAATTTTTTCTACGAATATATATTACTCTTATAAGCACAAAATAATCTTTTAAAGAAGAGGTCTGGAATAAATATACTTTGAATAGCAGGGTTGTTGTTTTGGTTTAGCTTGGTATTTGTTAACTATCTAGAAATAGTAGCCATTCTGAGGACCTAAAACAAGTTGGAAGCATGCTTCGAAAGGCTCAGAAATGGTTATCCTGTGTGCCCCAATAGTTCTACTTTTAGAAATATATCCTAAGAAGATAATTTCAAGTGCAAAGGTATCTGTGAATCACTGTATTATTTAAGAAGTTAAAAACTACCATCAACATACATGTTAAAAAGAAGAAAATGGCTAAAAAAATTTATAGTATATTCATGATATCAATTAGCCATTAACATTTTTATTTACAAACAATTTCTAGAAAAAAATTTCTGACCATAGTAGGAAATTCTCATTTGGCAATGAAAACCTATTGAAACCAGGACACAAAATTGTATTCACAGTATAATTTCACCTATGTAACTAAAAAATATTACACAGCTGTGAGGTGAAGTGGCTCGTATCTGTAATCCCAGCACTTTGGGAGGCCGAGGGTGGCAGATCACCTGAGGTCAGGAGTTTGAGACCAGCCTGGCGAACATGGTGAAATCCCATCTCTACTAAAAACAAAAAAATTAGGCCGGGCGTGGTGGCTCACACCTGTAATCCCAGCACTTTGGAAGGCTGAGGTGGGCAGATCGCCTGAGGTCAGGAGATCGAGACCATCCTGGCTAACACGGTGAAACCCAGTCTCTACTAAAAATACAAAAAATTAGCCTGGCATAGTGGCACGCGCCTGTAGTCCCAGCTACTCAGGAGGCTGAGGCAGGAGAATTGCTTGAACTTCAGGGATGGAGGTTGCAGTGAGCCGAGATCGTGCCACTGTGCTCCAGCCTGGGTGACAGAGCAATACTTCATCTCAAAAATAATAATAATAATAATAATAAAATAAAAAAATTAGCCAGGTGTGGTGGCACATGCCAATAGTCCCAGCTTACTTGGGAGGCTGAGGCAGGAGGATCGCTTGAACCTGGGAGGGGGAGGCTGCAGTAAGCCAAGATCATGCCACTGTACTTCAGATTGGGCAACAGAGTGAGACTCTGGTCTCAAAAAAATAAAATAAAATATTACGCAGGGTAAAGAAAAAAACTAGAAGAAAATGCATGAAAATAGTAATAATTATCTACACATTGTAGAATAAGGATCAGTTCCATTTCTGCACATATCTGTCTCTTTTCAACTTACCTAAATTAAACCTGCATTATTGATATGGTTTGAAATAAAGGCTAGGTGCAGTGGCTCACGCTTATAATCCCAGCAGTTTGGGAGGCTGAGGCAGAAGTATCGCCTGAGCCCAGGAGTTTGAGATCAACCTGGGCAACATAGTGAGACTTTATCTCTACAAAAACAAAAAATTAGCTGGGCATGTGGCATGCGCCTGTAGCTTCAGCCATTTAATACTTGGGAGGCAGGGGTGGGAGGATCGCTGGAGCTCAGGAAGTCAGGGCTGCAGTGGACTATGATCATGCCACTGTACTGAGACCCTGTCTCAAAACAAAAAGCCAAATAATTAAAAAGAAAAAAAAAGAAAGAAAGAAATCCTTTAGCTGAATTCTCATATTAGCTTACATTTTTATCATTTAATTAAAGAACTTGTTGCAATTTTTGAACCAAGGTGTAACTAATATAACAATTTTTATAGTACTTCACTTTTTTTCTCAACACTCACTGTTATTTCAAATATTTTAAATATTCCTTATCATCTCGGGCTCTTCTCACACAGAGTAAAGGTCTATATTTCACATGTGTAACTGGGATAATGTTGCTAAATGTTGTTTGTAAATTAAATTTAACAGTGTATCAGGAACACATACATATACACAACATTACTTGAATTTATAGTATATAAAGCAATTACTCAACAAACCTATGAAGGATATTCATAACTTTCCAATCACCAGTAACACCACTAGTCATCCGAATCTTTTGTGCAATGCTAGAAACAGCTGCAAGAATTGCTGCTCCATCATTTCTTTGGAGTGCAGAACTGCCTAAAACCACCATTGGTTTTTTAGCTTCCTTTAGGACCTATTTAAAAAAAAAAACAACTTTGATTTTAAAATATTACAAGTAAGCTGAACACCAAACCATATTTGCCTCTATAATATAGGTTGTCCCAAGTCTTAGGTGTAACATGAATGTCTTCAATTTGTTAGCCCAACATACAGACACACATATACAACCAGATTTAGTTTAATCCAAAGCATCTTGCCAATGCTACTGTGAAATATGCCTGAGTATCAGCTAAAACACGTTTTCTAAAAGTAATTATTCAGAATAAAAAGCCTAGCAAATTATCCTGTGGTCAGAATAACTATGGGCAGGTCCCAGAAAAATTGGGGAACTTCTCTCCAGAGATTCAGATGTTAATTAAAGAATAGGAAAAACTATGCTTAAGTATCATGCCTACTATCTTCCATCTACTTACCATGCCACAGATAGGGAGGAGGAGGCAGGGAAAGCAATGATCACCAGATCACAATGTTAAATACCTACAATTTTAAGGCTTTGTTTTAAACCATAGTAACTCTAAATGACAAAAACTAGGAGAATGCATCCCAAGAGTAAAGGAAACTACAAATTTCACAGAAGATGGGCAAATAAGATGTAAAGTTATAGGCTGGGCACGGTGGCTCACGCCTGTAATCCCAACACTTTGGGAGGCTGAGGTGGGTGGATCACTTGAGGACAGGAGTTCGAGACCAGCCTGGCCAACACGGCGAAACCCCGTCTCTACTAAAAATACAAAAAAATTAACCAGGTGCGGTGTTATGTACCTGTAGCCCCAGCTACACAGGAGGCTGAGGCACGAGAATTGCTTGAACCTGGGAGGCGGAGGTTGCAGTGGGCCAAGATTGTGCCACTGCACTCCGTCTGGGCAACAGAGTGAGACTCTGTCTCAAAAACAAAACAAAACAAAACGTGTAAAGTTATAGAATACACGTCTCATTCTCCCACCCATCCTTTGTGTCATTCTTCAATAAATAGCTGGCCACAATCAAAGAATCAGCATGGAAATTATGCTGATATATTATAAAGAGGAATACATTAATCACAAGAGGAATTTGCCAAGGAAATGTGAATAGTTGAGAGAAATAGTTTTTAATAGTCTCAAAGACAATGAAAAATAACACACTCTTTCTCACTTAAAAACTCAAAGAAGCAACACTGTAGAGTATTATATAGTAAGGAGATTTTCATCATTGAATTCAGGATAGAACTGGAAGACAAACAAGTAATAAATACCATTCCAGAAACAATAAAAAACTAAACAGGCCAGGTGCAGTGGCTCAGGCCTGTAATCGCAACACTCTGGGAGGCCGAAGTGGGTGGATGACTTGAGCCCACAGGTTCAAGTACAGCCTGGGCAACGTGGCAAAACCTCGTCTCTACAAAAAATTGGCCAGGCATGGTGGTGTGCACCTGTGGTCCCAGTGGTGGCTGCAGTGAGCCAAGACAGCACCATTGCACTCCAGCATGGGTGACAGAGCCAGACCATCTCAAAAACAAAAAAAAAAGACAGAAAAGAAAGAAAACATGATTAAATACAAGGACAGGAAAGACAGGGTACAGGATACAAAACAAATGGAAAAAGGAAAAAAACACAGATATGAAAAACCAGGCAAGGTTGGCTCATGCTTGTAATCCCAACACTTTAGAAGGCTGAGGTGGGAGAATTGCTTGAGGCCAGGAGTTTGAGGCCAGACTGGGCATCACAATGAGCCCCATCTATACAAAAAAATATAAAAATTAGCTGGGCATGGTGGTGTATGCCTGCAGACCCAGCTACAGGGGAGGCTTAGGTGGGAGGACTGCTTAAGCCCAGGAGTTTGAGGCTACAGTCAGCTACAATTCTGCCATTGCACTGCAGCCTGGGCAACATAGTGAGACCTTAAAAATACATATATAGAAAAGAAGATTCGACAACTGCATTGTCAAGAGTTGTTTTTTTTTCTTTTGAGACAGGGTCTTACTCTGTTGCCCAGGCTGGAGTGCAGTGGCATGATCTCGGCTCACTGTGACCTCCACCTCCCAGGTTCAAGCTATTATCTTGCCTCAGCCTCCCAAGTAGCTGAGATTACTGGCACACGCCACCATGCCAAGCAAATTGGGGTTTTTTTGTATTTTTTAGTAGAGATAGGGTTTCACCATTTTGCCCAGGCTGGTCTTGCTCCTGACCTCAGGTGATTTGCCTGCATTGGCTTCCCAAAGTGCTGGGATTACAGGTGTGAGCCACCACATCAAGAGTTCTTAATGAAGGTAACAGAATTAATGAAAAATGTATTTAAATCTATTATAGAACAAAACGTTCTCAGGCCAGGCACAGTGGCTCACGCCTGTAATCCCAGTACTTTGGGAGGCCGACACGGGCAGATCACGAGGTCAGGAGATTGAGACCATCCTGGCCAACATGGTGAAACCCTGTCTCTACTAAAAATAAAAAAATTAGCTGGGCATGGTGGCGTGCGCCTGTAGTCCCAGGTACTCGGGAGGCTGAGGCAAGAATCGCTTGAACCTGGCAGACTGAGGTTGCAGTGAGCCGAGATCATGCCACCGTACTGCACTCCAGCCTGGGGACACAGCAAGACTCTGTCTCAAAAAAAAAAGAAAAAAGAAAAAAAGAAAAGGAAACGTTCTCTCAAAATAGTAGTCACCTATCACATGGGGATGGGAATTAGAGAGGAGAAAGGAAGACTTTTCACGGAATATTTTTTAATATTTTTGATCTTTTAATCATAATTTTTTTTCTATTCAAAATAAACAAGTTGTGCTTTGCTACTTCATCCTCTTGCACATCACCTTCTTCCCTACACCTGAGACTGTAAGTGAAGCAACCATCTTGGAACCACAAGGAGAAGGACACACACAATCACATGTGAGCAAGCAAATGCACTGACGACAGCAAAGCAGGAAGGCAGGCTCTCTTTGATGATATGCTTGGACAACTGCATCAGCTTTTTTTTTTTTTTCTTTCTTCTTTTTGTTTTTTTGAGATGGAGTCTCACTCTGTCACCCAGGCTGGAGTCCAATGGCGCAATCTCAGCTCACTGCAACCTCTGCCTCCTGGGTTCAAGTGATTCTCTTGCCCCAGCCTCTCAAGTAGCTGGGATTACAGGCCACTACAACCGGCTAATTTTTGTATTTTTTTTTTTTTAAGCAGAAGCGGGGTTTCACCATGGTGGTCAGGCTGGTCTCAAACTCCTGACCTTGTGATCCGCCCGCCTCAGCCTCCCAAAGTACTGGAATTACAGGCATGAGCCACCGCACCCAGCCTGCATCAGCTTTCAATGTGCCTACCTCCAGACCCCCTTGTGTGACAAACAGAAACTCCTTAGTTTTTAGTTGTTGGTTTTTTTTTTGTTTTTTTTTTTTTGAGATGGAGTCTCGCTCTGTCGCCCAGGCTGGAGTGCAGTGGCATGATCTGAGCTCACTGCAACCTCCGTCTTCTGGGTTCAAGCGATTCTCCACCCTCAGGCTCCCGAGTAGCTGGGATTACAGGTGCCCATCACCATACCCAGCTAATTTTTGTATTTTTAGTAGAGACGGGGTTTAACCATGTTGGCCAGGCTGGTCTCGAACTCCTGACCTCAGGTGATCCATACACCTTGGCCTCCCAAAGTGCTGGGATTACAGGTGTGAGCCACTGCACCTGGCCGGAAATTCCTTAGTTTCTTTCTTTTTTTCTTTTTTTTTTGAGACAGGGTTTCACTCCTGTTGCCCAGGCTGGAGTGCAATGGTGCAATCTTGGCTCACCACAACCTCCACCTCTCAGGTTCAAGCGATTCTCCTGCCTCAGCCTCCTGAGTAGCTGGGATTATGCATGCACCACCATGCCCAGCTAATTATGTATTTTTAATAGAGACGGAGTTTCTCCATGTTGGTCAGGCTGGTCTCAAACTCCCGACCTCAGGTGATCCACCCACCTCAGCCTCCCAAAGTGCTGGGATTACAGATGTGAGCCACCATGCCCGGCCAACTCCTTAGTTTTTTAATCACCTCCACCACCACACATATATTCTAAAATAAAGAGAACCTTGTATCTTTAGACTGAAAGTACATTCTGTCCTATAGTCTTATAGTGATGTCTTCACCTTTAAGACATATTTTGGTGAAGTTACTGAATTTCAAGAATGATAATCAGAATCCCAGCACTTTGGGAGGCCAAGGCGAGTGGACCACAAAGTCAGGAGTTGGAGACCAGCCTGGCCAATATGGTGAAACCCCGTCTCTACTAAAAATACAAAAATTAGCCAGGTGTGGTGGTGCGTGCCTGTAGTCCCAGCTACTCGGGAGGCTAAGGCAGGAGAATGAACCCGGGAGGCAGAGGTTGCAATGAGCCAAGATCGTGCCACTGCACTCCAGCCTGGGTGACAGAGCGAGACTTCGTCTCCCCGCCAAGGAAAAAGAAAAAAAAAGATAATCAGGACAGGGTTTGGGGCGGGGCGGAGGAATAAAGTTTACATGCTTCTTCACTAACAAAAGGCAGTGTCTATAAAGCTCAGAAAGGGGGGAAAAAAAAGTCTGACCCTGGAATTTCACATCCTGACAAGCTGTCTCTTCAGGAATAGACATTCTCAAGCAAGCAAGAACTCAAGGAATACAGGCAACCATGAGCCACCTTTGGGGAAAAGCAAAACAATAAAGCCAACAACAAAATGAATTAAAGAAAGAACTCAAATGAAAAAAACATGTACCTCAGAAACAAAAATAGAAGGACTGGTAAAATTTTAAGGAATAACTCCTTTTGTAATAAAGAAAGATTTAAATGAAGTTAAAAGTGCAATTCTTTCAGGTTTACTTTGATTTCTTTTCAGATAATTTCAAGAAAATTAAACTCTGGCAAATAAAAACTGCATGTACAGTATGATCTCATTTTTGTTTGACTATTCATCCATCTTGCTTTGCTCTCTACATAAATGGAGAGATTATGATGTTTTATCAATACCTGTTTTGGGGTGGTGGAATTTTAGGTAATGTTTTACTTTCTTCCTCATGTTCTTTTCTGTATTGGTGTAAGTTTTTTTGGGGGTGGGACAGAGTCTCGCTCTGTTGCCCAGGCTGGAGTGCAGTGGCACAATCTTGGCTCACTGCAACCTCCGCCTCCTGGGTTCAAGCAATTCTCCTGCTTCAGCCTCCCAAGTAGCTGATACTACAGGCGCACGCTAACTTTGGTTTGTATTTTAGTAGAGACAGGGTTTCACCGTGTTGCCCAGTCTGGTCTTGAACTCCTGACCTCAGGTGATCCACCTGCCTCGGACTCCCAAAGTGCTGGGATTACAGGCGTGAGCCACCGCGCCCAACCTGGTGTAAGTTTTAACACTTACATAGGATTATTACAAAAACAGTTAAGTTTAAATAATAATAATTAAAAATCAACAAGAGTAGATACACATAAGTTGAGAGCACCTGGCTAAATGGATGGCTTCCCGAAGCAATGTCTTGAAGAATTTTGGGGGAGTCTCCCAGGTGGTCATATGTGTAAGTGAGGTCCACTGGACTGCCTATAAGGGCCACTTTTAAGTCATTATGCAGCCAGCTGAAATAAAAACAACATTTTAAGAAGTAAATAACTAAGCTAAGCAGTTACTGGTCTCATCAATCCTAAGTGATACATCTATTTACTATTACAAAATGTTAAAAGCACAGACAATACATTTAACAGATATGATTTACTACGTACCTTTCAAAACAGTGTTGCAAAAAGGCATGCCAAGGCAATTCAGTGATTTAATTTGCTGTGTAGAAATGCTATCCAGACCAGGCGCAGTGGCTCACACCTGTAAATCCCAACACTTTAGGAGGCTAAGGCAGGTGGATTAATTGAGGTCAGGAGTTTGAAACCAGCCTGACCAACATGGTGAAACCCCATCTCTTCTAAAAATACAGTATTAGCTGGACATGGTAGCGCATGCCTGTAGTCCCAGCTACTTGGGAGGCTGAGGCAGGAGAATCGCTTGAACCCAGGAGGTAGAGGTTGCAGCGAGCTGAGATCGGGCCACTGCACTCCAGCCTGGGTAACAAGAGCAAAACTCCACCTCAAAATAAAAAATTTAAAAAAAAAAAAAAGAAAGAAATGCTAGTAAGCCAGCTATAAAAGTTATTTATTTATTAATTTATTTATTTTTGAGAGAGAGTCTCACTCTGTCACCCAGGCTGGAGTGCTGTGGCGCAATCTCGACTCACTGCAAGCTCCACCTCCCGGGTTCCAGCAATTTTCCTGCCTCACCCTCCGGAGTAGCTGGGATTACAGGCACCTGCCTCTACGCCCAGCTAATTTTTGTATTTTTAGTAGAAGGCAGGCTTTCACCATGTTGGCCAGACTGGTCTTGAACTCCTGACCTCAGGTGATCCACCCGCCTCAGCCTCCCAGAGTGCTGGGATTATAAGCATGAGCCACTGTGCCCGGCCTAAAAAAATTTTAATTTTAGAATTAATCTGTAATTTTTATTTTGCAGTATTTACATGACAGGGTCAATTATCTCTTAATTATCCATTAAGGATATTTAAACATTTTCATAATTCATGAAAATATACCATGTTATTGACATTTATTCTCCACAGCAGGGAACTATGGCTCCAGTTCCTCCAAAAAGTCATAAGTGCAATGACTATATAGTCTGGTTTGTCTGAGATAATGCTTTTTTTTTTCCCTGTTATCCTGATGTAATTATTAATTCCCTCTTTCACTCCCGTAGTTTAGACAATAAACTATATGGTTACCCTCTTTATAAATCTCTAAGATGTAAATTTAAAAGACAGAAAGCATGCTAGAAAATAACTGGCTTGTGTTCTTAAAAAAAAAAAAAAAAAAAAGTCAAAAAAGGGACCAGAAGAGTCATGAAACTAATTGTAATGTATGACTCCAGAATGGATCCTGAGGAAACAAAAAAATTGCTATAAAAGAAATTATGAAAAAAAAAATCAATGAAATTTAAATATAAACGTAGGCTTATGAAATAATATTGTATCAAAACTAAATTTCTGGCTGGATGCAGTGGCTTATGTCTATTACTCCCAGCACTTTCAGAGGCCAAGGCAGGAGGAACACTTGAGCTCAGGAGTTCAAGACCAGCCTGGGCAACATAGGGAGATCCTGTCTCTACAAAAGGTATTTTAAAAAATTAGCTGGGCATGGTGGTGCATGCCTGCAGTCCCAGCTACTCAGGAGGTTGTGGTGGGAGCATCATTTGAGCCCAGGAGGTCAAGGCTGCAGTGAGGTGTGATCATGCTAATATACCTTAGCCTGTGTGGCAGAGCAAGACCCCTAACACAAAAACTAGCTGGACGTGGTGGCATATGCCTGTATTCCCAGCTACTCAGGCAGCTGAGGCAGGAGAATTGCTTGAACCCAGGAGGCAGAGGATACAGTGACCCGAAACTGAGATCTCAGAAACCAAAAAAACTAAATTTCTTTTTTTTGAGATGGAGTGTTGCTCTTGTTGCCCAGGCTGGAGTACAGTGGCATGATCTTGGCTCACCACAACCTTCGCTTCCCAGGTTCAAGCGATTCTTCTGCCTCAGCCTCCCAAGTAGCTGGGATTACAGGCATGCGCCACCATGCCCGGCTAATTTTGTATTTTTAGTAGAGATGGGTTTCTCCATGTTGGTCAGGCTGGTCTCAAACTCCTGACCTCAGGTGATCCACCTGCCTCAGCCTCCCAAAGTACTGGGACTACAAGCGTGAGCCACCACGCCCAGCCTAAATTTCTTCATTATTTAAGAGAATGCTCCTTGTTCTCAGGAAATCCACGCTGAGAATTTAGGTATAAAAGGGCACCATGTCCACCAGAAACTTCCAAATGATTCAGAAAATTAGATTCACACACACATATATATGTAGTGTGTATATATATATATATATATATACACACACACTGAGAATCATAATACAAATATGGCAAGATGTTAACATCAGTTAATCTATGTGAACAATATACAAAATGGTATACAAAGACCATTTCAAGCATCTTGAATTATTTCAAAATAAAAAGCTAATAAAGTAAATTTAAAAGACTCGCAAGGAGAGGAGAAAACGGACCTATTAGAAATTGTTGCAACTGGGCGTGGCAGTTCATGCCTGTAATCCCAGTACTTTGGGAGGCCAAGGTGGGAGGATGGCCTGAACCCAGGAGCTCGAGACTAGCCTGGCAACATGGCAAGGCTCCATCTCTAAAAAATTAAAAAGGCCGGGCGCGGTGGCTCACACCTGTAATCCCAGCACTTTGGGAGGCTGAGGCGGGCGGATCACAAGGTCAGGAGATCGAGACCACGGTGAAACCCCGTCTCTACTAAAAATACAAAAAATAAGCTGGGTGCAGGGGCGGGCGCCTGTAGTCCCAGCTACTCGGGAGGCTGAGGCAGGAGAATGGCGTGAACCCGGGAGGCGGAGCTTGAAGTGAGCCGAGATCGCACCACTGCAATCCAGCCTGGGCGACAAAGCGAGACTCTGTCTCAAAGACAAAAAAATAAAAAATAAAAATAAAAATAATTTTTTAAAAATCTAAAAAATTAAAAAAATTAAAAAAAAAAAAAGGCTCGGTGCAGTGGCTCACACCTGAAATCCCAGCACTTTGGGAGGCTGAGGCGGGCGGATCACGAGGTCAGGAAATCGAGACCATCCTGGCTAACATGGTGAAACCCCATCTCGAGGCGGAGCTTGCAGAGCCGAGATCCTGCCACTGCACTCCAGCCTGGGTGACAGAGTGAGACTCCGTCCCACCAAAAAAAAAAAAAAAAATTGTCTTCCAGTTATCTTTTGGAGTCTCACTACCACTAACACTATTAGGAAGATGCCATTTTTCACATATAAAACAAAAAAATTACATAAATATTTTTAAACCTTGAATAAATACTATTACCAACCTCTTTCGAATTCTAGCATTAAACAGTGGTGCCTCAAAACGTGGGTTTGTACCAACCAGAAGAACAACATCTGCCTCTTCCACACCAGCAATTGTAGTATTAAGAAGATAATTGGAACGCAAATCTGTGCTAGAAATACAATATATAAAATGCAAATTTACTTTAAAATTAAGACATACAGAGAATCCATGAAATATTCTCCTATCATCAAACCCATTGCCTTCTCAAACAAAAAATTTTATGAAGTATTTCTAAATTAAATGAACATTTCAGATACTTATTTTTTTTCTCAGATAGAGTCTCACTCTGTCTCCCACGCTGGAATGCAGTGGCGTGATCCTGGCTCACTGCAACCTCCACCTCCCAGGTTCAAGCAATTCTCCTGCCTCAGCCTCCCAAGTAGCTGGAATTACAGGCGCACACCACCACGTCTGGCTAATTTTTTTGTATTTTTAGTAGAGACGGGGTTTCGCCATGTTGGCCAGGCTGGTCTCAAACTCCTGCACTTAGGCGATCTGCCTGCCTTGGCCTCCCAGAGTGCTGGGATTACAGGCGTGAGCCACTGTGCCTGAGATACTTAGTGATAAGTGGATTCCTCTATTTCCTACAACTTCTGGTTTGATCTTGGTCTATATATGAAAATAAACTGGGGGATATGTTGGAGAATCCAGGTTGTCACATTTTATACATAACTTGTAACTAAAAAAAGAAAGGAAAGCCTAGATCCTAGCTTCATATTTCTCACCCAGCTCCTGCAGTGGGGAAGACCTCTTCAGTGCATAAGGTGTCAGAGTCCACTCTATTAAGCAAATCTTTGAGAGCTACCAGGGCTTCAGCATCCACCAAGCCACCTGCAATTGCTGCCACATCTTTGCCTTGAAAACTCTGCAACTAGAAACAGATGAAAAGGGCATCACCAAGAAACCTACACGCAGCAAAGACCACAATGAAATGTTCAGAAAATAAAACAGTACTTGTTTTCAAGTACAAAAAAAGTTAACAGACTTCTGATTAAAAGTTTTACAACATGCCCAGGCACACTGGCTCATGCCTGTAATCCCAGTACTTTGGGAGGCAGAAGTGGGCGGATCACCTGCAGTCAGGACTTTAAGACCAGCCTAGCCAACATGGTGAAATCCCATCTCTACTAATAATACAAAAATCAGCTGGGCATGGTGGCATACGCCTGTATCCCCAGCTGCTCGGGAGGATGAGGCAGGAGAACTGCTTGAACCAAGGAGGCAGAGGCTGCAGTGACCCGAGATCGAGATCGCGCCACCGCACTCCAGCCTGGGCGACAACAGCAAAACTCCATCTCAAAAACACAAAAAAAGTTGTACAACAATTATTAATTAATCTAAAAGTGAAAAGCTGCAGAGGTGTTATGTGGGGCCACAGCTAATAACATCAACTTAGAAGGAAGCTGTTTTATATTTAGGAACAAAGGCACTTCAAAATGAGGTCTGGAGAATGAAGTGGAACTATAGTTACCTTAAATGCGACCTCCTCTGAAGTATCTGCCTTTCCCTCTAGTGCTTTATGTTGTCTTTCTCTAACAAGAAAACTATTCCCTCCACTTGTACTCTGGCAAGCTTATATTCATTCTCAGATTCTTCTTTAAGAATCACCTTCTGTAGGAAGGCAGCTTTTTTTTTTTTTGAGATGGAGTCTCGCTGTGTCACCCAGACTGGAGTGCAGTGGTGCGATCTCGGCTCACTGCAACCTCCAAGGAAGGCATCTTGATATGCCTGTCCTAGTTAGGCATTCCTCCTACGTGCTCTCACTCATATTACTCCTTATATAATTACTCATAGCTGCATATAATAATTGCTGAATTGTGCAACTTTCTCTACTACAAGATTGTAGGATGCAGGAATGATGTGTCTCTGGTCTTTATATCCCTTAATAGCATAATATCTAGCATATGTCCTCAGTAGATGTCTGTAAAATGGAAGGAGATTAAATCATAATCTTGGTAAAAGTAAAAAAGGGAAGAAATATACATCCCCCCCTTCATGGCAAAGATGTTTCTTGATAATCACAAACACTATTTAACACTATTTATTTCAAATTTTACCATTCCAGCTACGCGAGAGAGCGCATCCTCCCAAGAAGTATAGGTTAAAAGCCCTTTTTCATTTCTGACCATTGGCTCGGTAAGTCTTTGACGTTTTAGCCCATCATAGGCAAATCTAGAAAACAGAAATTACACCATTGTGGAATCTTGCTAAAGAAGTAACTATAATTTTCAAGTTAAATCAACAAGAAATGTTATTTAAATACAGTACTGGTTAAAGTGTCAAATATCTAAACACCTAGATACAAGTAATTATTCCAGATATTTTTAGAGATGAACTAATAGATTTTATGAACTTCACCTAAAACTAAAATACCATCTGAAAGTTTGATTTCTTCCCTTAAATCATACAAAAAAAAGTTTGATTTCTTATACTTTCAGCTAACTGAACAATCTTAAAATTACAACACAAAAAAATCTGACAGCTAAAAAAGTCAAATCATTTTTATTTACAAAGCATGAGTATCTCTAAATATTTTATCAAAATTATATTGTGCAAACTCTTCTATTCAGCTTCTTTTTCAAGCAATCATCCCACCTCGGCCTTCCAAAGTGCTGGGATTACAGGTGTGAGTCACTGCGCCCAGCCTAGCTTCTTTTCTCTAATGAACAAACTGAAATAAGTTGAGAATGTATCAATCTACTTGAATTTCTCCATGTGGGAGGAAAAAATATCTTTCTCAAAGTAAATACAATATCCAGGGATTGACCTAGGACTATTAAAGTCAGTATTATCACATTATATAAGCAACTCAGATTCCAGTAGTCTATATTCAGTAACTAATTTGCAAATATAAAAGATAATTCTTCAAAATTATTATAAAATTTCCTTTAAATAAACTGTAAAAGTTAAGGAAAACAATATAGCATATACCTGGTTTTATCAGAGATCCACTCTTCATTGATGTCCTCATGCATACGTGGCAAAATCCTCATCACTTCTCCAGTTCTTGTGCTAACCACAATATTACTTCCAACCGCATCCATTACATCAATGGATTCTGTCTTTCTGAGAAACACATACGGTGTTTACTATGGTGCTTTTGGGAATAAAGAAAGTTTCTGTTACCTGGTTTACCAAAAAATTTTTTTTACAATTAATTCCCTTTCTGAATTACTTTAAAAAATGAAGCTTAGAGGAACTGCAATTAAATAAAAGAACCCCCCACCTTTTTTTTTGCCCTGGGGTCTCACTCTGTTGCCCAGGCTACAGTGGCATGATCATAATTCACTGCAGCCTAGAACTCCTGGGCTCAAACTATCCTCTCACCACATTTTAAAAATTTTTTGTAGAGCCGGTGTCTCATTATGCTGACCAGGCTGGTCTTGAACTACTGGTCTCAAGCAATCCTCCCACCTTGGCCTCCTAAAAGCTGGGATTATAGGTGTGAGCCACTGCTCCCGGCACACCCACATTTGAACACATAAATTCCTGGCACAGTAAGGAAGGCTTTAAAACTATTATCTGACACAGAAGCTAGTTTGAAGGGGCTCCAACTAGCCAAATCTGGGACGATTCAACAAGAGGGGCAGGATTTCTGTCTATGGGAGATTAAGGAGCTCAAAAAACCTTCCCACTGAAAAGCAAAAGTAAAGCTGGCCAAAAATGACAAAACCCACCATTTCAGCAGTTTAGAAATCTAAACACATACAATGTGGGAAGCTTTTATGCACTGAAAAACTGGTGGCTGGGCTCAGTGCTCCTCCTATGCTCCTCTCCACCCCCTCAAAATGGAATTTCTTCGAGGCCGGGGCAGGCTGTGAAGATGAGAACTTCTTTGGTACAGATGGAGACAACTCACTTAACTTGGAGCACGAGGCAAACTTGTTTGTGGAGGTGATACTTTGGAGGTCATCGTAGCTGAGGATAGCCAAGATTTTACCAGCCTAAGTTTGTAGTGGTAATTGCGGCAAGCATTCCTAACAGAGGCTGCTACATGTGCAGGTGAAACCAGAGAAAGCTCAACCTATTCATAAACTCCTGGATAACTCTGAGACCCAAAGGGCCCAGTGCAAAGTAATAGCTGGGCAAACTTGAAAACAGCCTCAACTTTGAATATGCTCCTCCATCCACAAACAGATCCATTGGCAAAGAACATAACTCTTATTAGGTCACGGTGTTTGAAGTACAATTATACCTGACTACTAAACTATGCAGACACAGGGGAACTCCTAAGAAGCCTCACTTAAAAATAAAACCAAGAATATTAAAATATGTTGAAAGAACCAAAGAAAATCATATTTAAAAATTGAAGGGGATGTATGACAACCACGAATCAGCAAGTAGAGATTCTCAGTAAGGACACAGAAATTACACAGAAACAAAAAGCCAAATCCCAAGTTGAAAAGTATAAAGTTTAAAATTGGATGATAATTTGTTATGTTTTAAGAACCTTAAAAATAATCACACCTCTTGCATCTATCTACTCCATTTCTTGGTTTAATCAGGAGAATGAGAGATATACACAGAAATGTGTAAACAGCAATATTTTTTACAGATTTGTAATCATAAAGAAATATACAAGCTAAATGTCTATTAGCAGAAACTGGCTAAATGACATTCCTCATAGTTGAAAACTTAATAAACAACAACATGGGAGACTATACATTTAAAATGTCAACACTATTAAACTCTTTGGAAGAACACATGAAAAAAATAATTTTGTGGTTGAGTACTTTAGAATTAATTTCCAAGAAAACTACAGTTAATTTGCACAGGTTCAATCCATTCTAACTACTTACCTTCTATTTAAAGGGTTTTACATAAACAAACAAAGTCAACAGACCAAAACAACTGAAACCCAGGAAGAAAATGAACCTTAATATTTTTTTGAATAGTAATGAATTAAGGACAAAAAAACAAATTGTCATAAAATAAAAGATACCTTGTTTCCCAAGGCCGGGCAGTAAAGGCATAGGGCTTAGAGGTTAGGGCACCTACAGGGCAGATATCAATGATATTCCCAGACAGTTCAGACATGAACATCTTTTCAATGTATGTGCCAACTTGCATATCATTTCCTCTGCCTGTTGTTCCCAAATCATCTACTCCTGCAATCTCACTTGCAAACCTACAAGATAAAAAATGTGTCATCAATGGTCAAGTCCAGCAAAATTATTTCCTTTCTTATTCATGATCACAAAGAGATGATTTTCCAAACACTAAAAAGAAATGAGTATATTTTTAAAGGTGAGCACAGTCCTAGAATAAAAAATAATGAAATGTTTGCATTTAATTGAGGTGTAACACACAGGCAGAAACTTGTACAAATCATATGTGTACAACTCACCAAGTTATGAGTGAAAGCAAATGCTTATAGATTTTAATTTTTAAATCCACCTGAAGTTGGTACTAAATGAAAGTGAACTTATTTTATTCATATATCAGAAACAGCATCCCTCTTCTCCCACCCAAAAAAAGTAGCCATTCTTTCCAATGTTATTATTCATCAAATTGTGACTATTAAGTATACAATTATATTCTATAATAGAAAAAAAAGGAAAAAAAGTTACCTGATGCAGCGAGTACACTGTATACATCTTGTCATGATGGTCTTTACCAATGGCCCAATGTTCTTGTCTTCCACAGCACGCTTCCCCTCTAAAAATCGGCTCCTATCATTTCCAAACATCATGGACTGGTCCTTAAGTAGATTATGAAAGAGTCAATCTCATGCTGCTAATAAAATTAAAATCTGAGACAACCAAAAAGATTGACAGAATTCTACTACATACCTGCAGATCACATTCACCTCCCTGGTCACAAATAGGACAGTCCAATGGGTGATTTGCTAATAAGAACTCCATCACACCTTCCCTGTATGAAAATTGTAACATATAAAATGACTCTCAAATACACACACACTGACATTAACTGCTGGCACTCAAAATGACCTATAGACTTTATTTTTTTTTTTTGAGATGGTGTCTCGCTCTGTTGCTCAGGCTGCAGTGCAGTGGCACAATCTTGGCTCACTGCAGCCTCCTGCCTCCACCTCTCAGGTTCAAGCGATTCTCTTGCCTCAGCCTCCCGAGTATCTAGGATTACAGATGCCCACCACCACACCTGGCTAATTTTTGTATTTTTAGTAGAGGCAGGGTTTCATCATGTTGGTCAGGCTGGTCTCGAACTCCTGACCTCAAGTGATCCTCCCGCCCTGGCGTCCCAAAGTGCTAGAATTACAGGCGTGAGCCACTGTGCCAGGCCCACATATAGGCCATTTAAACAACCTTCATAGATGTATATTTGTTATACAATTAATAGTAATTTTACATTTAATATCAGAAATGCCAATTATCTATCATTGTGGTAATATTTTTTTTAAGAGACGGGGTCTTGCTATGTTGCCCAGGCTGGACTCGAGCTCCTGGGCTCAAGTGATCCTCCCGAGTATCATTCTGGTAGTATTAAACACACAATCTGGAAAATGCTTAGAGGAGCCTAGAATAAAGTATCATTAGAGAACATAGAAAATTATGATTTTTGGTCAGGTTTGGTGGCTCACGTCTGTAATCCCAGAACTATGGGAGGGAGGCTGAGGCAGGATGATCACCTGAGGCCAGGAGTTCAAGCCCAGCCTGGACAACATAGTGAGACCTCGTTTCAAAAAATAAAGAAAATTGTAACTTTTAACAATACCGAATGATCAAAAGTTGCTGAATGGTCCTCAGAAAATATTCACATTAATTCAAAATAAAAACAAACACAATCAATCCCAGTATAGTATAGTAGTAGCTTAGTAAGTCCAGATTCACCCTTCTTCACAAGTTGAGCAAGTTACTAAAGAAGGATTTTTAATGCTGATCCTAAAGCTCAATACCATAAACTCCTGACTTCACCTTCTCTACTATGTAGTACTCACTTCTATTGCTCCTAGAAGCTGAGCACACCAACTTCTTCCGAGTTTGATATTAAATTCTTAATCTATGGGAAGGTCTAAATACCAAAATGTGCAATTTTCTGCTTTATGAAAGGGTACTACATTGAATAACAATAAAGTACCTGGCTTTTTTGGATTTTTCTGAGTTTGTTAGGATATTCCAACCCTTCATTACTGGCATGGCACAAGCAGCTACAACCTGGGATTTCAATGAAAAAAAAAAATGTGTATTTGTATTTATTTGTGATTACAAGCAACTCAATATATAAAAATGTTAAATTATATAAAAACATTAAATTATACATTTGATAACAGGCAAAGAATAGGGTATTTTTTAAAACTGAATTTTGTTAAGTTTTCATATTCATAATACGATGATCTAGTACTTTGCATTTATCTCAGAAATAAAACATCCTGGTTTTTAGGTTTATTCTAATAGTCAATGCAATTTTTTATTCTGCTCTGAAACAGAACACCAAATAACTGCTTTGATTAGCAGGCACTATTGAATAAAAAAATTGCATACACCAAAATGAAATTAAACTACTGAAAGTGAACTTCTTCCCTGCAACCCTTTTCTCTACTAAAAATGGCAGGGCGTCAGCACTTTTAATGTGCTACTTGGCAACTCTACATCCTGGTTATATATTATACAGCCATTTGGAAATACTGACAACTATAAATCACCTTTAATTTCTAGATATGTTACAATTATATGACATGTGTTTGTAAAGCACTTCTATCTATGTGTTTCCAGTTTTGAAATGAAGAGAATCAATTGTACAAAAGAATTAAATTTATAGATAGAAGTAAAGAGGGCTAGGTTCTCCACTACGATATTGATTCTAAATAAAGTTTGCTGCAAGATTTAAAGTTTTCTACCTTCTACAGCATGGTGTAGAATTTTAGGTATCAAGTACCTTAGGGGCTTTCTCAATTTCAACAAGGCACATCCTGCAGTTTCCAGCAACAGACAACCTTTCATGATAACAGAATCGAGGGATCTGCATGCCAACCTTCTCACAAGCCTAGAAGTAAAAAAAAAAAAAAAAAAAAAAAAAGCATTAGAATAACCTGACTTCACTGCTGTTATTGCTGAAACACACACATACAGCATCTTATTACTTCTATCTATCTATCTATCTATCTATCTATCTTAATTCATTCTTATTTCAGTCCCTTTCTTTGCCTTTGATTCTAACCCGTCTCCTCTGAAGCTGCCTCAGAGGATCTCAGGATCCTTGGCGTGACTTCACCTTATGTGGAAGAAACTGGATAAAGTATCCTTCCACTGTGCTGAAGACTTGACTTCCCACATCCATTTTGAACCATTGTCCACAATGTCCCCAGTGGTTTCATACCTGGACTTCTTCTTTGCCTCGCTCCCCTCCTTTGGATTAGAGATTTCACTACACATTATCTAGCTGGCTATCTGTCTTTGGCTCCTATATGCTACCCAGGACTCACCTCCCACTGTGGCTGAAGGTTTTCCCAGTTTCTGTTTGCCCAGTAAGGGGGATTATCCCTGCTCTGCCAATTATCACCTACCCTGCTCTGCAATTTCTTCCTCCTTTTAGTCTATAAACATGTTCAAATTTCCTCTAGAGTTAGTTCCTCATCCTCAGCCTTCATTCTAAAGCAATCTCATCAATTTCCAGTGTTTAAACTATTTAGTTAGCAAAAATGTGTTGAGTCTTTCCTTTGTGCAGGATGCAGGTATAGTAGTGAAAAAGACAGATAGTGTCCCAGCCTTCATCCTAGCTGACATTCCTTATGCTGATTATGTCCAAACCTTAATCTGCAGCCATGTTAGACCTCCACTTCTCCAAGCTTCAGATTTACAGGTATTTGCATGTGTATGTTCCACAGACAGCTTAAATTCAAATGATTTCTCTCCCCTCTATACACTCCAAAATAACCTAACAAATGCAGAAAACCACAAGAATTCCTCCGGTCTCTTTGAGTTCTAAAGAACTATTTGTCTGTGGCTCTACTGAAACTTCTTTTGTGTTTTTTTTTTCTCACTGTTAAAGCAATATTGGGAAGTTCTGTACGACGGGGGAAAAAATCCCTCGGGTCTTCATCATTCCTGAAGGCCTGTCTACATTTCATTCTCCCTTGAATCTACTCTCTTGTTTTCATTCCCATTGACACTATCTATTTTAGGGCTTTTGTAGTATCCTGTCCCAATAATACAAAATGCTTTTTCCTTGTCTCTTATTCCAGTCTTGCTATTCTCCAAATGATCATCCTCTACAGTCGCTGTCACCCTGTTTAAATAGGCAACAAAACTCCTGATGGATCAAAATATAAGCTCTTCTGCATAGCAGATACTGTATTTCATGACTGGACCTTCCCTTCCTCAATAACTTGATTTCCTGTGATCTCATCTTCTACTTATACCTTATGTTTCATCAATATTAAACTATTTGAAGCTTTCAAAATATGACAAGCTATCTGCCTTAACTTTTTCCATAGGAAATGCAAGCATGTCGTTCTTGTTCACAATATGAACACACCTGTTCATCCTTTAACACCTCCTCAGGGATGACCTGAGGCACCCAATACCTCTTTCTACTACCTCCTATCCCTGCCACAACTTTTCACTGTACCTTGAACATACATTTATATCATATTTTGTGCTTTCATGTCTGTGACTGGCAGATAGTCTAGAAATGACTGCTAAAATGAACAAAGAACATTTAGATCTGTGACAACTTACAAATGGAGTGAAGCATGACTTCTCTATGACCAATTTATTATTTCTGGAGGAATATGAAGAAATATTTAGAGCATGAATGTAAGCACATGCTACCCTCCATTTACCTGCTTTGTAGGATATATTCCTATGAATATTACTAACCACAGAAAGGTTATATGAAAATGAAAAGCATTAAGCAGGCCCACAACAAATGGAGGTTATTTTTTCACAAACTTACCTATAGTAACTAATTTAAGTTACTTCAAATTTCTTTTCTTTTTTTTTGAGACAGAGTCTTGCTCTGTTGCCCAGGCTGGAGTGCAGTGGCACAATCTCGGCTCACTGCAACCTCCGCCTCCTGGGTTCAAGCAATTCTCCTGCCTCAGCCTCTCGAGTAGCTGGGATTACAGGTGCGCGCCACGATGCGCAGCTAATTTTTTGTATTTTTAGTAGAGAAGGGGTTTCACAGTGCTGGCCAGGCTGGTCTAGAACTCCTGAATGATCCGCCCGCCTCGGCCTCCCAAAGTGCTGGGATTACAGGCATGAGCCACTGCGCTCGGACTTCAAATTTCTTAATGGGTATTCATTTGGAATGAAAAGTGAAACAAAAGAACTACCATAATTCACTAAAAATGCCACAAACAAATATATGATAGCTCACTTTGAAGTGCCAAGATTTAAAATGAAATAATTTTAATATAACTTTGCTGTGTATAGTTATTTTAAAGAATTATTTACTAATAATCAGTATAAAGGAAATAAATTAGTATTTTTAAAAAAATCAGAACACACACACAAAATAGTTAGAATGTATGCCTACTTGGAGGACGGTCGTTCCCGGTTCCACCATGACAGACTGACCATCAACAAATACTTCAATCAAGTTGCTTGCTGCTGTGGCAGTTGTTCGAACTGACCATCAAAGATATTGAAGCGAAAAACAGATTAACAGTTTATTATAGCAGATGATAATGGATGAATTGACTCTAACTACAAACCTAAAATTTTTCATTCCTTATTATTCCTCTGTATTGCTCTGGATGCAAACTTATGGTTGTCTACTTTTGATAGCAGAGTAGTTTAAACTGAAACTTCTTTCTTCTTCTTTTTTTTTTTTTTTTTTTGAGAGGGAGTCTTGCCCTGTCACCCAGGCTGGAGTGCAGTGGCGCCATCTTGGCTCACTACAACCTCCACCTCCCCGGTTCAAGCGATTCTCCTGCCTCAGCCTTCCGAGTAGCTGGGATTACAGGAACTCACCACCACGCCCGCTAATTTTTGTATTTTTAGTAGAGACAGGGTTTCGCCATATTGGCCAGGATGGTCTCAAACTCCTGACCTCAAGTAATCCTTCTGCCTCGGCCTCCCAAAGTGCTGAGATTACAGGAGTGAGCCACCATACCCAACTTTAAACTGAAACTCTTAATGTCACTGAAAATATGTTCATGGGAAGATCACTTTTCAAAAACAGAATGTGATTTTTCCATTTTGGCATTGATGTGTGTAGTTCCTAATACTTTCTATTCCATGATAATTCCTATAAACTGTTTAAAGTAAAATTATATTTTGAAAATTATTCAACTTAGATCATTTGTTTCTTCTTTTTTTTTTTTTTTCCAAGATGGAGTCTCGATCTATCTCCCAGGCTGGAGTGCAGTGGTACAATCTTGGCTGTATGCAACCTCCACCTCCCGGGTTTAAGCTATTCTTGTGCCTCAGCCTCCTGTGTAGCTGGGATTACAGGTGTGCCCCACCATGCCCAGCTGATTTTTATATTTTTAGTAGTGATGGGGTTTCACTATGATGGCCAGGCTGGTTTTGAATTCCTGGCTTCAAGCAATCCACCTGCCTCAGCCTCTCAAAGTGCTAGGATTACAGGCATGAGCCACCACACCCGGCCGGTTTCTATTTTTATTTTAAAAAATCATGGGTTTAGGGTCTTTGATAAACTATGCCATAGACTTATAAATTTACAAAAATAAGGTCTAATATCCACGAATGCAAATTTAAGAAAATACTCACCACATCCTTTAGGAGACTTAGAAAGGCCTACTAAGGCCTTTCTTACAGGTATCCTTAACATATTGCTAAAAATAAAACAAAGAATTATATTATTGTAGGGAAAAAAACAATCACCAACTGTTTGGTAATGTTTTATGGCTTTAAATTATTTCACATACATTATGTCATTGAACACTCATAGGTTCTGATATTTTCACTTAGTCTGTAGATGAGAATTCTCAGTCTCAGAGATACTGACTTGTACAATGTCAAAGAGCTAAGCAGCAGCAGCTATTGTATACATTTGGACTTTCTAATTCTATGCAGAGAGCAGTTTTGCCATTTAAAAAAAAATGACATAGAAAGGATCAAACTTAAAGCACTACCACACAGTAAAATAAACTGCAAGACTAACAGTGAGCTTATCATTAATGGTTATGTAAAATAAAGTTGTCTTTTCTGCTTTTATTTCCTACCAATACCCATTCTATCATTTCATGTTCTAAGCATAGCTGTCTACTAAATGTTCCTGAGATATTCTGAGATAGCTCACCAGCCCAAGCCTTTGAGGTGTCTTGATTGCTATTTTCTGGTACACTTATCTTACAGATTTCCAATTATGTGTTTATAAGCCCGTTCTGCCCTCACTGCATTAATTCCTTGAATTTTTCTATCTTCAGTACCTATCCACCAGGCTGGCACAGAGTAAGCTCTTAAACAATGGCTCTCAACTGAGGACAATTTTGCTCCCCAGGGAATATTTAGCAATGTCTGAACACACTGTTGTCACAAACAAGGGGAAGTTACTGACATCTAGTGGGTAGAGGACAAGGTGCTGGCTATTCTACAATGTACAGGACAGTCCCCCACAATAAAGATAATTATCCAAAGTGTCAACAGTGCTGAAGTTGAGACACTGCTCTAAAAGGCTTGCTGAATTACTGAAATAAATGGGTGTCGATTATATAAACACCACGACTTAAAGACACACAAAACAGAAAAGTTACCAAAACTTCTTTTTATTTGTTTTTGTTTGTTTGTTTCTGAGATGGAGTCTCGCCCTATCACCCAGACTGGAGTGCACTGGTGCAATCTCGGCTCACTGCAACCTCCACCGCCCGGATTAAAGCAATTCTCCTGCCTCAGCCTCCTGAAGAGCTGGGATTACAGGCACCCGCCACCACACCCGACTAATTTTTTGTATCTTTAGTAGAGACAGGGTTTCACCATGTTGGCCAGGCTGGTCTCGAACTCCTGACTTCATGATCCGCCCACCTTGACCTCCCAAAGTGTTGGGGTTAAGGCGTGAGCCACCGTGCCCGGCCCTTTTTTTTTTTTTTTTTTTTTGAGATAGAGTCTTACTCTGTTGCCCAGGCTGGAGTGAGTGCAGTGGCACGATCTCAGCTCATTGTAACCTCTGCCTCCTGGGTTCAAGCGATTCTCCTGCCTCAGCCTCCAGAGTAGCTGAGACTACAGGCATGCACAACCATGCCAGGCTAATTTTTGTATTTTTATTATTTATTTATTTTATTTATTTATTGAGACGGAGTCCCGCTCTGTTGCCCAGGCTGGAGTGCTGTGGCGCGATCTCAGCTCACTGCAACCTCCGCCTCCCAGGTTCAAGCGATTCTCCTGCCTTGGCTTCCTGAGTAACCGGGACAGGTGTGTACCACCATGCCAGGCTAATTTTTTGTATTTTTAGTAGAGACGGGGTTTCATCGTGTTAGCCATGATGGTCTCCATCTCCTGACCTCATGATCCAGTCAGCTCAGCCTCCCAAAGTGCTGGGATTACAGGAGTGAGCCACTGTGCCCAGCCTATTTATTTATTTTTGAGGCAGGGGTCTTGCTGTCACCCAGTCTCACTCTGTCACCCAGGAGTGCAGTGGCAAGATCTCGGCTCACTGCAACCTCCACCTCCCAGGTTCAAGCAATTCTCAGCCTCCCGAGTAGTTGGGATTACAGGCGCCCATCAACATGCCCGGCAAATTTTTGTATTTTTAGTAGAGACAGGGTTTCGCCACGTTGGCCAAGGTGGTCCTGAAGTCCTGATCTCAGGTGATCCACCTGCCTTGGCCTCCCAAAGTGCTGGGATTACAGGTGTGAGCCAATACGCCTGGCCAATTTTTTTATTTTTTAGTAGAGATGGGGTTTCGCCATGTTGGCCAGGCTGGTCTCAAACTCCGGACCTCAGGTGATCCACCTGCCTTGGCCTCCCAAAGTGCTAGGATTACAGGCGTGAGCCACCACGCCCGGCCAAGTCACCAAAACTTCTAAACTTTTTGAGTTTTTTTTTTTTCCTACTCACTTGATCATATAGGCTAAGCACTGAACTTTCCTTCTATTCACTTGATCATATAGGTTGAGCATCCAAAATCATTTGGAACTTTTAAAGGTATTAAAAATGCCTGTAATCCCAGCACTTTGGGAGGCTGAGGCAGGTGGATCACGAGGTCAAGAGATCGAAACCATCCTGGCCAACATGGTGAAACCCCTTCTCTACTAAAAATACAAAAAAATAGCCGGGCGTGGTGGCAGGCGCCTGTAGTCCCAGCTACTGGGGAGGCTGAGGCAGGAGAATGGCGTGAACCCGGGAGGCGGAGCTTGCAGTGAGCCAAGATCACGCCACTGCACTCCAGCCTGGGCGACAGAGCAACACTCTGTCTCAAAAAAAAAAAAAAAAAAAATGCAAATTGGACAGGAGAGGTGGCTCACGCCTGTAGTCTCAACACTTTGGGAGGCCATCACAGGAAGATGGCTTGGGTCTAACAGTTAGAGGCCAGCCTGGGCAACACAGCATGATCCCATCTCTACCAAAAAAAAAAAAAAATTAGCTGGGTGTGGTGGCATGCGCCTGTGGTCCCAGCTTCACAGGAGGCTGACCTGGGAGCATGGCTTGAGCCCAGGTGTTCAAGGTTACAGTGAGCTACAATCATGCCACTGCACTCCAGCCTGGGTGACAGAATAAGACCCTGTCTCAAAAAAAAAAGAAAAAAGGCAAATTATGTGATTAGAACGTATTAAAAAATTTCAACATTAAAGTTTCAATAGTTGCAATAGTATTATTGAATAATAGTACATATACATAGGTTTTAAGCACAAAATTCTGCATACTTATCATAGATGATGTACAACAGGAAATTTCATTCATAAATTTCATTAATTAAGAATATGTGATACTGAAATTGCAAATATCCAATCTGTTTCCTGCTAGTGAGTAATGTTGGGTAAATGAGTTTCTGGTTCTTTACTTATAGAGCAGGAGGAAAACAATACTTCCTAGACAATGAGCTATTAGTAGGGGCTCAACAAATGCCAGTTAAAGCTGAATTCAACTTAGGCAATACTGGCCACTGACAATCAGTATGTGTGTGTGTTTTGAGACAGAGTCTCACTCTGTCACCCAGGTTGTAGTGCAATGGTGTGATCTTGACTCACTGCAACCTCCGCCTCCCAAGTTCAAGCAATTCTCTTGCCTCCCAAGTAGCTGGGATTACAGGCACCTGTCATCACGCCCGGCTAATTTTTGTATTTTCAGTAGAGAAGGGGTTTCGCCATGTTGGCCAGGCTGGTCTCAAACTCCTGACCTCAGTGATCCACCCGCGTCGACCTCCCAACGTGTTGGGATTACAGACGTGAGTCACCGCGCCTGGCAGACAACCAATTTTAAAGCACTCTTTCTTTGAGCTCTTTTTCTTTAGTACCAGTACACACTGTGTAGATATTTTTGTTTTACTTACTAAACTGTAGGTTAGTAATCAATTTTAGTACCTACCAGACTGTAAGCTCCTTGAGGACAAGGAATTTGGACATTTCCCTTTTTTGAAGACCTAGCACAGGACCCTTATGAAAATAACCACCAAACAGTCTTATCACCAAGTTCTAGAACTAGAGTAGCATCTGTCCTATTAAAAACTACTGATGGCATAAATATAAACCTAAACTTACTCCATTAGAGCACTGACAGATTTGAAATCAACAATCAGTATTTCATACAATTTTAAAACTTTAATACTTTTTTATCTCCAATGCAATATAAAAATAGTACTCACTTTGGATAGGAAATCAACTAGAACTAGACTGTTGACATCCAGCAACAAAGCATAGCCCAACATAAGAAATACAGATTTGCAACACTTCGATATGTGCTTTGAACATTGATATGCCAAGTAGCAATAGAAATAATTATCTCTTTGGATGGAAAATGTTAATGACTAATCATTTCTTAAACTAGACTGGATACTTTTCCATATAGGGACTATGCTATTCCACGTTCTCCAACATGGATCCATCCATTTACTTCTTGCCTTCCAAGGTACCACCCTATCCCAATCCACCATCACTCCTTGCCTGGAGTATTTCAATAGCTTTTTTTTTTTTTTTTTTGAGACAGAGTCTCGCTCTGTCGCCCAGGCTGGAGTGCAGCGGAGCGATCTCGGCTCACTGCAAGCCCCGCCACCCGGGTTCACGCCAGCCTCCTGCCTCAGCCTCCCAAGTAGCTGGACTACAGGCGCCCGCCACCACGCCCAGCTAATTTTTTGTATTTTTAGTAGAGACAGGGTTTCACCGTGTTAGCCAGGATGGTCTCGATCTCCTGGCCTCGTGATCCGCCCGCCTCGGCCTCCCAAAGTGGTGGGATTACAGGAGTGAGCCACCGCCTCCGGCCTTCAATAGCTTAACAGGTCACCAAGCTTCCACACTATTCCCACACAGCCTCTCCCCTCTTGCCACCGGCTGTGACCTCAGACTGAAATGCTCTTCCCTGGCCCCTCCTTATCCTTCAAATCTTGGCTTAAAAGCCTTTTCTCAGTTTCATTGACCAGGCTATCTAACATTTACGATTCCCCCAGCATATCATCCATTTTATTCTTCTTTACGGACTCATTTCTGGCTCGTAGTAAATGTTCAATAACGGTTAAGTGAACTGAATCTCTAATTTCTGGTCGTTAATTTGTAGAGACCACTTTCCCGGATTTAAAAAGTGCAGGTGCTCTGGCAGCCTTAAGTCGGTGAAAACAAGAATATTCCGCAAAACAAAAATAACTTGTTTATTCATCAAAAACAGTTAACGTTACACTTCTATACCGTCAATTCGTGTGTGAACAGAGTTGTGTCTGATCCAAGACCTTACAGTTCAAGCACTGGATCCCAATAACCTGTAAACAACGTTTTGTTATTTGCAATGCAATCCTGGGCTAACTTTTCAAAAGTCGTTTTTCTCAATTTCCCGTTAGTTAAAGGAATAAAAAAATGCTGTCCAACGTGGTCAATGGACCAAACAAACAAGGACAACAAACAGAAGCGTGAGCCATTGCTAACACAACAGCGACCAAACAATCATGCACTGTATCAGGCGTGTAAAAATCTGGGGGGAAAGGCTTAGTCTTAAGGCCTAAGTCATCGGACACTGGTCCTCTCCCGGGGAATAAAACGGCCTCCTCCTCTGAGAGGGAAATGTCCTGAATTTTCCCTGCAGAGGGAAGGTCACCTGCAAGCCTACATTCGTGACAGCGTTCCCGAGGACCCCCTGATCCTCATCTTCTTTTCTGCTTCATCAGACCAGAGACCGTGGCTAAAAGCCCCCCATCTGCCGGCTCTCAGGGGCTTCCGAGGCGGCGGGGCGGGAGGCGGCGCCCAGTCAAGGACAACAGAAGACTACGTCGCGTGGGCCAAAGGAAACAGTCCCGTCAATAAATAAGCCTCTGGCCGACGCACCTCACCCTTCCCATCCATACAAGACCTCACCTTCTCCCCGGAGCCGCGGAGGCTGTTCTGCTAAACTGTCTGGACCACGACGACCCCCTAGGAGGCCGGGTCGCTTATTCAATATGGCGGCCTCGGCTAACTCTGTCAGCCGGGCCTGGAGAACGGAAAGCCCGGAGGGACTAGAATCCTTGCATTCGACAAGTTTGTCGGCAATTTCCGTCAGCCGACCAGAGGGCGGAGCTGAGGTCGGCCCAGCCCGGAGGCGGGAAGGACAACTTGGACCCGCAGTTCCGCCGGAAGTGGCCCCAGCCTCGAGGCCGGGCGTCTTCGGTCATCTCCGGCGCTTCTAGGGCTGGTTCCCGTCATCTTCGGGAGCCGTGGAGGTACGAACTTAAGACATGCCTATTTTATTAATTTACTTCCAAACGCAACGAAAGGTCCATGGACAATTTGTGGGCCATTTAATTCAGGGCCCCCAATTCGTACGTGGAGAAGTGGGAATGCAAAAGTACTTTGACCTTTAACCTTCGGTCCGGCGCGGTGGAGGGAAACGCCTCCGTCTCTATATAAGGAATTTTCCGGTCTCTTCGGGTCCTTTTTCCTCTCTTCAGCGTGGGGCGCCCACAATTTGCGCGCTCTCTTTCTGCTGCTCCCCAGCTCTCGGATACAGCCGACACCATGGGTTTCGGAGACCTGAAAAGCCCTGCCGGCCTCCAGGTGCTCAACGATTACCTGGCGGACAAGAGCTACATCGAGGGGTGAGCGGACGGGCTGAGTCGGGGTGGCGGGGAGGTTTCTCCGCCCGGGGCCGGGGCCACGTGGCGCAGCGTGTCGGCTGCCGCGGGAGGGAGGGAGGCCGGGCCCGGGGCCCTTTCGAGAGGGAGGGGAAAGCGCCCCGTTGCCGTCTCCCAAGGCCCTCGTGTGGGGCGAGCCCGGCCTCCGGGGAGCGGTTCACGAGCAAGGAAAGGTTAAAATGTGCTTTATTTACACTTAATTCAGCCAGGTGTTTCCGCATCGCTGCCCAGTTAATACATGTTAAGCTGTAGATAGAGCAACGCCAGACATTGCAGTATTTGAGGTCTACTTAGTGGCAGACATTTCTCAGGATAGCGCGGTGACCCAAACATATGGTTTGATTTGAAGGAGCTAATAAGAAAAGAAAAGCATTAAAGCAACCCTGCTGGGGTTAGTGCCCACTAATTAATGTGATGCATACGGTATTTATTATTTATTCGCTGGCGTTTGTTTTTCAAAGGTGTGTGTGAATGTTTCTGTGTCCTTGGCAGGTATGTGCCATCACAAGCAGATGTGGCAGTATTTGAAGCCGTGTCCAGCCCACCGCCTGCCGACTTGTGTCATGCCCTACGTTGGTATAATCACATCAAGTCTTACGAAAAGGAAAAGGCCAGGTAAAATCATCTTTGTATAGAGCTGAAGAATAAGACTGCTCTCGAAGTTTATCAGGATGTTCACATGACAAAACTGGACCCAGGCTACTTTAGTTTTGTTGGGATATTGTAAGCTAAATTTTTCTGTAACCTTAGAAGGCCAAGAGACTGAAGCCCTCCATTTTTTCACAGAACAGGTAGAACATGGACAGCAGCAATTCAACTTTTCCCCACACTGCCCTGCCAATGTGCCTCGACCTTGACCTGGGGGGCCCACCTCTGGGGTGAGAGGGTGGCTCATTCATTCAGTCCTTGGCCATTCTTCTGAAACTGCCAACAAGGGTGGAAGTTTGGGGAAGTGGACTCCAGTTCACTAAGAATGGAACTGAGCATACTTAATGAAATCTCAAACAGAAATGTTCATACTGAAAGAGTAAATCATAGTGAGTATTGAAAATAATGTCTCACATGGTACTAATGCTTGTCGGGTGAGGAGTTGAACATATGACAGTGTTTACCTGGGCGCATGTGAAAGGGTAAATTATGATTGCAAAAGGGATCTAGTGATAAGTAGTGATTAAAACAAGTTATTTTGTATTTTCTGGAAAAGGATGTTATACTAGCTCAATAGTGGTTGAATTTAAATGTTTTTCAAGCCTGCCAGGAGTGAAGAAAGCTTTGGGCAAATATGGTCCTGCCGATGTGGAAGACACTACAGGAAGTGGAGCTACAGATAGTAAAGATGATGATGACATTGACCTCTTTGGATCTGATGATGAGGAGGTATGGCGTCTTCTATAAAGAACATATCGGCCAGGCGCAGTGGCTCATGCCTGTAATCCCAGCATGTTGGGAGGCTGAGGCGGGTGGATCACGAGGTCAGGAGTTGAAGACCAGCCTGGCCAAGATGGTGAAACCCTGTCTGTACTAAAAATACAAAAAAATGTGGCAGGCATCTGTAATCCCAGCTACTCAGGCGGCTAAGGCAGAGAATTGCTTGAACCTAGGAAGCGGAGGTTGCAGTGAGCCAAGATCGTGCCACTGCATCCAGCCTGGGCGACAGAGCGAGACTCCGTCCCAAAAAAAAAAAAAAAGAATACATCGATCAGCAATTGTATCAATGTGGTTAAGCCAAATTGCCTGGATTTGAATCCTGGCTTTAATTTATATGCCTTTTTCAAATTCTGACTGGTTGCATGATGAATAAAATCAAATCACCATCTTTCGGCTGAGTTCGTGATGGATTTGCTTTTTTCTGATTAAGCCAGTCTTTTTTGTGATGACCCCACTAGCTTTAAGCAGAGGAACAACCAGCTTTCTGAAGTGGATTAATTTTTTTTCTTTACAGGAAAGTGAAGAAGCAAAGAGGCTAAGGGAAGAACGTCTTGCACAATATGAATCAAAGAAAGCCAAAAGTAGGTCATTTGTTTTTAACTTCATTTCATGTTAATGTAAGTAATCTTTTTCAAAGCTTGACCTTGAAGTAATTTCCTCCACATTCCTTGAATAGGTCAATATTTTAAAACCTGTACAGGTTCTTCCACAGCTACTGGTCTGCAGCTGTTCTTATGGTAGCAGTTGTGGCATTCCTCTGTGGGAAAGAAACTGTTAACACAAACACCTCTTTCTTAGCAAAACAGAAAGTGGGTATATATGTGTGACAGACACAAGATGTATCTGTAGTTTTGTTTGGCTAAGGAGATAGTCTCAAAACAAATTGAGATGGATTTGTTTGTGTCTTGGAGTAGGGTGAAAAAAATACAATTCATTATTTGAATAATGCTGTTTATTGTTTTTAGAACCTGCACTTGTTGCCAAGTCTTCCATCTTACTAGATGTGAAACCTTGGGATGATGAGACAGATATGGCGAAATTAGAGGAGTGCGTCAGAAGCATTCAAGCAGACGGCTTAGTCTGGGGCTCATGTGAGTTTAGGCTTTGCCTTTTTTTTTTTGAAACTAACATCTGGAATTTGCCTACAGTTTCAACCTTTCCTACAAGACTTTTCTAACTAGGATTTTTCTTAATGCTCTTTTTAGCTAAACTAGTTCCAGTGGGATACGGAATTAAGAAACTTCAAATACAGTGTGTAGTTGAAGATGATAAAGTTGGAACAGATATGCTGGAGGAGCAGATCACTGCTTTTGAGGACTATGTGCAGTCCATGGATGTGGCTGCTTTCAACAAGATCTAAAATCCATCCTGGATCATGGCATTTAAATAAAAGATTGAAAGATTACCTTTGGCTCTTGAGTATGTTACATAGGAGGGTGGTGTATATATTCCTTTCATTTTGGGGGAAGGAATTAAATGAATATGTGATTCCTAAATACCCCAAATTTGGTTTGGCATTGTTGTTAGAAAATTGCAGTGCAGGCCAGGTGTGGTGGTTCATGCCTGTAATCCCAGCAGTTTGGGAGGCTGAAGTGGCTGGATCGAGACCAGGAGGCTGATACCAGCCTGGGCAATGGGGAGAGATCCTGTCTCTACAAAAAATATAAAAATTAGCTGGACATGGTAGTGCACCCCTGTATTCCCAGCTATTTGGGAGACTGAGGTGGGAGGATTTCTTGAACCCAGGAGGTTGAAACTGCAGTGAGCCAAGGTTGTGCGACTGCACTCCAGCCTGGGTGCCAGAGCAAGGTCCTGTCAAAAGAAAAAAAATTGTAGTGCAACTTTACCCACTTGTGATGTCCTTAGCAGTGCCTGATGATGTGATTTGTTGTAACCTAGCATCTTTGCACTGGGAACTTGATGTGAGATGTGTGACACTGCTAGAAGACACCTAACCCAGAGGAGGGAGGGCTTCCCAGAATTTGGCATGACTTACAACTACTTAACAGGTTACAAATTTAAAATAATGACTCATGATGTAAAGAAACCATCTTTTAAGTGTTGGGAATGTGATTTGGAGTAGCACTGTGTCCTGGGAGGGGGATTATATAGGTAACTGGTTCCCAGGCTTCCCAGAAAAACTTGACTTTGCTGTGAAGATTCATAGGTGCTGGGTTGTAGAGGCGGAATATTTTACTTGGATTTGGAAATCTGATTGGTTCTCATGCTGCAGGTAAATACTGGGATGAGGGTAGTATGTTGAGTGAAGAGATGGTCAAGTATTGGAAACCGTTTAATCTTAACAGGGAATTTGGGGTCTGGCTAACATTTGATACATTTTTTTAAATAGTAGTTTTACAAAAGCAGTGCTTGGGAATTGCTGATCTCAAATGATCAAAAAATTTTAGGTCAATTTTTTTTTTTTTTTTTTTTTTGAGATGGAGTCTCACTCTGTTGCCTGGGCTAGAGTGCAGTGGTGTGATCTCAGCTCACTGCAACCTCGGCCTCCCAGGTTCAAGCAATTCTCCTGCCTCAGCCCCCTGAGTAGCTGGGATTACAGGCATGCGCCACCATGCCTGGCTAATTTTTCTATTTTTAGTACATACGGGGCTTCACCATTTTGGTCAGGCTGGTCTCGAGCTCCTGACCTCAGGTGATCCACCCACCTTGGCCTCCCAAAGTGCTGGGATTATAGGCATAAGCCACAATGCCCAGCCCCTAGGTCAATTTTTTAATAGAACTATACAGTGCTATTTCTTCTCCATCTGATTTTATGTTGTGACTGCCTTGACTGTGGGAAACTATATTATAAGGAAGATTTATTTAACAGATAGATACATTGAATAATATCTCTAAGCAATGTTTATAATCCAACAGCCTAAAAGTCATGGGAGACATTTTCAGGTTGTCATTATCATAAGAGCCAGCAGAGGGCAGCACTACATTTTCTGGAAAACCAGAGAGTTTGGGAATAATGAAAATGCCAAAAGAAACACAAAAAACAAAAAACCAAAACCATGAATAAACTTCGGTGAATGGTAATAAAAATTTGCAATTATTGACATGGTGAAGGGGTTGAGTTCCAAATAGCTTGGCCAAAATGTTAACTATCAGCAGAAGTTTATGATGAGAAAACTAATGATTAATAATTAGTTTAAAGGTGGTCAAAAATTTAGAATGGTCAATTCAAACCACAGATGTCTTCAGAATCCTACAGTGATGAATGATGAGGCATACCATTTTGAAATCTTGATTCTACACCCTTGAATAAAAAATATTTTGATGGTATCTTTTAACTTCATATTTTAAAAAACACATGGCCGGATGTGGTGTCTCACACCTGTATTCCCAGCACTTTGGGAGGCCGAGGCAGCTGGATCATGAGGTCAGGCGATCTAGACCATCCTGGCTAACACAGTGAAACCCTGTCTCTACTAAAAATACAAAAAATTAGCCAGGTGTGGTGGCATGCGCCTGTAGTCCCAGCTACTTGGGAGGCTGAGGCAGGAGAATTGCTTGAACCCGGGAGGCAGAGGTTGCAGTGAGCTGAGATCACGCCACTGCACTCCAGCCTGGGCGACAAAAGTGAGACTCCATCTCAAAAGAAAAAAAAAAAGATAATATACCAACAGTTCAAAACTCAAGAGTATGTACAATGAAGTCTCTCCTGTCCCCTAGGCCTCCAGTTCCGCTCCATCAAAGCAGTGTTAACAGGTTCTTAGGTCTTTGCAGAGCCACTGTAAGCTTATGCATAGACTAATTGTAACACACCACATAGACTTTTGCACCTTGCATTTTCCTTTTGAAAATGAACACCTTGGGGCCGGGTGTGGTGGCTCACGCCTGTAATCCCAACACTTTGGGAGGCCTAGGTGGGCAGATCACAAGGTCAAGAGATCCAGACAATCCTGGCCAACATGGTGAAACCCTGTGTCTATTAAAAATACAAAAATTAGCTGGCCGTGGTGGCGCACGACTGTAGTCCCAGCCACTTGGGAGGCTGAGGCAGGAGAATCGCCTGAACCCGGGAGGCGGAGATTGCAGTGAGCTGAGATTGTACCACTGCATTCTGTCTCAAAAAAAAAAAAAAAAGAGCCAGGCGCGGTGGCTCATACCTGTAATCCCAGAGGTGGGGGATCACGAGGTCAGGAGTTTGAGACCAGCCTGGCCAACATGGTGAAACCCTGTCTCTACTAAAAATACAAAAAAAAAAAAAAAAAATGAACACCTTGGAGATTATGCCTTGGATATCCCATTATTAGTACATCCTTATTTAATAGATGCATAATTCATGTTCTCATTTCATAATTCATTTTCTCATAGTTCATTTAGACAGTCTCCTGTTGACTGGATTCTTAGGTTGCTTTTAATGTTTTGTTATTATGGGCAGTGCTGCAGTAGAAAACCCTGGTACTCATTTTCTTGAGAGCCAATATATTGAATGAACTGGTTTGTTTTGTTTTGTTTTGTTTTTTTGAGGTGGAGTCTCACTCTGTTGCCTGGGCTGGAGTGCAGTGGTGCGATCTCAGCTCCCTGCAACCTCTGCCTCCCGGGTTCAAGCGATTCTCCTGCCTCAGCCTCCCAAGTAGCTGGGATTACAGGTGCCTGCCGCTATGCCCAGCTAATTTTTTGTATTTTTAGTTTGATGGGGTTTCACCATGTTGGCCAGGCTGGTCTCAAACTCCTGACCTTGTGATACCCCCTCCTCAGCCTCCCAAAGTGCTGGGATTACAGGCGTGAGCTGCTGCGCCTGGCTCATGAACTTGTTTTAAACAAATAGTCTCAGAAGGCACTGGTTTCCAAAGAGATTTTTTTTTTTCCTGTTTCTGGCTTTAGAGTAGAAGGAAGCAAAGATAAAAAAGAGCCCACTTTTTTTTTTTTTGCATGCCCCATAAATGATTATAATGACTATGAAAGTTTTTCTTTTCTTTTTTTTTTTTTTTTTGAGACAGGGTCTCAATCTATCATCCAGGCTGGAGTGCAGTGGCATGATCACGGCTCACTGCAGCCTTGAACTCCTAGGCTTAAGCAATTCTACCTCAGCCTACTGAGTAGCTGGGACTACAGGCATGTGCCACCATACCCAGCTAATTTAAAAAAATTTTTTTAGAGATGGGGTCTTGCTATGATGCCCAGGCTTTGAACTCCTGGACTCAAGTGATCCTTCCACCTTGGCCTTCCAAGGTACTGGGATTACAGGTATGAGCCAACGTGTCCAGCCTGAAACAATATTTTTCATGTTCGGCATCCCTAGCAGAGGGCTGGGCAGTGTGGGAACTCAAAACTGATTCCTTCCGTATCACTTTGTTAGATGAAACAAAAAAACACAGAAGAAGAGAAAATTAGTATAGGGAGGCAATTCAAACATAAAATTGTTAAAAATAAAAGTCATTGGTTTGGGGATTAAGCAAATAATCTAAAAGTTCAGAAGGTCAGAGACGGCTAGAATTGATGACAAGTTTTTTGGAAGAATCAGATATAAAGATTTGGGAAGCAATTAGACAAATTCGTGAGATTTTGCAGTGTGTGTTTGGAATCTTAGATAGGATGGGGCCAGCCTGTAGACATATTTGAATTACAGGCTGGCACATTATATGAGGTTTCCAAACCAGAGAATATTAATGTTAAGACAGCTTTGATCTGGAGGTGATACGAATGAAAGCAAGGAGATCAGATGACTTATAATCCTCACAGATGGAAATGTCTAAATTATGGCATATGTATTCAATGAAATGTTTTATAAACTTTATTTATTTTTTTGAGATGGAGTCTCGCTCTATTGCCCAGGCTGGCGTGCCGTGGTGCGATGTTGGCTCATTGCAACCTCCACCTCCCAGGTTCAAGCGATTCCCCTGCCTCAGCCTCCCAAGTAGCTGGGATTACTTGTGTGCGCCACAATGCCCGGCTAATTTTTGTATTTTTAGTAGAGATGAAGTTTTGCCATGTTGGCCAGGCTGGTCTTGAACTCCTAACCTCAAGTGATCTGCCCATCTCGGCCTCCCAAAGTGCTGGGATTACAGGCGTGAGCCACCACGCCCAGCCTAAACTTTGTTTTTAAAAGTAAGTCTATAGCAACATTGAGAAATGCTTGATATTTCATGGACTATTACTATGAAAAGATATGCTTATTTGTCCATGATTATTCAGTAAATATACTAAGTCACTAGTAAGTGACAGAGGAGGAACACAAGCCAGGGTCTTCATAGGCCAGTTGATGTGTTGGTAACAGAATACGGAAGGTTCTTCATCCCTGCTTTTAGACAGTTTAATCCTATTTCATCAGTGTAATCCTTGCTTCATATTCTCATGAATATGATGAGGTGAGGTGAGGTGATAAGAAAATATGGTGAGGGATAAGAAAATATCACATAAGGGTAAATTTTACCTTGTGTAAATTGAGACTTAAACACTAAAACACTGTTCTAGGCAGAGGTTCTCAAACCTCAATTCTTGATGTCTGTCCACTCACAGGCTCAACACTACATGGAAGCTGCCAAGGCTTGAGGCTTGAACCCTCTGAAGCCATGGCCCAAGCTCTACGCTGGACCCTTTCAACCATGGCTGGAGTGGCTGGGATGCAGTGCACCAAGTCCCTAGGTTGCACACAGCACGGGGACCCTGGGCCCGGCCCATGAAACCACTTTTTCCTCCCAGGCCTTTGGGCCTGTGATAGGAGGGGCTGCTGCAAAGGTTTTTTTGACATGTCCTAGAGACATTTTTCACCATTGTCTTGGTGATTAATATTTGGTTCCTCATTACTTATGCAAATTTCTGCAGCCAGCTTGGATTTCTCCTCAGAAAATGAGATTTTCTTTTCTATTGCATTGTCAGGCTGCAAATTTTCCAAACTGTTATGCGCTGCGTCCTTATAAAACTGAATGCCATTAACAGCACCCAAGTCACCCCTTGCATGCTTTGCTGCTTAGAAATTTCTTCTGCCATGATATGGTTTGGCTGTGTCCCCACCCAAATCTCATCTTGAATTTCCACGTGTTGTGGGGAGGGACCTGGCAGGAGGCAATAGAATCATGGGGGCAGGTCTTTCTTGTGCTGTTCTCGTGATACCCAGTCATGGATATGTTTTACCCATGATTTAGGGTATCTGGTGGGATAAATTTCTAAGCAGCAAAGCATTCAAGAGGTGACTTGGGTGCTGTTAAAGGCGTTCAGTTTTATAAGGGAAGCAGAGCATAAAAGTTTGGAAAATTTGCAGCCTGACAATGCAATAAAAAAGAAAATCTCATTTTCTGAGGAGAAAGTCAAGTCAGCTGTAGAAATTTGCATAAGTAACAGGGAGCCAAATGTTAATCACCAAGACAAGGGGAAAATGTCTCCAGGGTACATCAGAGGTCTTCATGGCAGCCCTTCCCATCACAAGCCTGGAGGCCTAGAAAGAAAAAGTGGTTTCGTGTGCTGGGCCCAGGGTCCCTGTGCTGTGTGCAGCCTAGGAACTTGGTGCCCTGTGTCCCAGCTGCTCCAGCCATGGCTGAAGGGCCAATGTAGAGCTCGGGCCATGGCTTCAGACAGAGGGTGCAAGCCCCAAGCCTTGGCAGCTTCCATGTGGTGTTGAGCCTTCAAGTGCATAGATATCAAGAATTGAAGTTTGGGAACCTCTGCCTAGATTTCAGATGTATGGAAACACCAGAATGCCCAGGCAGAGGGGCAGGTCCTCATGGAGAACCTCTGTCAGGGTAGTGCAGAAGGGAAATGTGGGGTGGGAGCCCCCACACAGAGTTTCTACTGGGGCACTGCCTAGTGGAGCTGTGAGAAGAGAGCCATTGTCCTCCAGACCCCAGAATGGTAGATCCACTGACAGCTTACACCGTTCGCCTAGAAGAGCTTCAGGCACTCAATGTCAGCCTGTGAAGGCAGCCAGAAGGGAAGCTGTACCCTGCAAAGCCACAGGGGCGGAGCTTCCCAAGACTATGGGAACCTACTACCTCTTGATCAGCATGACCTGGATGTGAGACATGGAGTCAAAGGAGATCATTTTGGAGCATGTGCCACCACACCCTGCTAATTTTGTATTTATAGTAGAGACGGGGTTTCTCCATGTTGGTCAGGTTGGTCTCGAACTCCTGACCACAGGTGATCCACCCACCTCGGCCTCCCAAAGTGCTGGGATTATAGGTGTGAGCCACTGCACCCGGCCTGGACTCTGGACTTCTGAGTTAATGCTGAAATGAGACTTTGGAGGACTGTTGGGAAGGCGTGATTGGGTTTGAAATGTGAGGACATGAGATTTGGGAGGGGCTGGGGTGGAATGATATGGTTTGGCTATGTCCCCACCCAAATCTCATCTTGAATTTTCATGTGTTGTGGGAGGGACCCAATAGGAGGTAATTGAACCATGGGGCAGGTCTTTCCTGTGCTATTCTCGTGATAGCGAGTAAGTCTCATAAGATCTGACGGTTTTAAAAAGGGGAGTTTCCCTGTGCAAGCTCTCTTCTCTTGTCTGCCCTATGTGAGACATGCCTTTCGCCTTCCACCATGATTGTGAGGCCTCCCCAGTCAAGTGGAACTGTAAGTCCATTAAACCTCTTTCTTTTGTAAAACGCCCAGTCATGGGTATGTTTATCAGCAGCCTGAAAACGGACTGCTGCAAGTCAGATACCCTAAATCATCTCTCTCAAGTTCAAAGTTCCACAAATCTCTAGGGCAGGGGCAAAATGCCACCAGTCTCTTTGCTAAAACATAACAAGAGTGACCTTTGCTCAAGTTTCCAACAAGTTCCTCATCTCCGAGACCACCTTAGCCTGGACCTTATTGTTCGTATCACTATCAGCATTTTTGTCAAAGCCATTCAACAAGTCTCTAAGAAGTTACAAGCTTTCCCGCATTCTCCTATCTTCTTCTGAGCCCTCCAAATTGTTCCAACCTCTGCCTGTTACCCAGTTCCAATGTCACTTCCACATTTTCAGGTACCTTTTCAACAGTGACCCACTCTACTGGTGCCAATTTGCTGTATTTGTCTGTTTTCGCGCTGCTGATAAAGACATACCTGAGACTGGGCAATTTACAAAAGAAAGAGGTTGAGTTGGACTCACAGTTCCACATAGCTGCGGAGGCCTCACAATCATGGTGGAAGTTAAGGAGGAGCAAGCCACATCTTCTGTGGATGGTGGCAGGCAAAAAGACTGCTCCCTTCATAATTTTCAAAAGAAAATTGAGAAATTATAGAAATGGAAATATGTTTTTAAACTTGTAGTGAGTAGCAGAGTCAGATAAGACAAAGACTCTAGCAGAGACAGGGATAAGAGGCGGATCTTCAGAAGAGACTGGGATAAGGGGTGGATCTTTGGGAAACCCCAAAGACAAAGATACAGATTTCCAGTGTTTCTTCACCTCCACAGTTGGATGGAATCTCTTTCCTCTGAACAATCTGCACTTCTCCTTGGCTCTCTTATGACACTTATTATTTTCTACCTTATTTTAGGATTTTAAAAAAAAAATTTTTTTTTTAATTTTATTTTTTTTTAATTGATCATTCTTGGGTGTTTCTCACAGAGGGGGATTTGGCAGGGTCATAGGACACTAGTGGAGGGAAGGTCAGCAGACAAACAAGTGAACAAAGGTCTCTGGTTTTCCTAGGCAGAGTGTGTGTGTCCCTGGGTACTTGAGATTAGGGAATGGTGATGACTCTTAATGAGCATGCTGCCTTCAAGCATCTGTTTAACAAAGCACATCTTGCACCGCCCTTAATCCATTTAACCCTGAGTGGACACAGCACATGTTTCAGAGAGCACAGGGTTGGGGGTAAGGTCATAGATCAACAGGATCCCAAGGCAGAAGAATTTTTCTTAGTACAGAACAAAATGAAAAGTCTCCCATGTCTACTTCTTTCTACACAGACACGGCAACCATCCGATTTCTCAATCTTTTCCCCACCTTGCCCCCTTTTCTATTCCAGAAAACCGCCGTCGTCATCATGGCCCATTCTCAATGAGCTGTTGGGTACACCTCCCAGACGGGGTGGTGGCCGGGCAGAGGGGCTCCTCACTTCCCAGTAGGGGTGGCCGGGCAGAGGCGCCCCTCAGCTCCCAGACCGGGTGGCTGGCCAGGCGGGGGGCTGACCCCCCCACCTCCCTCCCGGACGGGGCGGCTGGCTGGGCAGAGGGGCTCCTGGCTGGGCAGAGGGGCTCCTCACTTCCCAGTAGGGGCGGCCGGGCAGAGGTGCCCCTCACCTCCCGGATGGGGCGGCTGGCCGGGCGGGGGGCTGACCCCCACCTCCCTCCCGGACGGGGTGGCTGCCGGGCGGAGACGCTCCTCACTTCCCAGACAGGGTGGCAGCCAGGCGGAGGGGCTCCTCACTTCTCAGACAGGGCGGTTGCCAGGAGGAGGGTCTCCTCACTTCTCAGACGGGGCGGCCGGGCAGAGACGCTCCTCACCTCCCAGACGGGGTCGCGGCCGGGCCGAGGCGCTCCTCACATCCCAGACGGGGCGGCAGGGCAGAGGCGCTCCCCACATCTCAGAGGATGGGCTGCGGGGCAGAGACGCTCCTCACTTCCTAGATGGGATGGCGGCCGGGACGAGGCGCTCCTCACTTCCCAGGTGGGATGGCGGCCGGGCAGAGACGCTCCTCACTTTCCAGACTGGCAGCCAGGCAGAGGGGCTCCTCACATCCCAGACGATGGGCAGCCAGGCAGAGAGGCTCCTCACTTCCCAGACGGGGTGGCGGCCGGGCAGAGGCTGCAATCTCCGCACTTTGCAGGGCCAAGGCAGGCGGCTGGGAGGTGGAGGCCGTAGCGAGCCGAGATCACGCCACTGCACTCCAGCCTGGGCACCATTGAGCACTGAGTGAATGAGACTCCGTCTGCAATCCCGGCACCTCGGGAGGCCGAGGCTGGCGGATCACTCGCGGCTAGGAGCTGGAGACCAGTCCGGCCAACACAGCGAAACCCCGTCCCCACCAAAAAAACACGAAAACCAGTCAGGCGTGGCGGCGCGCGCCTGCAATCGCAGGCACTCGGCAGGCTGAGGCAGGAGAATCAGGCAGGGAGGCTGCAGCGAGCCGAGATGGCAGCAGTACAGTCCAGCTTTGGCCCAGCATGAGAGGGAGACTGTGGAAAGGAGAGGGAGAGGGAGACGGGAGAGGGAGAGGGAGACGGGAGAGGGAGAGGGAGACGGGAGAGGGAGAGGGAGACGGGAGAGGGAGAGGGAGACGGGAGAGGGAGAGGGAGACGGGAGAGGGAGAGGGAGACGGGAGAGGGAGAGGGAGAGGGAGAGGGAGAGGGAGACGGGAGAGGGAGAGGGAGAGGGAGAGGGAGAGGGAGACGGGAGAGGGAGAGGGAGAGGGAGACGGGAGAGGGAGAGGGAGACGGGAGAGGGAGAGGGAGAGGGAGACGGGAGAGGGAGAGGGAGAGGGAGACGGGAGAGGGAGAGGGAGAGGGAGACGGGAGAGGGAGAGGGAGAGGGAGACGGGAGAGGGAGAGGGAGAGGGAGACGGGAGAGGGAGAGGGAGACGGGAGAGGGAGAGGGAGACGGGAGAGGGAGACGGGAGAGGGAGAGGGAGACGGGAGAGGGAGACGGGAGAGGGAGAGGGAGACGGGAGAGGGAGAGGGAGACGGGAGAGGGAGAGGGAGACGGGAGAGGGAGAGGGAGACGGGAGAGGGAGAGGGAGAGGGAGACGGGAGAGGGCTATTTTAGGATTTTTAATGCAGGTTTAATCTCACTTTCTAAACCCATTCCATGCTGTGCAGTTTCCTCAACCATCAAAGTCTGAGGAAGCTGAGAGGCTAAAGAGGCTGACATACCCAGTTTCTTGGAAAGAAACATTTGATAGAGACTTACGAACAGAAGCCATATCTGTGTCTTGGACAGTGGTGAGACAAGACGGTGGATCCCCGCACCATTACCTGCAAGACCCAGGGCTTATATACCTTAGGGAAAGAGTGATTTGGAAGGGATGTGTAGTCTAAAATTCAACAGATTTGCACCATGAAGAGGTCACTGACCTAAAGGTATGCTTTATTGATCTTACACTGGTGTCTATATAAATATAGGAATAGAAGGTGGAAATATATCAATATGTCCATGATTTTTCTGAAATCATTCTGAAATTAGACTGGTCTGTTTGCCATCTGAATGTCAGTGTTTTCATATATACCCTTAGTTTATACACGTTTACATAGCCATTTCCTTTTTTTTTAAATTTCAACTTTTATTTTAGTTAGTGGGGGTACATGTGCAGATTCATTACGTGGGAATATTGTGTGATGCTGAGGTTTAAAGTATGAATCCTCTCACCCTGGTAGTGAGCACAGTACCCCAACAGGTGGTTGTTTTTTTTTTTTGAGACCAAGTCTCGCTCTGTTGCCCAGGCTGGAGTGCAGTGGCTCAATCTCAGCTCACTGCAACCTCTACCTCCTGGGTTCAAGTGATTCTTCTGCCTCAGCCTCCTGAGTAGCTGGGATTACAGGCACATGCCACCACGCCCAGCTAATTTTTTGGATTTTTAGTAGAGATGGGGTTTCACCATGTTGGTCAGGCTGGTCTCGAATTCCTGACCTTGTGATCCACCCCTCCTCGGCCTCCCAAAGTGCTGGAATTACAAGTGTGAGCCACTGAACCCAGCCGCCCAGGCTTTTTTTTTTTTTTTTTTTTTTTTTTTTTTTTTTTGAGACAGTCTTACTCTGTTGCCCAGGCTAGAGTGCAGTGGCGCAATCTCGGTTCACTGCAACCTCCGCCTCCCAGGTTCAAGTGATTCTCTTGCCTCAGCCTCCCGAGTAGCTGGGACTACAGGTGCGTGCCACCACACCTGGCTAATTTTTGTATTTTTAGTAGAGACGGGGTTTCACCTTGTTGACCAGGCTGGTCTTGAACTCCTGACTTCAGGTGACCCGCCTATCTTGGCCTCCCAAAGTGCGGGGATTACAGGCATTAGCCACCGAGCCCAGCCTCAGCTCCCACTTACAAGTGAGAACATGCAGTATTTGGTTTTCTGTCCTGCACTAATTTACTTAGGATAATGGCCTCCAGTTCCATCCATGTTGCTGCAAAGGACACGATTTCATTCTTTTTTATGGCTGTGCAGTAGTCCATGATGTATATGTACCACACTTTGTTTATCCAATCTACCATTGATAGGTACCTGATACCCAGAATTTTCTAAAAGCATTTCTGTTTATAATGATACCGTAGAGGATTAAAGATTGGTGCAATTTTTTTTGACATTCTTTCCGTTGAGAGATGGGGATCTGTGTCTCTTCCCCTTGAACATGAGCTGGTCTATGCCTGCTTTGACCAATACAATACAATAGAAGTGATACTGTACCTGTGCCAGTCATAGCCTTTAACAGGACTAGAAATTTCCACCTTGGCCTCTTGGAGCCCTGAGTTGCCACATTAGAAGTCTGGCGACCCTGAAATGCCATGGTGGAATAGCTGTGTTGGGAGGGGAGAGGGAGGGAGGGAAGGGGATGTCTTAGGCAGCTTCCAGCTTCGATTTGCATCATCTCAGTCCAGCTGATGCTCCAGATATTGCAAAGCAGAGAGAGATGAACCTCTTTTCTGACTTCTTTGAATTCCTGACCCTCAGAATTGTGAGAATTATATCAAAAGTATAAACTGTTTTAAGAACTAGGTTTAGGAGGAGTTTATTAAGCATCATTAGTTAACTGGGTTTTTGGAGTGTGGCGACGGTATTTGTGGACACTGTCCCAGGAACATGAGCTGTCATATCCCCTCCTCTTCCACTTCCCATTGCAACCAATAAAGGCTGTTCCTACTATAAAAAACAGAGAGAGTGGGAGAAAGAAGAAAAAATCTCCCAAATCATTAACTAGAACAGATGTTTTAAGATAACCAACAATTACTTTAATTCATAAATGTATATACATAGATTACATAAAGAAATTAAGTACACATGTTGCATTTTAAAAATGTGTCTAGCAGGTTATTGTACAAAATTAAAATGAATTTAAGAATACATTTTAACATTTTTAAAATTAGTTAATCATATATTTATTTATCTATTTTATTTATTTATTTTTGAGACAGAGTTTTACTCTTGTTGCCCAGGCTGGAGTGCAATGGTGTGATGTTGGCTCACCACAACCTCTGCCTCCCAGGTTCAAGTGATTCTCCTGCTTCAGCCTCCCGAGTAGCTGGGTTTGCAGACATGCACCACCATGACCGGCTAATTTTGTATTTTTAGTAGAGACGGGGTTTCTCCATGTTGGTCAGGCTGGTCTCGAATTCCTGACCTCGGGTAATCCCCCCACCTTGGCCTCCCAAAGTGCTGGGATTACAGGTGTCAGCCACCGTGCCTGGCTAATCATATATTTAATATTAAGACTTAAGGCTTTAGAAAAGTTATTATTCAAAAAATAACTGATATTGCTTCAAAAGTGATTAATTCACCATGGTATAATTAACAAGAATGATGCATTTCATTTAAGTTGCAGAAAAAAATTATGCGGATCCTTCCTAAGTATTTTCAGTTTTTTAAAAAAAATTTATTGCCACATCACAAGGAGTCAAGAGGATCCTTCCTAAGTTTCATATCCACACAAAAATGTGATGCCTATATAGTGACCAGAAACAATAACTATGAAAGTGGAGTCGGCTCTCTATCTTGGAAACAATTTTAATCTGAAAGCATCAGTCAGAGGACCCACATAAAAAGCCATATACTGATTTGTGGAAAAGTAATAACTTATTGAGCTGTTTCCAGGAGACACAGATTCTTGGTTTCTGAGTTCCTGAGCTGTTCACTCACTGTGCCAGAACAGCTGACTTCCCACAGTGTGTACTTGAGTATCTCAGCAACTGAGGACCGGAAGCGAGCTTGGAACTTCTTACTAATTAGGACATAAAGGATGGGGTTCAAGCAACTATTGAGGAATGCCAAACCAGTGGAGAGGGGGATTCCAGCCTGCATCACATGGTGGGAATAGCTATTGTGGTGAATGGTGAGCTCCCAAATGCTAAACAGGTGATAAGGAGTCCAGCAAACCACAAAGGCCACAACCACAACCAGAATTGTCCAGAAATGCCTACTGGAGATCAGGATGCTTCGCTTCTTCACCTTGAAGATGAGACACAAGTAGCAAATACTCATTGTTAGCAAAGGGAAGAGATAGCCAATGATAAATTTCACCCAAGTCAGAACATGGTGCCTGATCAAAGTGAGGTCAGGATCATGCTTCTGAAAATTGTTATAGCAAAGAGTATGATTATTGAACTCCACAGTGTCCCGGAAGTACAGGGCAGGACCGCCAATTAGAGAAGCCAAAAGCCAGATGAATATAATGACAATCAGAGAGTTCTTGAGGGTTCGATGCCGATGAGATAAGACAGGATGGATCAAGTGGATATAGTGGTCCAGGCTGATCACTGTCAGGAAAAAAACACTGGCAAACATGTTCAACTGGGCAGTGAAGGAATTGGCTTTGCACAGCCAGATGCCAAAGGGCCAGTGGAAATTCATGGCCACATAGGAGATGTACAGGGGCAGAAAGAGAAGAAAAATGAAATCCGCAATGGCTAGATTGAGGAACCACAGAGTGGTGACTGTCTTCTTCCACTTGAACCCCGTGAACCAAATGACGATGGCATTTCCTGGAATTCCCAGAACAAAAGCCAAACAATATAACACCAGGGAGACCCAGTGAACAACTCCCAGCTGGACTTTCTCCTCCAAATCAGACTCCAGAGAGTAATAGTCTAGGTCATAGGAATAGTTTTCAAATTCTTCAAATAATGTTTCCTCCAAATCTTCCATGACCTTGCTAAATGGAGAATGAAGAAATCTGTAGAAGCAAATTTAAAAAGAAAGAAAAAATTTTAAAAGAAAAATAAAAGTTCAGTGAATGATAAGGAACGTGAAGATAAAAATATTTCAGGTTATGGACCAGACATAGTATTATTTTTTCTTTTTTTTGAGACAGGGTCTCACTCTGTTGCCCAAGCTGGAGTGCAATGGCATGCTTTTGGCTCACTGCAGCCTTGACCTCCTAGGCTCAAGTGCCTCCTACCTCAGCCACCCCAATAACTAGGACCACAGGTGCTCATGACCATGCCCAGCTAATTTTTAAATTTTTTGTAGAGATGAGGTCTCACTATGTTGCCCAGGCTGGTCTTGAACTCCTGGGCTCAAGTGATCCTCCTACCTCAGCCTCCCAAAGTGCTGGGATTATAGGCATGAGCAACTATACCCAGCAAATATAGTATATTTTTTGATAGGACTTGTGGTTATACTCCATATGTTCAAGTCTTGGTGAGCCTCAGTTTCACTCTGATTATCATTCTCCCAGCATGAGAGTTCCTTTCTGTAAAGTATTTAGTACTTGCTAAATTAAAATGAATGACTCTACGGTTATAATTCTTCAGTTCGTAATGCTTGTAGGGCTGACTAGAGAGAATTCAACAAGCATTTATTAGATTCCTACTATGCATTATTATTTTATGGCAGATGCAAAAGAAAACGGATTAATACTTACAGAGTGATAGCTTCAAAATCTGTATTTCAGCCAGACACAGTGGCTCACACCTGTAATCCCAGCACTTTGGGAGGCTGAGACAGGGAGATTGCTTGAGACCAGCCTGGGAAATATAGCAAAAACCTGTCTCTACAAAAAATAAATTTTTAAAATAGCCAGATCTAGTGGCTCATGCTGTAGTCCCAACTACTCAGGAGGCCAAGGCAAGAGGATTGCATGAGCCCAGGAGTTTGAGGCTGCAGCGAGCTATGATCAAGCCACTGCACTCCAGCCTGGGCAACAGAGCAGGACCCCACCTCAAAACAAATTTTTTCCTGAAAAATCTGGATTTGTTGTTGCCCTGACTTCTTAAACTCTAGATAAAGAGTTCCTACTATTTCCTAGACCAATCCATCTGGATGTCACTGGAGATTTTGACCTGAGATTTTGCATCCAAGGATGTTTTGAGTCCATGTTTATGAAAGCAAACATAGTAATCAGAATTATATCAATATGGATGGCTTCTCATCCAAAAGGTAGCTTTTGGATTAAATTTGATTATGACCACTTAATTTCTATATTAATTTCCTACAGAATGCAATTAAGCTTTATTTAAATTTTTATCTTATTGAAATAATTCTTTTCCATAATAATTTATGACAAAGATTAGATTTTTTTTTGAGACAGCCTTCTATTTTTGTTTTGTTTGTTTGTTTGTTTGTTTTTTTGAGACAACCTCCCGTTACAGAGGCTGGAATGCATGGCACGATCTCGGCTCACTGTAGCCTTTGCTTCCTGGGCTCAAGCAATTCTCCTGTTTGAGCCTCCTGAGTAGTTGGGATTACAGATGCTGGCTACCACTCCTGGCTAATTTTTGTATTTTTAGTAGAGACAGGGTTTCACCATGTTGACCAGGCTGGTCTCAAACTCCTGATCTCAAGTGATCCACCCATCTCAGCCTCCCAAAGTGCTGGGATTACAGGTGTAAGCCAGAGTGCCTGGCCAAAGATTGGATTTATTAATCAGTTTTACTTTATTTTTGCCCATACCAAATTTTGTCTCTTATAATTTCTACCAAAGTAAGTTTTATTTTGTGCCCGCTCCCTGTCCCTTTTTTTTTTTTTTTTTTTTTTTTTTTTTTTTTTTTTGAGACAGAATTTTGCTCTTGTTGACCAGGCTGGAGTGCAATGGTGTGATCTTGGCTCACCTCAACCTCACCTCCCGGGTTCAAGCAATTCTCCTGCCTCAGCCTCCCGAGTAGCTGGAATTACAGGCATGTGCCACTACGCCCAGCTAATTTTTGTGTTTTTAGTAGAGACAGGGTTTCTCCATGTTGGTCAGGGTGGTCTCGAACTCCCGACTTCCGGTGATTCGCCCACCTTGGCCTCCCAAAGTGCTGGGATTACAGGCATGAGCCACCGCACCCAGCCTTTTTTTTTTTTTTTTTTTTTTGAGACGGAGTCTTGCTTGTTACCAGGCTGGAGTGCAGTGGCGCCATCTCGGCTCATTGCAACCTCCACCTCCCGGGTTCAAGTGATTCTCCTGCCTCAGCCTCCAGGTATTTTTAGTAGAGACAGGGTTTCACCATGTTGGCCAGGATGGTCTCGATCTCTTGACCTCGTGATCCACCCACCTGGGCCTCCCAAAGTGCTGGGATTACAGGAATAAGCCACCGCGCCCTGCCCCTCTGCCTTTTTTCTTATCAAGACCAGTTTTTCTGGGTTAAGAAGACTTGAATGTCAGTTTTTCAATCAGCACAAAAGTATACTGTGTGTAACTCTGTCTTCTTCCATTTTATTTTGTGCTATTTCTATCTGTAGTATTGAATGAAGATCAAGCAGAAAAAAGATTAATAGTTATATTCATTTCATGGAGTTACAATCATACATGAGGCAAGTATGTAAAATTTTAGATTATAGTAGGGTTAGAATAAAGAGGTCAAAACATCCTGTGTTGCTCACAGGCATCTCAAATTCAATTTGACTATCGCTGAATTCATCATCCTACCTAAAACCTTCTGAGAAATCCGGCAGGGCAAAAAACAGAAGCAATTTATTCCCTTCCTCCCAACCCTAGCCCAGCAACTTTTTTGTTCTTCAATATTCAATTCAAATGCCACCTTTCTTAGAAACATTTTCTGACTTACCTTCCTGCAGATAATTATAATAATTATTATTGTTATTATTAAAACAATTTATAATAAAATGATAGTCAATGTTATTGAGAATTTACTAGATGCCAGACATGTATGATCTAATTTGATCCTCATAAGAATCTTACATACACTTGTAATCCCAGTGCTTTGGGAGGCCAAGGCAGGAGGATTGCTTGAGCCTAAGAGTTTGAGACAAGCCTGGACAACAAAGTGAGAAACTGTCTCTTAAAAAAAAAAAAAAGATCTTACATTGTGGGTAAGTACAGGTGACCCTTGAAAAACATGGGGGGTGCCTAGAGGCGCTGACCCCACACACAGTAAAAAAAATTTACATAAAACTTTTCGTTGTTATTGAGACATAGTCTGCCACTGTCACCCAGGTCAGAACGCAGTGGCACAATCATAGCTCACTGCAGCCTCAAACTCCTAGGCTCAAGTCATTCTCCCACCTCCACCTCCCAAGTAGCTGGGACTACAGAAGTACATCACCATGCCTGGCTGATATTTTTATTTTTGTAGAGATGGGGTCTTGTTATGTTGCCCAGGCTGGTCTTGAACTCTTGGCCTTAAGTGATTCTCTTGCCTCAGCCTCCCAGAGTGCTGGAATTACAGGAGTGAGTAACTGTGCCCAGCCCATTATTATTATTATTATTATTATTATTATTATTATTTTGAGACAGAGTCTTGCCCTGTTGCCCAAGCTGGAGTGCAGTGGTACAATCTCGTCTCACTGTAACCTCCGCCTCCCGGGTTCAAGTGATTCTCCTGCCTCAGCCTCCCTAATAGCTGGGATTACAGGTGTCTGTCACCACGCCTTGCTAATTTTTATATTTATAGTAGAGATGGTGTTTCACTTTGTTGGCCAGGCTGGTCTTGAACTCCTGACGTCAGGTGATCCGCCCACCTTGGCCTCCCAAAGTGTTGTATTGGGATTTTAGGCATAAGCTACCATGCCCGGACTTATTATTATTATTGAGACCAACTCTCTCACTCTGATGCCCAGGCTGGAGTGCAGTGGTGCGATCTCGGCTCACTGCAACCTCTGCCTCCTAGGTTCAAGTGATTCTCCTCCCTCAGCCTCCCAAGTACCTGGGACTACAGGCTTTTGCCACCATGCTGGCTAATTTTTGTATTTTTAGTAGAGACAGAGTTTCACCATGTTGGCCAGGCTGGCTGTCTTGATCTCCTGACCTCAAGTAATCTGCCCATCTCAGTCTCCCAAAGTGCTGGGATTACAGGTGTGAGCCACCATGCCTGGCCCTATTATTTTTTTTTTTAGAAACGAGTATCACTATGTTGCCCAGGCTGGATTCAAATTCCTGAGCTCAAGGATTCCTCCCAACTCAGCCTCCTAAGTAGCTGAGACTACAGGAACATACCACCAAACTTGACTTGCATATAACTTTTGACTCCCCCAAAACTTAACTATTAATAGCCTTCTGTTGATCAAAAGCCTTACTAATGACATAAAGTATCAATTAACACATATTTTGTATGTTTTATGTATTATATACGTATTCTTGCAATAAAGTAAGCCAGTGAAAAGAAAATGTTATTAGGAAATCATAAGGGGCTGAGAGCAGTGGCTCACGCCTATAATCCCAGCACTTCGGGAGGCCGAGGTGGGTGAATCATCTAAGGTCAGGAATTCGAGACCAGCCTGACTGACATGGTGAAACCCTGTCTCTACTAAAAATACAAAATTAGCCGGGTATGGTGGTGCATGCCTGTAATCCCAGCTGCTTGGGAGGCTGAGACAGGAGAATTGCCTGAACTGGGAGGTGGAGGTTTTAGTGAGCCAAGATCATACCACTGCACTCCAGCCTGGGTAACAAGAGCAAAACTCCACCTCAAAAAAAAAAAAAAAAAAAAAAGGAAACCATAAGGAAGAAAACATGTATTTACTAGCCATTAAGTGGAAGTGGACCATCATAAAGGGCTTCATCCTCATCATCTTTACAATAAGTAGGTTGTGGAGGGGGAAGAAGATGGGTGAGTCTTGCTGTCTCGGGGTGGTAGGGGCAGAGGGAGAAAATCTATGCCTAAGTGAATCTGCACAGTTGAAACCCATGTTGTTCAAGGATCAACTGTACTATTATTGGTCTCATTTTTAACAAACAACACTGAAGCTTATAGAAGCTTAGTAACTTACTCAAGATCACACAACCTGCAATTGCAGAGTCAGGATCTAAAGTCAGATCTGTTGGACCCATGGCCTGAGCTCTTAACCACTACAGCATTCCCCCTTCTGTCATACTTGTCTTATCACACTTAACACGTTATGTTGTCATTAATTTATTTTTAATTTCTTCTCTATTAGACTGTGAACTCTTTGAGAATAAGGACTGTCATGGCTGTACCCCCAGTGCCTTGTACACCTTAATATATCACAGGTGATTAACAGATGCTTAAGAAATGATTGGCTCCCATTCCAAACCAAAGATAATTTTAAAACTTCAGGTGAGATTTTGTGAGTTCACCCCTAAGTCAGGGTCACTGCCAGACTCTCTCCAACCTTGACCCACAGTTCCTTTTTTTTTTGGATGGAGTCTCACTTTGTCACCCAGGCTGGAGTGCAGTGGCGTGATCTCGGCTCATGCAACCTTTGTCCCCCGAGTTCAAGTGATTCTCCTGCCTCAGCCTCCAGAATAGTTGGGATTACAACTGCCACCATGCCCCGCTAATTTTTTTTGTATTTTTAGTAGAAACAAGGTTTCACCTTCTTGGCCAGGCTGGTCTTGAACTCCTGACCTCGTGATCCACCCGTCTCAGCCTCCCAAAGTGCTGCGATTACAGGAGTGAGCCACCGCACCTGGCTGACCCACAGTTCTATCATCAGGATCTTGGCTTATTCCTGGACACCAAATCCCTTCCTTCGTGTGTCCTATTCCAGTGAGCAAGAATTGGCTCCTGTCATGCTGCCCCATTCTTTCAGGCCTGGGATCTCACTCTGCCCTCTCACTTACTCCTTCTGGTGGCTGACTCTCCCCAGTGTCAGATCCTTCCCAGCTTAGTCTAAAACTTTGTCTTTTCTGTGTACTAGGACATCCTTACCTTACAGGTGCCTATGATCTGTTCCTTTAGGCTGTTAGCAATTCAGAAGCCATATGGCCCATGGGGTGGTCTGAATCACCTTATAAAACCCTAAACAGAATCTCATTCCCCAAACAAAGAAAAGCCCATGGAAGACCCCTAATAGCTTCTAACCACTATCCTCACCAAAAGTCAGGAGCCTCCCCTTCCAATGTCATTATTGACCCTGCTGGGACAGTGTGATCATCGCAGGGCCTGTTGAAGGCAACCGTCTTCTTCCGCATTCTGTTGGGGCAGGGGATTGGAGGGTGGGATACTGGTATGTTTACGTGTGTGTGTGTATGCCTTGAGGATGAGTGATCTATCTGAATAGAACACCTTCAAACAGAAAGCCCTGCACCAGAGAGGTTCCTAATCTTCCAGGAAGCAGATGAACACATTAGATTTAAGGTGTAGTTCAGCCTTGGAGAAAAAGCTTCAAGAACAGCTGGTTGATGCTCACCTGAATCCTTTATGGGAAATAGGAGCTTAGGAATTCCCCTAAGACTTACAGCAGATGTTTTTGTTTGATGATGATGGTGAGGGGTAGGGATAGAGTGGAGAAAAGAGAAACGGCAGAACTTAGCAACTGTCCTACTGAGTCCTTGAGTAGACACAGTTAACTTTTGAAGACATACTCTTGTTTACCTATTATAACTTGTTTGGCCACTGCTTTACAGTTTTCAGGTACTTCCAGATCTAAGTAAGTTTCCAGACCTCATTTAAACCTTCCCAAATATCTAGAGACTAAATGTATTCATTTCCTAGGGCTGCTGTAACAAAGCAACAGAAACTGGTTGGCCTAAGACAACAGAAATGTATTGTCTCACAGTCTGGAGACTAAGTCTGAAATCAAGGTTGTTTCCTTCTGAGGGCTGTCCTGGAACATCTTTTCCATGGCTCTTGCCTAGCTTCTTGTGGTTTGCTGGCAAACTTTGGCCTTCCTTGGCTTGTACATGTGTTACGCTGATCTCTGCCTACATCTTCACATAGCATTCTCCCTGTGTGACTGTCTAAATTTCCCCTTTATATAAACACACCAGTCATTTTGAATTAGGGCCCACCCTAATACCTCATTCTATTTTCTATTCTATTGCCTCTGTAAAAACCCCATTTCTCTCTCTCTCTCTTTTTTTTTTTTTTAAGACAGGTTTCGCTCTTGTTGCCTAGGCTTGAGTGCAGTGGCATGATCTCGGTTCACTGCAACCTCCGTCTCCCGGTTTCAAGCGATTCTTCTGCCTCAGCCTCCTGAGTAGCTGGGACTACAGATGTGCGCCACCACATACGGCTAATTTTTTTATTTTTAGTAAAGACGGGGTTTCACTATATTGGCCAGGCTGGTCTCAAACTCCTGACCTCGTGATCCAGCCGCCTCGGCCTCCCAAAGTGCTGGGATTACAGGTGTGAGCCACCGTGCCCAACCTAGACCCCATTTCAAATAAGGTCACAGTCTGAGGTAATGGGGGTTAGGACTTCAACATATCTTTTTTTTGGTGGGGGAGGAGGGTTACCATCCAACCCATAAGACTAACTCAGGAGTGGCAACCACCATTTCTGAATCCCGATCACTCATTCATTCAGCCAATATTTGTTAATTGCTCACATTGTTCAGGCACTATTCTAGCTGATTGAGATACTTCACTAAATAAGACAGACAACTATTTCTTCCCTCTTAGATTTTATATTTACCAGGCAGGGATAGATAGTAAAAAAGTAATATTATAAAATTACATTGTATATTAAAAGATGGTAAGTACTACAGAAAGATGAAAAAATTGAAAAGGATAAAGGGAATAGAAGGTGGTTTTTAACTTTCTTTCTTTCTTTCTTTTCTTTAAGACAGTCTTGCTTTGTTGCCTAGGCTGGAGTGCAGTGGCATGATCTCGACTCACTGCAACCTTCACATCCTGGGTTCCAGCGATTCTCCTGCCTCAGCCTCCAAGTAGCTGGGATTACAGGCGTGAGCCACCACAGCCAGCTAATTTTCATATTTTTAGTACAGATGGGGTTTCACCATGTTGGCCAGGCTAGTCTCAAACTTCTGACCTCAAGTGATCTGCCCACCTCAGCATCCCAAATGCTAGGATTACAGGCTTAAGCCACTGCACCCAGCCTGGTTTTAGCTTTCAATAAGGTGGTCTGAGAAAGACTCGTTGAAAAAATAACTGCAAAGGCTTGACAGAGGTGAGGGAATTAGTCGTGGATATTTCCAGCAAGAGTGTTCCAGGCACCACTGCTATGGCAGAAGTATGTCTAACATATTCTAGAAGCAATAAGGATGCCAGTATGTCTAGGGCAGGATGAGAAAACCGAGCAAGAGGAAGAAAAGAAGGAAAAAAATTCAACAAGAATGTAGGAGGTTACATCATATAGATGCTTTTCAGCCTTTGAATGATTTTCGCAAAGGGGAAAAGCAATCTGATTTTTGTTATAGAAAGATCCCTCTTTCTGCTGTGTTGAGAATAGACTGTTAGGTATAATGGTGGGGCAAACAAGTAAGAAATGGGCAGACCAGATAGAAAATTATTGCAATAATCCTGGCCAGAGATGACGGTGGCTTGGATTAGGTGGTAGCAGTGAAGGTGATGGGAAATGATTAGATTCTAGGTATATTTTGTAGACAGAACCAACAGTTTTCTTAATGAAGTCCAATATAACCCCCAGACTTTGGAGCCTTCTGTACCAGAGTCCAAGGCCTTATACATCCCCTTTCCTCCTCTTCTCATGGGCTAGAATATAGATGCAGTGATGAGCCACCTTGCACCAAGTAAATGAAGAAAACATGGTTTTTCACAAAAAGAAGTTTGGACCCCTGGGTGACCTCGTGGAACAGAGCTGCCCTACTTTTCTGGACCACCTCCTTTGGATTACTAAGTGAAAATATTCTCCTGGAATCCTTTTGGGCTATTTTTTTCTCACAAAACCGTGTGGGTCTGTGGAATGGGCTTTTTTTTTTTTTTGATGGAGTCTCACACTGTCACCCAGGCTGGAGTGCAGTGGCGCAATCTTGGCTCACTGCAAGCTCTGTCTCCCAGGTTCATGCCATTCTCTTGCCTCAGCCTCCTGAGTAGCTGGGACTACAGGTGCCCACCACCATGCCTGGCTAATTTTTTGTGTTTTTAGTAGGGATGAGGTTTCACCGTGTTAGCCAGGATGGTCTCGATCTCCTGACCTTGTGATCCGCCTGCCTCGGCCTCTCAAAGTGCTGAGATTACAGGTGTGAGCCACCGCGCCCGGCCGGAATGGGCTTTTGTTAAAGCAGCTGAACATGTATCCTAACTAATATAACTTCTCTAGGCCCTACCTTTGAGCACTGTGGTGGAGCCCTGGCAGTGCTCACCTCCTGTGACAAGATGTTATAAGAAGTCTTTGAGGTAGGAGCTATTTCTCACAATGGTTATGGCTTCAGAAGCTCACTGGAGGAGGGAGAGGGGAGCTTCCCTTAGAGGGGACAGAAAGGGAAAGAAGCTGGCCTTTTGAGGAGGAACTCTTACCCCAGCAATGGTTAGGGAGCTATTTAGGAAATCCCCTTTTTAGCCATGAAGACTTAACATGAAGGAGGTTTTGCAGTTGACTATGGTGGGTTAAAGAGGTGCTGCTGGTAAGACTCTGCTGCCTTTTTTTTTTTTTTTTTTTAAGACAGGGGTTTTGCTCTGTCACCCAGGCTGGAGAGCAGTGGCAGAATCATAGCTCACTAGGCAGTAACCCAGTTACCCTGATTAGATAATGAAGTAGGCCAGGCACAGGGGCCCACACCTGTAATCCCAGCACTTTTGGAGGCTGAGGCGAGGGGACTGCTTGAGCCCAGGAGTTCAAGACCACCCTGGGCAACACAGTGAAGACCCTGCCTCTATGAAAATAAGAATACATTTTTTTCCAAAAAAGAGAATGAAGGCCAGGCCCAGTAGCTCATGCCTGTAATCTCAACATTTTGGGAGGCCAAGACGGGCAGATCACTTGAGGTAAGGAGTTCGAGACCAGCCTGGCCAACATGGGAAAACCCCATCTCTACTAAAAACACAAAAATTAGCCAGGCGCAGTAAGGCGGAGGTTGCAGTGAGCTGAGATCACACCACTGCACTCCAGTCTGGCAACAGAATGAGACTCCATCTCAAAAAATAAAATAAAAAAAAGAATGAAGTAGAAGTGGGTCAGGTGTCTGCTAAGTTATACTTTGAACTAGAAACATGGTTGAGCGCAACTTTGGGGCAGAGCACAGCTTACAGGTAGGAATTGACAGACCCAATCTGTGGAGATTAGATCGTGAAAATGAACTGTGTGATAATGCAATCTCAAAGTAATATCGGTGCTCTCAAAGGAAAAATGTGTTTACAAAGAAAGCTTACTACCTTGAGCATTTCTGCCGACTTAAATTTAAGGGCCTATAGAGATGTTTCTTTAAATTATTAAAAAGTGGTATTACACTGTATAATCAATCATGTTGTGTTGTATTTCTCTGTTTATTTTTGGTGGGATAAGAAAGAAAGGACAAAAAGAGACACAAAAAGAAAATGGGGGAAATTTTTCCTCAACTTAGCCGTGTGAAGATAAACATAGATACATGCACACACATATATACATATGCATATATACAAGTAGTTTTTGAGAGATGATGGGAGGATGTGAATGAAGGATCAGAGGTGAATAGGAGGGATGTCTGGGCAATAGAAAGAAGCTGTGGTGGGCAGTAACCAAAAATGAAGACAGATAGTAGGTGGATATTAGGTCTCTTTTTTTAATTTTTGAGACAGAGTCTCTTTCTGTCATTCAGGCTGGAGTGGAGTGGCGCAATCTTGGGTCACTGCAACCTCCACCTCCCAGATTCAAGCAATTCTCACTCGAGAATCAAGTATGAAAAATCAAGTGCTCTTTGTGCCTCAGCCTCCCAAGTAGCTGGGATTACAGGCGTGTGCCACCACACCTGGCTAATTTTTGTATTTTTAGTAGAGACAAGGTTTTGCCACGTTGGACAGGCTGGCCTTGAACTCCTGACCTCAAGTGCTCCATCCCCTTTGACCTCCCAAAATGCTGGGATTACAGGTGTGAGCCACCACACCCAGCAGCATTAGGTCTTTAAATCCAGGTTTAAAATAAAGAGGATCATTAAACACGCAGGATCAAGTGGTCTTGGATGGCAGTGACTTTCCATTGAGATGTCCATGTAGTTTTCTCAGTTTGGAAGAGCACAATAACAATGCCAGGATAAGGCTTTTCGACTTGACAGAAAAGAAGAAATAGCTACTGTATTTGTCTTAAACCATATGTGCTGCTGAAAGGCAAATAAATAATTCTGACTGAAATGAAGACTAATAAAGGTCTCTATGATCATAAAAAGTTTGTGTAGCCACTTAACCTCCAAGCTGTATTGTGAACAGGGATATATGTAGGGCCACCCAAGTCTCTTAAAAATGTGTGAAAAATGCTTGGTGTGAAGCAAAGTTCAGAGAACCTCTATGAAGTCTCTGGTTTATGTTCCAAAGAAAGTGAAGGGACATATTTACTGCAGGGATTCAGCTGCTTGGAGGACCCACGTTATCACATTCCTGGGTTACTTCCACCTAGATACTCAAATGGCAAATCATGTGGTTGTGGAGCATAGAACTACCTATTGAATTAAACAATCTAGTGTCTGATCTATTCAGGTGTAATAGATGGCAAAGCTGAAACTCTTTTCTGAATAAATAAATTTTACTGCAAGAGTTCTGGCAGAAAGTGTAATAATAAACAGTCTATAAAATCCAGATGATTTTGGGGAAGGACACCTGGTAGAACTGTGTAACATTAAACTTTAAAATGTGGCTTTAGATGAGGTTTGGCTATAGAGGGAAACATTTTGTTCATCTACCTGGACAAAACACAAAGATTCCTTCTGGCAGAACATTTGGCGAATGAAGAGAGGTTTAATTTTGTTCTGTATTGTTGAGTTAGATAGGTTTTTCATGGATCACTGCAAAAATGTACACCTCACAGAATCTTAAGGCAGTTTAGGCTCTAAGCTGATTTGAACAGAGAGAAGGACTTGATATTGTGAACTCTGTCTACGTAGGTTGCCTGTGTAGAGTTCCTCACACACTCTGGTAAAAAGAACTCAAGCTCTGAATGTGTCTCCTGTTAACACCACAGGGGCCCTTGGGGGAACATGTATTTTGCTTCTGACCGGATAACAGGGAGGAATAGAAAAGGCAGGGAGCGGTGGCTCACGCCTATAATCCCAGCACTTTGAGAGGCTGAGGCAGGCAGATCACTTGAGGTCAGGAGTTCAAGACCAGCCTGGCCAACATGGTGAAACCCCATCTCTACTAAAAATAGAAAAATTAGGTGGGTGTGGTTGTGCGTGCCTGTAGTCCCAGCTACTCAGGAGGCTGAGGGAGGAGAATTGCTTGAACTCAGGAGGTGGAGGTTGCAATGAGCAAAGATGGTGCCACTGCACTCCAGCCTGGGCAATAGAGTGAGACTTCATCTAAAAAGAAAAAAAAAAAAGAAAAGAAAAGAATGAATAGAAAGAATTGATGGACACAAGAGAGAAATTCTCCAGTAAAAACCACAGATCCATGACCTAGCAAACATATGGTCAGCAAGCTGTTTTTCAAGGGCTGTCTTCTTAGGGAAGAAAGATTTTTTGAAACATGTATATGTGTGTGTTGCCCCAGGGGGTGGTATTTGGGACATTGCTCAGTATTTTCCACTGTCAAACATAAACTATACTACACCCCAGAATGTACTCAAGATGTTTGGCATCAGTAGAGTATTTTGTTGCCATTCAGATGAACGATCTCTGCTTGGAAGGCGTTGAGGCACAGCAACACGTTAAAAAGAGACCCTGTTTATTCACCCAAGGGAAGCAAAGGGAGGTTAGATGGAAATTGAAGGTTGGGTGGTGATATTGTTGCTGCTGCCAGTTGGGAGGTGGTAGAACAACCCTCACACTCCAACCCCTGGCATAGCTTATCCTGTAATAGAGATGCAGCTTGCCTAGCTGTAGTTCCCATGTCATTTATTACTTAATGCCAGGCATTAAGACAAATGACAATATTCTTTGGTGTATTAGGAAGAATGAAAGTATTCTGATTTGGCTCGAGAAGGGACAACATAAATGGGAGTGTTCTGATGACAAAGGCCTTTGAATGTCATGCTTAAGGGTTTGGATTTTATTCCATTGCTCCCAAAGCATGTAAAAATGTTTGTAGCAAGGAGTGATGTGACAGAATATTTGTTTTTGTAAAGATCATCTGGTAGCAGTTTGCAAGATGGTTTGGAAAAGAATTTGAATGGAAGTAAGACAATCATTCAGGAGCCTGTTACCACAATGGAAGTCGAAGATGGAAGGTCCTTAGACAGTGAGAGAATTGAGATGAGGGAGATGTATTTGAAAGACATTGATTTGAGAAATGAATAGAATCTTTCAGGAAGCTTAGCTGAATTGCATATAATCTTCACAATAACGTTTTTCTTGAGTTGGCATTGAAAACCTTGAACAGAAAAGCGAACTAATTTTAGGGATACAAATGTTTTTATCAGTTTTAAAGGCAGCGAGATTGGGAGAAAGAAAGAAAGTTTTTCCTTTTCAAAGAATAATTGAATCAAATGGAAATTAATGATACCTATTTTCACGATGCTGAGATCGAATTCTTGTCATAAAAGGCATTTGCAGCCTGATCTGCATGTCAGCCCCCATGCTTCACTTTGACAGTTTGAAAAGAGAACACAGCACATGTACCGGAAGTCAACGCCTACTTATGTACCTGTTGTTTTAATGCTCCACCCAGAAATTAGTGTTCTAACTTGTATAATCTGTATGGCTCTGTTGATTGCTGGGGGTGAATGATTATCCTTAGGTTAGGAAGAAACTTTTAGGCTTAATTCCTTTGCAAGACTTTAAGATAATTAACACAGATGTATAATGTAAATATCAGGCAATATCGTGGTCTATGGGTTGTAGAATTAGACTGCCTGCTCTCAAATCCCAGTCCTTCCTGTTTCTGGCTGTGGGATCATGGACAAATTACCTGCTACCAAGAAATCTGTTTCCTTACTTGTTAAAATGGGAATAGTAATAGCACCTAACTCATGGGGTTGCTGTAATGTTCACATGGGGAAATCCTTAAAAAGTGGTTAGCTCAGTGCCTGGCACACAAAGCATGCTCGATAATTGTAGGTATTGATCATTACCTACAAGTTTTAGCTTAGGACTTTTAAAAGCAGTAGAGAATAAAGGGGAAGGCAGAGAGAGAGAGTGGGACTTCTTTGAGTTACTTCATGAGAAGGGTGAGAAGATTTTAAGTAGAGATTCAAAAACATGTTTTGTTTTGTGGACTTTGTTAAAAAAAATACTGAATCTGCATGGAGTTCACACATTATTATATGTCTGCCTTCTGAAGGCATCTGAGTTGGGGACCCCTGTGTCTAGCCCCAAAATGCCATGTTTATCACCATATCTGGTTAAGAGTGGTGAGAAAATATTATACTGTATAGTACTATATTTCTCTTACTTCTCTTTCTTTTTTTTTTTTTTTTTAGACAGGGTCTGGCTGTGTCACCTAGGCTGTAGTGTAGTGGTGTGATGTTGGCTCACTGCAGCCTTGACCTCCCAGGGCTCAAGCAATCCTCTACCTCAGCCACCCGCAGCAGCTGGGACCACAGAGGCATGTGCCACCATGCCCAACTAATTTTTTTTTTTTTTTTTTTTTGATACAGAGTCTCGCTCTGTCACCCAGGCTGGAGTGCAATGGCGCGATCTCGGTTCACTGCAACCTCTGCCTCCCGGGTTCACACTATTCTCCTGCCTCAGCCTCCTGAGTAGCTGGGATTACAGGCGCACACCACCACACCTGGCTAATTTTTTGTATTTTTTTTAGTAGAGATGGAGTTTCACTATGTTGGCCAGGCTGGTCTTGAACTTCTGACCTCGTGATTTTCCCACCTCGGCCTCCCAAAGTGCTGGGATTACAGGCATGAGCCACTGCGCCAGGCCTACTTTTTGTATTTTTTAGTAGAGATGGGGTTTTACCATGTTGCCCAGGCTGGTCTCGAACTCCTGATTTCAAGTGATCTGCCCACCTCAACCTCCCAGTGTACTAGGATTGCAAAAATGAGCTACCGGGACTGGCGTTCTCTTTAAAAAAAAAAATTTATTTATTTTTTTTTTATTTTTTATTTTATTATTTTATTTTATAAAATAAATTTTATTTGAATTTTGATTCAATTATATTTTATTATTTTTTATTTTTATTTTTATTTTTCTGTTTATTTGGTTGGACATGGTGGCTCATGTTTGAAATCCTAGCATTTTGGGAGGCTGAGGTGGGAGGATTGCTTGAGGTCAGGGCTTCAAGACCATAGTGAGAACCCTGTCTCTTAAACAACAACAACAAAACACAACAAAGCAAAACAAAAACTCCTTGTTTACCTTTGCTATAAGGATACAGTCTAGGTCTTTATCTCATGCTCTACCACTTTTTTTTTTTTCTATTTCATAAACTGAAACAAGTGGTAACTTCTTCCCAAACTTTATCTCAAGTCTTGGAAAGAATCACAATGTAACGATGTAATGTAATCAGCAATGTAATGTTTGAAAATCTTGATCATAGTAGAGAGAAATCTCCAAATTAGTACAGTTATCCTTCAGTATCCACAGGACATTGGTTTCAGGACCTCCCACACATACCAAAATCCAAGGATGCTCAAGTCCCTGATATAAAATAGTATAGTATTTGCATATAACCTATGCACATCATTCCATATACTTTAAATCCTCTTTAGAGTAGTTATAACATCTAATACAATGTAAATGCTATAAAAATAGTTGTTGTATTGTTTAGGGGATAACAATAAGAAAAAAAGCCTGGGCATGTTTAGTACAAATACAGCCATTGATTTTTTTTCTTCTGAATATTTTTCGTCTGTGAAACTCAGATATGGAGGGCCAACTGTGTTTTCTTTTTTTTTGAAACCAAGTCTTGCTCTGTCACCCAGGCTGGAATGCAATGGCACGATCTTGGCCCACTGCAACCTCCACCTCCTGGGTTCAAGTGATTCTCTTGCCTCAGCCTCCTGAGTAGCTAGGATTACAGGTATCCGCCACCATGCCCAGTTAGCTTTTGTATTTTTCATAGAGACGGGGTTTCACCATGTTGGCCAGGCTGGCCTTGAAATCCTGACCTCAGGTGATCCACCTGGCTCAGCTTTTCAAGGTGCTGGGATTACATCACACCTGGCCCCAGCTGTGTTTTCTTAAAAAGAGATTTCTGTGTATACAAGTAACTTTTTATCAGGAAGAATATGGGCACTGAATTTGGAAACCTTGATGGCACAGGACTTCTGTAACTTTACATTTGTAGGGCATGTGACTGGACAACTGTTAGAGATCTGAAATGTTTAGTTTATGTTGCAGATATGTTCATCCATATAAAGAGTCAGAACTAAAGCTTGCATCCTCTTTAGTGTCTTCTGGGCAATGTTATGTATCGTAACGTAACAAAGGACTGATTTTGGAAGCAAGCATCATAGCAGGGTACCTACCAGATTATAAAACTTCTCATAAATAGATATTACCCATGGTTTAAATATTTTTTAAAGGCTAAAAATGACTATGTCTGAGACTAGAATATTTAATCATGACCTGAATTCTCTGCAGGCCAAGATAGCCTTCCAAAATTTCCACTGGGGAACATGGTGGAAATTTGTACTCCTGTATCTCTGCTTTCTATTTCATCATTATTTGGCACTGAAGATGTTTTGGTTCTCAATCACTCATTGTCAGTGACATTGATAGAAGTCCAGGGAGAATATCCAGTTTAGGGTGGAAACTGAATTGGTGGTCAATGTATTCTTATTTTAATTTACATCAAGATACTTCCTCTCTTAAAGAAAGAGAAGGCTTTCTCCTAAAGGGGAGGGAACAGTAATCAGGGACCTTGCAGAATATATTGAGATTGCAGCCACTTCACAAAACAATACTGTTCATTATCCGGAGAGGTAATACATGAACTCAATGAAGGGGAGGGAAGGGAAACTTGTTTTTGTAGCAACAGTAATGCTGTTTCAACACAGCAGCAAAAGGAGGGGGAGGAGGACAATTCTAGAACTTCCTTTCATTCGTACAGATTATGCTTGAAAATATTTGTGCCTTTTTTTCTCCTAGGAGGAGATACAAAGGAGTATAGGATAAGATGTAGACATAAAAGATAAAGCACAGGTTAAAAGACTTGCTCGTTGACCACAACTAAACAATGTGGGTGCCAGATTCATTATTATGATGATTTAATGGTTTAAGACATTCGTTATGGGCTTTTTTTTTTTTTTTTTGGTGACAGAATATCGCTCTGTCACCCAGGCTGGAGTGCAGTGGCGTAATATGGCTCACTGCAACCTCTACCTCCCAGGTCCAAGCAGTTCTCATGCCTCAGTCTCCCAAGTAGCCACGCCCGGCTAATTTTTGTATTTTTAGTAGAGACAGGGTTTCACCATGTCGGCCAGGCTGATCTTGAACCCCTGGCCTCAAGTGATCTGTCCGCCTCAGGCTCCCAAAGTGTTGGGATTACAGGCATGAGCCACCACACTGGGCCATCATAGACTTTTTTTTTTTTTTTTTTTTTTTTTTTGAGACGGAGTCTCGCTCTATCGCCCAGGCTGAAGTGCAGTGGCACAATCTCGGCTCACTGCAAGCTCTGCCTCCCAGGTTCACGCCGTTCTCCTGCCTCAGGCTCCCAAGTAGCTGGGACTACAGGCACCAGCCACAAAGCCTGGCTAATTTTTTTTTGTATTTTTAGTAGACACGGAGTTTCACTGTGTTAGCCAAGATGGTCTCGATCTCCTGACCTCGTGATCTGCCCGCCTCAGCCTCCCAAAGTGCTGGGATTACAGGCATGAGCCACCATGCCCGACGCATCATAGACATTTTAAATTATTTTATGGTAATGAAAACAAAGGTAGCAACTGCAACACTATTTTCTCATGGCCAATCTATATTTGGAACAGTTTGTTGAGTTCTGCAAAATGGACATTGGAGAGACCACTGGAAAACAAAAGCAGTGCAAAAGAAAGAACTCTGCAGGGTGATGGAGGGGACTTGAAATTAGTCTTTGTTGGAATGCTTAAGGAACCAGTGAGAAAGGAGGACTTAAGGAGTTTCATGACTATCTTCAGATACTTGAAGATGCTAGGGCAGAAAATGTTGGCATAATAGTCAAGAAAATTTTGACTTAGAAGCAAGACGTTGCATCTGTTTAATATCCAGAAAGTTAAAAGTCTACCAAGAAAGCAAGCAAGCAAGCAGAATGCATTGCATTGGGTGGGCACTAAGGGAGTTTGATCACAGCCTGGATGCTGCTGGCTGGGGATACTCCAGAAGGCACTGACTCATGCACTAAGTGGACTTTTCACATCATCCTTCAAGGGCAAGACTCTATGATAATGGATATCGTTTTTGAGCTCTTATTCTCTATTTACAGATTAGGAAGCTGAAAATCAAGAAAATTAAAGAATTTATAAAAACTCTTCAGAGGCCAGGCGCAGTGGCTCACGCCTGTAATCCCAGCACTTTGGGAGGCCGAGGCAGGCAGATCACCTGAGGTTGGGAGTTCGAGACCAGCCTGACCAACATAGGGAAACTCCATCTCTACTAAAAATACAAAATTAGCTGGGAGCAGTGGCGCATGCCTGTAATCCCAGCTACTCGGGAGGCTGAGGCAGAAGAATCCCTTGAACCTGGGAGGCGGAGGTTGCAGTGAGCCGAGATCACACCATTGCAATACAGCCTGGGGAACAGGAGTGAAACTCCATCTCAAAAACAAACAAACAAACAAAACCCCAAAAACTATTCAGTGGCATGATTAGCATTCTTATCTAAATTGGTAAATGCCTATGTTCTTAACCACCAGGCATTTGGGGCACAAGAATCCTTCTTCAAAAGTGCTTAAACCAGGCCAGGCGTGGTGGCTCATGCCTGTAATCCCAGCACTTTGGGAGGCTGAGGTGGGCAGATCACTTGAGTTCAGGAGTTTGAGACCAGCCTGGCAAACGCAGTGAAACCCTATCTCTACTAAAAATACAAAAATTAGCTGAGCGTGGTGGCACACGCCTGTAATCCGAGCTACTTGGAGGTCGAGGCAGGAGAATCGCTGGAACCCTGGAGGCACAGGTTGCAGTGAGCCAAGATCATACCACTGCATTCCAGCCTAGGCGACAGTGAGACTCTGTCTCAAAAAAATAAATAAAAATAAAAATAAATAAATAAATAAATAGTGTTTAAACCAGGAGAGAGCGATGCTGAATTTAGAGAATAAATCTACATTCCTTTTCTAGAGCTGCACCTGTGGCTGAATGAAAAAACAAAACAAAACACAAAATAAACCATTCTTCCCTGCAGAGGAGGATGACTTGATAGGAGGAAGCCCAGAACGATGCATGGAAAAGAAAGCGACTTTGATTCTTTCTCAGACTCTTCCTCACCACTCCCCTCTTCTCACCTCCACCTCCAGGCCCAGTGGAGCAGCCAGTTTGTAAGAACAGTTTTTAATTTTGAGCTTTTATCATAGCTTTATTTTAGTACTACGTCAGAAGTCCACATTTGCCCAGAGTCTGCTCTGTTCCTCGGGCTGGTTCTGACTCTGTTGTTAAAGTCACTGCAGGATGACTTTACAAGAACCAAATTGCCAGATGTAAACCAACTCTCATCCAGCCTCTGGCAGCTGGATTCTGAGGAATAAATGAAGAGAGGACACTCAGGAAAAGCATATTCTTTTTTTGTTTGTTTTTTAGACCAAGTCTTGCTCTGTTGCCTTGGCTGGAGTGCAGTGGCGTGATCTCGGCGCACTGCAACCTCCACCTCCTGGGTTCAAGTGATTTCTACTGCCTCAGCCTTCCGAGTAGCTGGGACTACAGGTGCGCACCACCACGCCCAGCTAATTTTTGTATTTTTAGTAGAGACGGGGTTTCACCATATTGGCCAGGCTGGTCTCAATCTCTTGACCTCGTGATCTGCCTGCGTCGGCCTCCCAAAGTGCTGGGATTACAGGCGTGAGCCACTGCGCCCGGCCCAAATGCATATTCTTTACTGCTCCAGAGCTGGTTAAGTCCCACATGCCCTTTCAGTCTCTCTTGGTGACCTATAGGACTCCTATGTGAACCTGTAGGACTGCATTTGTCCAAGGGCCTGTCCTTTCTTCTGGGACCCAGTGTGATTGCTTCTAGGTTTTTTTCTTCTGGGTTTTCTAAGGGCAAGGGTACTTTCAAATGGTGCAAATCCAGGTGCTGGTTAACACTTCAGGCACAGGACATGGATGAGAGAGAAGAAAATTAAACAGGGAAAGAAAAATTTTAACCCAGTATCTTGCTGTAATCAAAGCCCTCCAACTAAACCCCTTTGTAGGGTTCTGGGGATTCCATTTTGTGCTCTGCCTAGCAGTGCTCTTGAATGGAATGGGGTTCATTATGGGAGCAGTGCCCTGTAGAGGTTATGACCCACTATCACATCTTGAGTTTCCCCTTTACTCTTCAGCTTCATTTAAAAAATTTCATTGTAATTATAAAATTTTTTTTGTAGAGATGGTGTCTTGCTATGTTGCCCAGGCTGGTCTAGAACTCTTGAGCTCAAGCAATCCTTCCACCTCGGCCTCCCAAAGTGCTGGGATTACAGGTGTGAGCCACCATGCTCAACCCAGTCTCACTTTCTTTTTGTAGTTTTACCCTCAAAACTGCCATCACTTTTTAATTAAAACAAATGACAGCCATTTTCTCTCAATACACTGTTGTGCACAAAGGTTTGTGATCCATCTTCGAACACCTGGACAGCTCACTCTACACATCTAGGGATTCCAGCCAGTGGAATATTTTCCATGTTGGTTTTCCCCCTTGATCCACCCAAAAGTTCAGATTGTATGATGGAGGGTTGACGTTAGGGTGAGACAGGCGAAGCTGGGTTATGGAAGAGCAGCGTAGGACCTTGTCTTTGTTTAAAAATTTGATATTTTGTTAATCATGGATTATTTTCCATTAATTTTAATTACTGAGGCTTTTGGTGCCCTGTTAAATTTTGCCTCAATTGCCTTATCCTAGTTCTGACCTGCCGTAACACTTGATCCTGTTTAAGTCCGTGGATATTTGGCAGTCCTGTGTGCTGAAAAAGCACTGGAACTTAGGAGAGATGGTTCTAAAATGTAGCTCTGAATATCACTAACTATGTAACTTTGGGTGGGTCAGTGGCCCAATTGGGACCCCAGGTGTCTCATGTGGAAAATACAGGTGACATCTAATTCTAAACTTTTATGATTCTGCCCCTGGTGTTTCCTAACTGAGAAGCTCAAAGATGGCAGCACCGTATATTCTAGCTCTTTTATTACTCTCCATGCCTCAAACTAGCACCAAATCCGGTCCCTTGCACAGAGTGGACATTCAAACAATGTCTTCCAGTAAATGGTTTTTTGCACATTGGAACAAAAATATAGATCAAGGTCCAAACCAAAAAGCCTATACAAATTAAAAACATTCTGCAAATGAAAACAAAACCTTCCCAAACAAGAATATTGTACCTCCCTCATTCCTCCCACAGAAAAGAAAAATTATTAGTGTTTCTGATTCGTGAAAGTATGGCAAAGTCTTACTGCTTTCTTTTCCCCCCAGGAAATATTCTATTCAAATATTTCAGGTTTTGAGTGAAGCAGACTTATGTAATCATCCTGCCTTTGGGGATTTCTGTCCATCTAAAGATGCTAGAACCACCCTAATGAGTCACAGTTCATAAAATGTAACATCTGTGAGGGAAGGTTATAAACATCAGCAGTGCCCAGAACAGCTGTAGAATTTTAGAAGAAATAGAATTTCCACTTCCCAACTAGTTCTTCATATTTAAGTTCACATAACTAGAATGTAGGGAGAGAGAGAGCATTTGTGCATATAGCCCAAACCCCCTTTTCTTTTCTCCTCTTTTTTCCTTGAGAGAGAGGGAGGCTGGGTGCAATGGCTCACACCTGTAATCCCAGCACTTTGGGAGGCCCAGGTGGGCAGATTACTTGAGACCAGGAGTTCGAGACCAGCCTGGCCAACATGGTGAAACCCCATCTCCACTAAAAATACAAAAAATTAGCTGGGCGTGGTGGCACATGCCTACTATAATCCCAGCTACTCGGAGGCTGAGGCAAGAGAATTGCTTGAGCCTCGGAGGTGGAGGTTGCAGTGAGCCAAGATCGCACTACTGCACTCCAGCCTGGGCAACAGAGTGAGACTGTCTCATTTAAAGAGAGAGAAAGAAGACAGAGAGAGTGAGCATGAGTGCGAGCACATGCGCAAGAAAGAATGCCGGGAGGGAAAGAGGCAAAGGAGGGAAGGGAAAAGATCCTGGTTCAATGGTAAAATACATGACCTTCAAATAGAAAACATATTTTAAGCACTCTTTTCTTTATTCTTAGCCTATTTTGTATTACGGCATTTTTTTTTTTTTCCCCCGAAATGGAGCCTCTTGCTCTGTCTCCCAGGCTGGAGTGCAGTGGCTCAATCTCAGCTCACTGCAACCTCTGCCTCCTGGGTTCAAGCAATTCTCCTGCCTCACCCTCCCAAGTAGCCAGGATTACAGGCACCCACCACCACACCTGGCTAATTTTTGTATTTTTAGTAGAGATGGGGTTTTGTCATGTTGGCCAGGCTGGTCTCAGGTGATCCACCTGCCTCGCCCTCCCAAAGTGCTGGGATTACAGGCGTGAGACACCGTGCCCGGCCCTATGACATCTTTTCCACATACCTATTCTCTAACCAGTGGTAGAAATGAGAGGGCAAGAACCACTGTAGAGACACTTCTTGACATATTGTAAATTGCTTCTGGACATGAAGAGTATATACCAATAGCTGTATAGTAAGTCATTTTAATTTACTTAATCTTTCTTTCATAGTTGATATTAATCACCCTGTCCCAGAAACAAAGGTCTTGTACTTGAGGGAAATGAAAGTGACCTTCTAAAGGCCATTAAGAATGGTGGGTCGGCCGGACGCAGTGGCTCATGCCTGTAATCCCAGCACTTTGGGAGGCTGAGGCGGGCGGATCACCTGAGGTCAGAAGTTCGAGATCAGCCTGGGCAACACAGTGAAACCCCATCTCTACTAAAAATACAAAATTAGCTGGGCCTGGTGACACATGCCTGTAATCCCAGCTGCTCGGGAGGCTGAGACAGGAGAATCACTTGAACCTGGGAGGCGGAGGATGCGGTGAGCCGAGATGGCGCCATTGCACTCCAGCCTGGGCAACAAGAGTAAATCTCCGTCTCACCAAAGAAAGAAAAAGAATGGTGGGTCATACAAAGGATGGATATAGGCACATATCTGCACTGTCTATGGTCTCAATACTTTAGACAATTCAAAAGCCAAGTACATCTCCAGGTATTCAAATTCAAGAAAACAGTCACAAAATGTCTTGACACTTATACCAGTAATACAATATACCTTCACTGAAACATAACACAAGCACTTTTCCTTTTTATTTATTTTTATAGAGATGGGATCTTGCTATGTTGCCCAGGCTGCACTAGCACTCCTGGCCCCAAGAGATCCTCCCTTTCAGCCTCTGGAGTAGCTGGGATTACAGGCATGTGCCATCGTACCTAATAGGCAGTTTATTTCTGACAAGGAACTTGGAAGGAACACAGTAAAAAACCATCTGATACAAGAAAATTTTGTTTTAAAAATTCTACTTTTAGAATAATTTCTGTATCTTTTGTTCTCATCACAGATTTTCTCTAACAAGGCAAAATCAGACAAAGCATGTTTTTTCCTTTTCTTTCTTCCTTGCGTTTTATTTTTACTGTTATTTTTTAGCGGTAGGGTCTCACTCTTTCTCCCATGTTGGAGTGTAGGGGCACAATCATAGCTAACTGCAACTTCAAACTCCTGGACTCAAGGGATCTTCCCACTGTAGCCTCCTGAGTAACTGAGATTACAGGCACCCACCACCACTCCTGGCTAATTTTTGTATTTTTTGCAGCGATGGGGTTTTACCATGTTGGCCAGTCTGATCTCAAACTTCTGACCTCAAGTAATCCTCCCAGAGTGCTGGGATTATAGGTGTGAGCCACCCTGCCTGGTCAGCATTCACTTGTTAAGCAACACCTGCCCTGAACTTTATGCCAGTTGCCATGCAAAGCAAATAATCTTCTCCAACAGGTTTTCCTAGCAGATAATGTGTCTAGGCAGAAATTGCAGGCCCTGAATTATTTCCTTAAAATGGATTTCATAATTCTACATTAAAGAGATACGTAATATTGACTAATGGCTTATTTAGTGCCTTTTCACCATGAAAAGGAAGTAAATGTAGTGTACCCCAGCGGGGTCCCACACAACCACTTTTCATATACATTTCCTTTGAACCATTCACCAAGGGCATCACAATTAGTGCCCTGTGAAGACCTGGTCTGTGATTTAAACAACCTAAATTTCTGCCCAAACACAACCTTTCTCCTTGACCTTGAGCTCCATGTGAGTCAACAACGGGATGAGACAGCTAAAAAAAAAAAAAAGTAACTTTGCCCTTGGGCTGTCTTAATAGAATTGGGGGAGTGTTTATCCAATTCTACTTGAACTGATCAGACAGCACCTAGGGGTACTGTGTTCTTTTCTGGGAATTACAGTTTAAGAGAAACAATGATAAACTGAAATATGTCCAGAGGAGAGGGAACCGGATGGAGAGAAACTATATCATGTGAGGAGCATTGAGCAAACTGGTGGAAGCTATTTATCCTGGAAAAGAAAGAGCAGGGTAACAATTTTTTCAAATGCCCAAGGGCTGGCATTTGGAAGAGGGAACTATTCAAACTGGCTTCAAAAAATTGAGGGGCGCTAATGTTAGCTCAATGTAAGGCAGAATTTCCTAAAGATTATAGTTGTTAAACATTTAAAAACTAAATTAAATGAATTATTTATTCAGCACCTACTATGTATTCTAGGCCCTGGAGAGAGAGTAGGACACAGAACTTATGGAGATTTCATTCTACTGTAAAGCTATGTCAGAGGGTGGTACATTTCTCATACTTGGAGATGTTTAATGATGCAACCTTAAAGTGAGGGGTTTTAAGCAGGAAATCAGACATTACACGTGATTGGACTTGTTGATGTCTAAAATTCAGTAAGCGCTGAAACCCTAAGGTTCTGTTAGGTTCTACTAAGTTTTTTGAAGGGATGGGGTGACATGGAGGCTATAGAGAGAAGACGGTATGAAATATATTTTTTAAAATAATCTTTAGACTGTTTGAAACGGGGTGGAGTCAGATTGGCTAAAGATCATAGGATCACAGCCTTGGTTTTGTGTGTGTTTTTTCCCTTTGTTTTTAAAAGACAGGTCTGGCTCAGTTGCCCAGACTGGAGTGCAGTGGCGCAATAATGGTTCACTGCAGTTTCAACCTCCTGGGCTCAAGCAATTCTCCTGCTTCAGCCTCTTGAGTAGCTGGGGCTGCAGGCGCGCCACCACGTTCCGCACTAACCTGGTTAAGGCTGGATGGCGTCATAGCTATTCGCCCAGGGCGCCCGCCTCATTCGGGTGGGGATGGGGGAGGTGGGTGGTGGCAGCGGCGGGGGGCTGGGTTTCAAGCCATCCAGGTCAGGCGGCCGGCTTACCTTACTACAAAAGAGGAGAACTCTGCTCCTCTCAGTGTCTCGGTACACGTGGCACTGTGGACCTCAGCTGCTGCCAGCCCCTCAAAGCCTGTCACCCCTCCATCCACTGTACCCACTCCAGCGCGTTTCCTTTCCTATTGCGGACACCTCCCAAACTCACCTTCCACCCTAGTTCTTTCTTGCTACCAGATCGACCTCCTCCCTCCTAGATAACCCTGTTTTGGCCCCCTTTGTAGGCACAAACTTGAACCTTGCTCCGTTTGAAAGAGCCCAGGCCGGGCACGGTGGCTCACACCTGTAATCCCAGCATTTGGGAGGCCGAGGCGGGCAGATCATTTGAGGTCAGGAGTTCAAGACCAGCCTGACCAACATGGTGAAACCCAGTCTCTTCTAAAACTACAAAAAAAAAAAAAAAAATTAGCCGGGCATGGTGGCGCATGCCTGTAATCCCAGCTACTCGGGAGGCTGAGGCAGGAGAACTCCTTGAATCCGGGAGGTGGAGGTTTGCAGTGAGCCAAGATCGCGCCATTGCACTCCAGCCTGGGCGAAAAGCGCGAGACTCTGTCTCAAAAAAAAAAAAAAAAAAAAAAAAAGCAGCCCAACACCGGTGTCTTGCATTCATTACAAATCGTGTCCACAGCCCGCTTCCCAGCTTCCAACTTCCACCTCCAGGGGAGGACTGGGGGCTGGAGATTGCATTAATTTCCAATGGCCAGTGGTTTAATCAATCATGACTAAGTAATGAGCCTCCGTAAAAACCAGAGCTTCCGGTCTGGTGAACACACGGAGGTCCTGGAAATGGTGGCGCGCCCAGAGGGCATGGAAGCTCCGCGCCCCTTCCCACAGACCTTGTCCCGTGCATCGCTTCCATCCGGCTCTTCCTGAGTTCTGGCCCTTGTAGTAAACCTGCAGTCTTGTAAGTACGCCATTTTCCCGAGTTCTCCGATCTGATCTAGCGAACTAATGAATGTGAGGGGCGGTCGTGGGAAGCCTCAGCCTCCCAAGTAGCTGGGACTCCAGGCATGTGCCACCATGCCCAGCTTACTTCCTGTTTTCTTATTTGTAGGTACTGCTTTGCATGTTTTTCTCAGCCCAGCATAGATACTAAATCAAATACATTGATCAAGCTTACCATATAAGTGTTTTGGTACAATCAGCTCCTGTTCCTTCATCGATGATATAGGGAACTGGGGAAGAAACCATGAGTAAACTGTTCTAGGTTTATTGTATGAATGACAAAAGATAATATATGTTAGGGCATAGCTCAGTGTCTGGATCATAGTAAGAGCTCAATAAATGTGCAATATCAGGCCGGGCGCAGTGGCTCACGCCTGTAATCCCAGCACTTTGGGAGTCCGAGGCGGGCGGATCACGAGGTCAGGAGATCGAGACCATCCTGGCTAACATGGTGAAACCCCGTCTTTACTAAAAATACAAAAAATTAGCCGGGCGTGGTGGCGGGCATCTTTGTAGTCCCAGCTACTCGGGAGGCTGAGGCAGGAGAATGGTGTGAACCCGGGAGGCGGAGCTTACAGTGAGCCGAGATCGCACCACTGCACTCCAGCCTGGGCGACAGAGCGAGACTCCATCTCAAAAAAAAAAAAAAAAAAAAAGTGCAATATCATTGTTATGACTTTACTTGATTCTTTCATTACATTGTATTATGAAATATTTCACATGACTTACATGACTTTGCTGAAACATAGCAAATTCTCGGGCTTCTAGCTAATTTAATGATCAATGGCTCTAATCAGAGAGCTCATTTGTGGTTACTGTTTTCCGTTTTTGTTTTTTGTTTTTGTTTTTGTTTTTTTTGAGACAGAGTCTCGCTCTGTCGCCCAGGCCAGAGTGCAGTGGCATGATCTCGGCTCAATGCAACCTCAACCTCCCGGGTTCAAGCAATTCCTCTGCCCTCAGCCTCCTGAGTAGCGGGGATTACAGGCATGAGCCACCGCACCCGGTTTGTGGGTACTTTTGATGGCATTTTGGATCTGGGTTTCATCCTGAGAGAAAACATCAACTGAAAGACTGCTGTGAGCCACAAAATAATGGTTTCCTGCTGTTACAGTAAAGCTACGCTGTGTTCATTCCATCCTTGACAAAGTGGCATATTCTGATCTTGTGATAATGTTCCACCAAAGGAGTTTATTTATTTTGCAGCAAAAGATTTGTGTAGATTAGTTCATTTCTTGTGATGAATATCAGTACAACATAATCAGGCTACTTGCTATGATCTCACTGACCTGCTGTAATCCAACTGGCTAAAGAAGCAATCAGTTGTTTTTCTTAGGAAGAGATACATTTTGTTTACTCTCTTAAGTTTGATGAATATATCATTTACTGATTGCTTGAGAAATAACTAAAAAGAAGTGGTCATAATGTGGGAAATTAGTAAAGAGCATCCAGTGATTCTGAGCAGATTCCACTTACCATACCTAGAAAACAGGTCTCTATTTTCAAAAATCAATCTTTTATTTATTTAAGGCTGAAAGATGTGTGCATATTCTTGTAAATGTTCAAATAACAAGTTAAAATAGCTAAACTTTTTTTTAACTTACTGCATTTTGGGAAATCTAACATATTTCTGAGGAAGTCTCGAAATACGACTTTATTTCTTTCTTTTTTGGAAACAGAGTCTGTCTCCAGGCTAGAGTGCACTAGCACAATCATAGCTCACTGCAGCCTCGAACTCCTGGGTTCAAGTGGTCCTCCCACCTCAGCCTTCCCAGTAGCTGGGACTACAGGTGCTCACCACCACACCCGGCTAATTTTTTTTTTTTTTAAATTTGGGGTAGAGACAGGGTCTTATTATGTTGCTCAGGCTGGTCTTGAACTCCTGGGCTCAAGTGATCTTCTTGCCTTGGCCTCCCAAAGTGGTGGGATTTTAGGTGTGAGGTGAAAATGCCACTTTTACACAGTGTTCGGTGTATTATTATTATTATTATTATTATTTTTGAGATGGAGTTTCGCTCTTGTTGCCCAGGCTGGAGTGCAATGGCGTGATCTCGGCTCCCCGCAACCTCCACCTCCCAGGTTCAAGCGATTCTCCTGCCTCAGCCTCCCTACTAGCTGGGATTACAGGCATATGCCACCATGCCCGGCTAATTTTGTATTTTTAGTAGAGATGGGGTTTCTCCATGTTGGTCAGGCTGGTCTCGAACTCCTGACCTCTGGTGATCTGCCCGCCTCGGCCTCCTAAAGTGCTGGGATTACAGGCATGAGCCACTGCGCCTGGCCTGTTTGGTGTATTATAATCCTTCCTACAAGACAAGCAGTTTTCAGTGTGTGCTGAAATACACCCTTCCCCATTCAACTACCAAAAACCCAAAAGGAAGATCATAGAGAAACACCATATTTATCTGTGAAATACCATTCCAGAACAAGGAGTCTCTCCCAGACAAGAAAGAAACCATTTCATTTTACCATCTAAATTTTTCCCAACTTGTTTGTTGTATGTAAAGAACTGTAATTAAGTATGCATTTGTATGTGTGTGTTAATAGGGATAAAATCATTCTAAAGGTGGATGGTTTTATTTTGAATACAGTTAATAAAATGAGAGTCACATTGGGGGACAATAACAAATGGAAAGGCCATGTTTAATGTTATCAATACAGCTGGGTGATAGAACAAATAATTTATATCAACATGGCATTTTCCATATAGTAACCAAAAATTTATTTGACTAAGCTTTTATCTCCTAAACTTGCTGGTGGTTTTGGAATTAAAGAGAAAATCGCGAGCTCTTCTAAAAGGTAAGCGGTACTTTTAGATGTTACTTCCCTAAATGAACTCTTCCCTGCCTCCAAAAACCTATGCCCTAGCCTAAATCAGGGCCCCTGCTCTAAGCTCCTCACTTAGAGCAACTGTTACTACATATGTGGAGGCTTATTTCAAGAATGTCTGTCTCCGCCACCAACCTGTGGTTTTGCTTACCTTCATACTCCCAGAGCCTAGCACAGTGCCTGGCAAACTGTAGGGCTCAATAGTATTTATTGAAGGAAAGACTATTCAGTAGGTTTTGATAAAGGCATTCACGTGCCCGGGCATCTTGGAAATAACTATTTTGTCTGAGAAGACAAACGTGAACTGGAGAAGAGAATTTGAGTTCTTGATTATCATCAAATCCATTAGTTCCTGTTTCAGTCCCCCTGCCCCTTTTTTTTTTTTTTTTTTAATCAAAAGCATTAAAAGAATGTTGAGGACGTAGAAAAGCCAGCCTCACTCCTGAGAGGTGTGTTCAATCTGTTCAGCCACTTCCTTGGACCAGCACTTCTGACTGACAACAGTTGCCATTTCTAGGAAAAGATGATGAGATTTTTCTCTAAACTGGTATGAGGAGCAAACAAGTTCACTATAAACCATTGTCACTGTCATGTGTTGCTTATAATTTTTTTTTTTTTTTTTGAGACAGAGTCTCTTGCTCTGTTGCCCAGGCTGGAGTGCAGTGGCATGATCTTGGTTCACTGCAACAGGGTTCAAGTGATTCTCCTGCCTCAGCCTCTGGAGTAGCTGGGACAACAAGCATGTGCCACCCCACTTGGCTAATTTTGTATTTTTAGTAGAGACAGGGTTTCGCCATGTTGGCCAGGCTGGTCTCGAACTCCTGACCTTAGGTGATCCACCTGCCTTGGCCTCCCAGAGTGCTGGGATTACAGGTATGAGACACCATGCCTGGCCTGTTGCTTATAATTAAAACCAGTTGACCTAATTCCACTCAAAGGAAGCAAGTACCAACCACATCTAATTATGTAAATAGCACTTAACACATATAGTAATACTCAGCATTTCCTGAGTACTTGTTAAGTATGGTACAATGCTAAGCAACTTCACATGCATTGTCACATTTAACTCTCACAAGAATCCTGGGAGGTACTGTTATTATTCCTACAAGGCTAAGAGAGCTTTGGCACTTAGCAAAAGTGGTGAAGAACAGACTAAACATCTGGGTCTGTCTGACCTCAGGGCCTTTTTTTTTTTTTTTTTTTTTTTTTTTTTTTGAGATGGAGTTTTGCCGTTGTTGCCTGGGCTAGAGTACAATGGCGTGTTCTCGGCTCACCGCAACCTCTGGCTCCTGGGTTCCAGCGATTCTTCTGCCTCAGTATCCCAAGTAGCTGAGATTACAGGCATGTGCCACCATGCTCAGCTAATTTTGTATTTTTAGTAGAGACAGTTTCTCCATGTTGGTCAGGCTGGTCTCGAACTCCTGACCTCAGGTGATCTACTCACTTCGGCCCCTCAAAGTGCTGGGATTACAGACGTAAGCCACCACACCCAGGCAGGGCCTTCCTTCTTAATACCTGCACACACAGTCTCTCTGAGTAATAATCTGTTAAGGTGCTCATCTCCCTTACTAAACTAAGAACATCAAGGGCAAGGAATAACTTTTACTCATCCTTATATCTCAGCAAGGAGCAGAGTGCTCAGTAGGTGCTCAATGAATGTCTCGTGAAAGAAGAAGGAAGTGCTTCCTCAATCAACAAAACTATGTTATGTTTAGGCTGGGTGTGGTGGCTCATGCCTGTAATCCCTGCCTTTTGGGAGGCAGAGATGGGAGGATTGCTTGAGGCCAGGAGTTTGAAACCAGCCTGGGAAACATAATGAGACCTCCGTCTCTACAAAATCGAAAAAGTAGCCAGGCATGGTGGTATATGCCTGAGAGTCCTAGCTACTCAGAAGTGGGAGGATTACTTGGGCCCAGAAGGTCGAGGTTACAGTGAACTGTGATAGTACTACTGCACTCCAGCCTGGGCAACAGAGAGAGCCATGTTTCAAAAATAAACAAACAAATGTTATGCTTACTATGGTTTTAATGTGTAGAAATACACAAAACAAATATTTATATAAAATGAGACAAATATTTACATATATAAATATATGTAACTTTTTTTTTTTTTCCAGGCAGGGTCTCACTCTGTCATTCAGGCTAGAATGCAGTGGCATGATCACATCTCATTGCAGCCTCCACCTTCCAGGCTCCAACAATCCTCCTGCCTCAGCTTCCTAAGTAACTAGGACCTCCTGCCTCAGCTCCCTAAGTAGCTGGGACTACAGGCATGCACTACCATGCCTGGCTAATTCTTAAATTTTTGGTAGAAACAAGGACTCACTACGGTGCCCAGGCTGGTCTCGAACTCTTGGGCTCAAGCAATCCTCCCATCTTGGCCACCCAAAGTGTTGGGACTACAGGTGTGGGCCATTAGGCCCAGCCTTCTATTTTTATTACATTTTGATCCATTTTTATGTCAAAGCATAAGAAACTGCCATTTTGTTAGATCAAAAATGGTCAAGGTCACAGCCAGGCTCGGTGACTCACACCTGTAATCTGAACACTTTGGGAGGCTGACGTGGTTGGATAACTTGAGGCCAGGAGTCGGAGACCAGCCTGGCCAACATGGTGAAACTCCGTTTCTACTAAAAATACAAAAATTAGCCAGGCATGGTGGTACACGCCTGTAATCCCAGCTACTCTAATGGCTGAAGTGTGAGAATCGCTTGAACCTAGGAGGTAGAGGTTGCAGTGAGCTGAGATCGCAGCCACTGCACTTCAGCCTGGGTGACAGAGTAAGACTCTGTCTCCAAAAAAAAAAAAAGCACTTTTTTGTTGTTGTTTGTTTTTTCAACTTTTATTTTAAGTTCTGGGATACAAGTGCAGGATGTACAGGTTTGTTACATAGGTAAATGTGTGTCAGGGTGGTTTGCTGCACGAATCAACCCATCACCTAGGTATTAAGCCCAGCATCCGTTAGCTATTCTTTCTGATGCTCTCTTTCCCCTAGCCCTCCCACATGCCCCCAGTGTGTTGTTACCCCCACGTGTCCATGTGTTCTCATCATTCAGTTCTTACTTATAAGTGAGAACATGCCGTGTTTGGTTTTCTTTTCTTTCTTTTTTTTTTTTTTTTTTTGAGACGGAGTCTTGCTGTGTTGCCCAGGCTGGAGTGCAGTGGCATGATCTCGGCTCACTGCAAGCTCCGCCTCCCGGGTTCACGCCATTCTCCTGCCTCAGCCTCCCGAGTAGCTGGGACTACAGGCGCCCGCCACGATGCCCGGCTAATTTTTTGTATTTTTAGTAGAGACGGAGTTTCACTGTGTTAGCCAGGATGGTCTCGATTTCCTGACCTCATGATCCACCCGCCTCGGCCTCCCAAAGTGCTGGGATTACAGGCGTGAGCCACTGCGCCCGGCCCTTTTCTTTCTTTTCTTTCTTTTTTTTTTTTTCAGAGACAGAGTCTCACTCTGTCACCCAGACTGGAGGGCAGTGGCATAATCTCGGCTCACTGCAACCTCTGCCTCCCAGGTTCAAGCAATTCTCGTGCCTCAGCCTCCCAAGTAGCTGGGACTACAGGTGTGCGCCACCATGACTGGCTAATTTTTGTATTTTTAGTAGAGACGGGGTTTCACCATGTCGGCCAGGCTCAGGTGATCTGCCTGCTCAGCCTCCCAAAGTGCTGGGATTACAGGCCTAAGCCACCATGCCTGGCCCTGTGTTTCGTTTTCTGTTCCTGTATTAGTCTGCTGAGGATAATGGCTTCCAGCTCCATCCATGTCCCTGCAAAGGACATGATCTAATTCCTTTTCATGGCTGCACAGTATTCCATGGTGTATATGAGCCACACTTTCTTTATCCAGTCTATTATTGATGGGCAGTTAGGTTGATTCCAGGTCTTTGCTATTGTGAATAGCAAATAGCATTTTTACTCTTTTTTTTTTTTTTGAGACAGAGTTTCACTCTTATTGCCCAGGCTGGAGTGCAATGGCACAATCTTGGCTTACTGCAACCTCCGCCTTCCAGGTTCAAGCGATTCTCCTGCCTCAGCTTCCCAAGTAGCTGGGGTTACAGGCATGTGCCACCACACTGGGCTAATTTTTTTGTATTGTTAGTAGAGACGGGGTTTCTCCATGTTGGTCAGGCTGGTCTCAAACTCCCGAACTCAGGTGATCAGTCTGCCTCAGCCTCCCAAAATGCTCGGATTACACGCATGAGCCACCGTGCCCGGCCTGCAAATAGCATTTTTATATGGCACAACTGAATAAAGAAAAAGCTCTGTCAACTCTCACTTATACAATTAAGTAAAATGTTTCATTGCCAGATTTTTCCACTCAATTAGAGGTTTATCATTATAAACCGTTAAAGAGAAAGTTTTGTGAAAAATTAAGGATATCATATCTATATGCTATTTTTTTCTAGGTTCAATGATTTAACGTCAATTCAACTTTGTATTTTATTATTTTTCATGCCTAGGGACAATTTGGTCCTAATGAAAATTCAAGCAGGCACATATATATTCCTGCTTGGATTCTCCACCTTTTTCAAGCTGCCAGGTTGTCTACCTCCTTTCAAACTCATTCTCCATGAAGGCTTTTCTTTTCCTTTCTTTTTCAGATTAACTCTGCCTTTATCCCATGCCTGACCCACCCACGAGTGTTCCTCAAGCACTTTCATAATGATGATAGTTTATGTGTTTATAGCGATCACTTTTGGTTGAATATTGGTCTCCACTGTATCCAGTTACGTAAAGCACTTAACATGGAGGAACTATACCCAATTCATTCAGTTATTTTTTGTTTTGTTTTGTGTTTTGAGACGGAGTCTTGCTCTGTCTCCCAGGCTAGAGTGCAGTGGCACGATCTTAGCTCACCGCAGCCTCCGCCTCCCGGGTTCAAGCAATTTTCCTGTCTTAGCCTCCCAAATAGCTGGGACTACAGGCACATGCCACCACTTCTGGCTAATTTTTGTATTTTTAGTAGAGACAGAGTCTCTACTAAAGGCTGGTCTCGAACTCCTGGCCATATCTTATCACCAGAGATGAGAAGTCTCCACACCATGCCTGAACAGTTACTGTCACTAAAACTATCATATCACCAGTCTGTTCTCCTAAGGACCCATTTATGTTTCCAAAAATCACTTGTTTTCCCGTAAGTGCCCTTCTCTTCCATTTCTCCTATTCTCCTATTAAGATGGCATATATAAAACAAAACAAAAAACAAAAAAACACACACATTAAAAAAAGAAAAAGAAAAAAAGATGGCATATAAGCCCTAAATTCTAACTACCCATCTGAGTCACTTTTTTTTTTTTTTTTTTTTAAGCTAGGGTTAGGTTCTGGTTGCCCAGGCTGGAATGCAGTGGCACAATCATAGCTCACTCAGCAACCTCTGAGTCACATTTACTTGGGAACGCCCATATCTACATACATAAAATTAAATTTTGTTTTCTCTTGCTAATCTTTCTTCTGTCAATTTCATTTGCTGGTGCCTGATAACAAATCTAAGAGGGAACAGGAGAAGTTTTTTCTCCCTGACACATCTATAATCTCACCATCAGAGTAACACATCTATTATCAGTTTTGCATATTCAATCTTTTCTACTTCATTTATTTTTTACATGATTATCATTCTGGTTAACATGATCTGTTATTAAATATTTATCTCAGGGACATGACAATTAGCAGTCAAGTAACAGAAAATGTATGACCTTTTATAAACTAAATGACTTAAATCAGATAAAATCATAAAATAGGCCATGAAAAACATAATAATCTAGTGTCTGGAAGATGTACAAATATGATGAGAATTATTCACTAAGAATAATTACTTATAACTTGAGACCCAGGAAAGGTCCCTTGGCCTTTTTTTTTTTAACAAGACAAAATTACCATCGGATTAATTTAACAACAGGTTTGTGGATTCTTGGGTGAATGAGTCTGCCTTAAGTGAAAAAGGCAATTTAAGAGCATTATTGCCAGTGAAAGTCCTGTTATCAAACTTGATTTGGTTTTCATCAGCTTTCTTTTGGAGGAAAAGATAAAAGACAATTGGTGCTCACAGTTTCTGACTAGAAAAGGAATAATTGAATAGCTGAACCCTTGTCTCCCACAGTCTTCCCTGCATTTAGCCATCTACCCCTTGTTGGGAGAGCCCAGATACCAATTATTCTAACAAGAAATTGATAGCGAGATTCAAAAAGGCAACAACAACAAACAAATGGGAAGGCCCAACAAACCACAAGCCTTTCATCGTAAAAATGGGGAGCCAGTGGCGGGGAGCTGCATTACAACTCAATTTATAACTTTTTTCCCACCTTGTAATCTAAAGAGGGCAATATCAGCTTTCATCTCGGAGTACCATTTTTTTCTACTAGTTTCTCAACAGTGAGCCTTCCACAAATGATGTTTGACTATTTCTAGATCACAACTCCTTAAAAGACAGATTTATGAGCTGTAATTATGTAGGTAAAAGCTGAGAAAATTACTGAAAGTTCTTTGTCCGCCCACCCCAGCAACATGCTCATTTTCTCTCTTGCAGTGTTTTAGGATTAATCAGCAGCTGTAGCGAACCCTGTAGGATCGTCCCTAAACACTTTTGCCAAGACCAAAAATATGAATCTGCAGACAGAGCATTTTGTAAACGATCAGGAGTCCTTTTCCTTTTTTGCCAGCTGGTAGTTAGTCAAATGCTGTTTTGTAAATAAATCATCTGCAGGAATCCTCATCAGGTCCACTGTAAATGTGTCAGTTTGAGGAAAACAAACAGGAAAGCACTTACCAGTTAAATTTCTGTGAGGAGAGAAGCTATTGTCATGCCTGGGTGTACCTTCCCGGTTCCAGAATGAAATGGAGGGTGGTGTTCAGAACGGCTGCATTCCTCATTCCACTTTTATCTGGCTTTTGAAATGACAGTGTAGAGAAGAATGATGTTGGGTTTTGAATGTGGTTCTTCCCTTCCCCCACCCCCCTCCATAAAAATTCATCATGCAATCCTGGAGAAAAGTAAGCAATGAACATACTGTACAAATTAATTCTTTCGACCAGCCTATGTTTGTGTAAGAAGTTTGTTTTTTGAATGGAAACCACTGCTACTAGCTGTTCTGCTGCAGACTGAAAATCGGTAATGGATGGGGGTCACCCAGCCCTCCTTTGTCTGGGTAGGCTTTTGCTTATGAAAAGGCAAGTTAAATTAGCAGAGATGGAATGTTCTTCGAATGCATGGTATAAGGCTCATCAGGAGATTTTACTTTCTGTGATTCAGTGTGTCCTGATAGTGAAGAGATGGAATCACATATTGGTTAAGTGTGAATTTTAACGTTTATTTATTTTTATTTATTTTTTTTGAGTCGGAGTCTCGCTCTGTCGCCCAGGCTGGAGTGCAATGGCACAATCTCGGCTCACTGCAACCTCCGCCTCCCAGGTTCAAGTGATTCTCCTGCCTCAGCCTCTGGAGTAGCTGAGACTACAGGCACCTACCACCACGCCCGGTTAATTTTTGTATTTTTAGTAGATACGGGGTTTCACCACGTTGGCCCGGCTAGTCTTGAATTCCTGACCTCAGGTGATCCACCCGCCTCAGTCTCCCAAAGTGCTGGGATTACAGGCATGAACCACCACGCCTGGCCTTAAAGACTTGATTTTTTTTTTTTTTTTTTTTTTTTTTGAGACGGAGTCTCGCTGTTGCCCAGGCTGGAGTGCAGTGGTGTGATCACGGTTCACTGCAACCTCCGCCTCCCGTGTTCAAGGAATTATCCTGCGTCAGCCTCCCAAGTAGCTGGGATTACAGGCATGCGCCACCATGCCCAGCTAATTTTTCTGTATTTTTATTAGAGACGGGGTTTCACCACATTGGCCAGGCTGGTCTCGAATTTCTGACCCACCTCGGTCTCCCAAAGTGCCCGGCCTAAAGGTTTGATTTTTATCCCTGGTCACCATTTGTGGGCCTGGCAGATGTGGGCACATCTGTGTACCTGAGGCAGGACTCAGAATTCATAAATTCAAGGGATGAGAAGCATGGAGCTTGAAGGTAGGCATGCCTTGATGTGGTGAGCTTACCTCTGACGGCTAGCTATCTTTATTTTTTTAATTTTATTTTTTATTATTATTTTTTTTTGAGACGGAGTCTCGCTCTGTTGCCCAGGATGGAGTGCAGTGGCACGATCTCGGCTCACTGCAAGCTCCGCCTTCTGGGTTAACGCCATTCTCCTGCCTTAGCCTCCCGAGTAGCTGGGACTGCAGGCGCCCGCCACCACGCCCGGCTAATTTTTTTTTGTATTTTAGTAGAGACGGGGTTTCACCATGTTAGCCAGGATGGTCTCGATCTCCTGACCTCGTGATCCGCCCGCCTCGGCCTCCCAAAGTGCTGGGATTACAGGTGTGAGCCACCACACCTGGCCGCTATCTTTATTTTTGTATGGTCTAACTTCAGCTCAACCATGTGATACCTGAAATTGCACATTGTTAGGCCATGAAAGGTCAGCTGCCAGAGAAGCACAGGATTTTGTTTTTTTCCGCTGTTAAAGACCAAGTCTAGGAAATCTAAAGCAGGAATTCTCACGGTGGAGGTCGGGGGTAGGGGGTGCACTTTTTCAAACTACAAATATCCCTCTGCCCTATAAGAATGTATAGGCTTCCACACCTACCCGCAATCCCTTGATTCAATCTTGGCATATTTTTCAGTGTTTTGTGAGACCGGATGAATAGATGTCGTCAGTGAAGGGGGTACTTAGTAGAGCTCTGCTAGTTTCCATTCCTTTGCGTTAGCAGTATTAGTATTTACTATAGTCTATACTATGTTCTGTAATCCACAAAATCACAATTTCATCTGTAAAAGCCATTATTGAGGAGAATCTCAGGAAGTTTTGGTTACTTTACATGAGTTTATTTTTGGCTATAGAGCAGGAACCATTGAGTAGCAAAGAATATGAAAAGCGACAAGAGAAATGACATTGATCAAGGATTGTCCTATGTGCCACGCATAGTTTAAGCACAGTACACACTGAAACCCAGGAAAGTGTAAGCATTTTTATGTTTTAGCCACCACCTAAAACAATTAAAACATATGCTTGCTTAGCTTTGAAATTAGTCTAAGAAACAATAAATAAAAGGAATAATAAATAAAATATCTCTGCAAATGTGCCTTATAGTTTGAGGTATGTTTGAAGAGCTTCCCTTTGACACCCTAAGGCATGACTTGCAGTTGATCTGTTATGCAAAAGTAGCTGAAGTGCTCAGGTGTACTAGAGATAAGCCACCTGCCACCTCTGAGCATTAAGGGTATAGTAGATACCAGCCAGGCTGTTTGGTGCATTGGTTAAGCTGGTGGGTCAGTTAATTGGAGATCTATTAAGAGAGCCTTTTGTGTAAGTGGCAGAGTTGGGGTTTGGCTCCAGACGTTCTGACTTCAAATACCATTATCTTAAGAAACTTAACCATTGGGCTATCCATCTCCTTATTGGAAGAGATATTTATAGAATTGAGTGTATGAGGGGAAGGGATAGCAAAACTTCTGCCAGGTAGAAGGATTTCTGGACAGTTTTGCCACTTTCTAAAAAACCATTTGCAAATTTTCTGAAGGCTGTTATGGCTAGTATTTCAAGGGGTTTCTTTTCATATTATTTTTATTTTTAAAAATAGAGACAGGAGCTGGGTGCGGTGGCTCATGCCTGTAATCCTAGCACTTTGGGAGGTGGAGGTGGGTGGATCACCTGAGGTCTGGAGTTCAAGACCAGCCTGACCAATATGGTGAAACCCTGTCTCTACTAAAAATACAAAAATTAGCCAGAAGTGGTGGCGTGCACCTGTAGTCCCCAGCTACTTGGGAGGCTGAGGCAGGAGACCTGCTTGAACCAGGAGGTGGAGGTTGCAGTGAGCCAAGATAGTGCCACTGCACTCCAGTCTGGGCGACAGAGCAAGACTCCATCTCGAAATAAAAATAGAGACAGGGTCTCACTGTATTGCGCAGGCAGGTCTTAAACTCCTGGGCTCAAGTAATCCTCCTGCCTCAGCCTCCCAAAATGCCGGGATTACAGGTATGGGCCACCATGCCTGGTCTCAACAGGTTTTTGACAGAAGAATGTGTGCAAGCAGGTCTATAGGGCCAACTGGGCTCAGAGATGGAAGATACACAATGCCGCTATCATATTATTCTGGGGACTAGGATCTCCCATTTCATACAAATAGCATTTCTCCACTAATGCTTGAACTATCACTATTAGAAAACTGTTCTTTTGAAGATATTACATTGTAAAAGAGAAGATTTATATTAATCTAATGAAGCTTTAATAGTGAGAAAGGTTTGGGCGATTTTAAGTGGGTCATCCCCTCCCCTCCCATCAACCCCATGAGAAAAATTGGGGTTGCCAACTTGGCCTTTCATCTTTTGATATCATTAAGGTTAGCATTATTCTTTCTCTTTCTTGCATGACGTTAAATAGCACATTTCTCCCAAACATCTAAAAACTCTGATGATAGAAATTTTAGAAATAGACATTTGGGAGAATATTATATCATCAAGTCATATTAATTTTTGTCAGTGATCATTCTAATCTTTTTGTTGTTGTTTGAAAAAAAAAATCTATCCGGAACAAAAGCATTGGAAGAGAGATATACAAAAGGACACTTTCTTACAAAGAAGCTGATTTATGAAAAACAAAGACACTTCAATTTTTTTCCTCCTGTCATACAGGGTGATGACTATCTTGTGTAAATGCCTTTCTTAGGGCTGGCTCTTCAGGGTAGTCACATTGGAGATTAGACTTAGGAGGCCCTTACTTGGTTAAACTGTGAGGCTGGAGACACACAAAGCTTTTTCCAGAGACTGAAATGGACTCACATGGCAGGCTCAGTAGCCCTGGGGGTCACAGCGAGGAACCATGGCAACCCAGCCATACAGGGACGTTTTCATCCACTTAAAGCAGAGAATTCTTAAAGGCTTCTAAATGAGGACGAAGCCTTGTCTAGATTCTTGCTTCTAATTCTGTTTTGCCCGATGCAGAAAGTGATTCTTGAGGATACTTAGTGGGAAAGTCTGCGGAGGACTTAGTTCTCCATCTTTTCCACTAAGATTTCCGAAGTTCTAATTACCTGTAGAAATGTGGGGAACAGCTTCTGTTTTATCTCTAATTTGAATAAACCTTCACTTTTAATATGCCAAATACGAATTCAAAAGAGATCCAGATACAAAGCATTTTTAGGTTGGTTTTCTTAACTACAATATACTGGCTCAGACACAAGGCATGCGCGGGGTGTGAAGCTTTGGGGGGCAAAGCAAGCACTCACCTCTCTGAAGTTGCCGGTGCCTGTGGCTGCTGCGGGAAAGTGCGTGGCCAAAGTTTTCAGGGCTCTGGGCTCTGTCTGAATCCTTGTGGTTTAATGATTTCTCTGGGAGGACGGGTCACAGCTGCCCTGAGTCTAGGAAGAAGTATTTCCTCTCTTTGCAACAAAGGGAAATACATAATATTTTAAGTTATTGCCCTGGAAAAGGAAATGTGGTTTGCCAGTGGTTAAGTAAATCTGTTGTACATCAGTTAGTCAACAGCATCTGGGTGACACCATTGTTGGCCCTGATTTAAGAGAAAGGGCTGCTGTGGACATTCAGGTCACTCCCAATTACCTACTCTAATTATGCTACTTTTCTCATTAAACTGCAGATAATTGTGGCTATGATGTAAGTGTATCTGGATTTTTCCAAAATGCCACATTTTAGGAAAGGAAAAGGATCAGATAAGACAGCATATTTTCTCAACCTCTTTAAACTTGTTCAGCTGCTACTTTTGCATTTTTCATTAGGAAATTGGTAGCCTGGGGGCTCACTGCAGCTGTGAATGTGTTTTGTTTGTGAAGCAGTGTTTTCTAGAGTTTGAATTAATTTCCAACATTTAGAAGTCAGAAATCTTAGCCATCTAGATTATCGGCTCCTCATGAAAAAATTAGCAGATCTGGGTACACTGGGCCCATGTCCCAACAGGGATACTGTTCGAGGTGTCTGCGTAGTGGCTTACTCCCAGCACCACCTGCCCGCTTTTGGCAGGGCATTGCATCCCAGCTCCACACCTTTCTCCTCTGTCCTCCTCACTCATGGACACTGTCTGGATCCTCCAGCAATTTACACTTTCAATTTTTGTATCTTTTTCTAATTCTTTTCCTATTGAGTTTCTTCCATTTAGGAAAATTGAATATGCAGAATAAGTCACTGGGTGCTTATTTTTACTGCATAAGGAGCTTTAGATTTGTTCATTAAAAGAAAATGAATCCCCAGTGTTTCCCTAGTAAAACCTGAATGCATTATAAAGCATTATGGAATTAACAAAACCAACCTTGCTGAGCTTAACTATGGAATGGAAGTATGACGAAAGGCCGTGTAGTAGGGAGCAGTCCACCTAGGTATAGGCAATAAAGGGACTACTGTCTGTAGGGAATTTAAAAACGATAATAAAACCAACTAAAGCCCTTCTGCTTTTTGTTGGCACCATGTGCCAGCAATTCTCAAGTCAATGATGAAATACTCCTCCCCTCAAGAGACCTCTTGTTGGTTTTGGTTTCAGTTGTGAACAATTACTGTGATTATAATGAGCTGTAGTTTTATGAATATGTATAATCTACTTTTAAATAGACAATGTATTTTACATAAAAGCTAAGTATTCTTATTTTAATTTTTGTTACTTCTCTTTAATAGACAATGTATTTTACATTGAAGATAACTGAAAAAACTCCCAATTATAAAGATGCCCCGATGCCATGTGTTGATTCAGATATGCTTTCTCTTGAGATTAAGTTGATAATGGCTCCAAAACACTGGCACAGCTTGCATTTTCCCATTGTGATCTACATGTGCCTGCATTCAAACAACAGATTTAAAATACATAATGATAGCACAACCATGGCAAAATAAAGAAGCAGAACTTGTCATTTCAACTTCTTTATTCCATATTCTCTCTTGGAATTTTTAGTTTTTTAAAATTTTAAACAGTGAAACAAAAAGTGCTTCAAGGTGTACTATTTTTTTTTCCTTTGGCAATTGTAAATTTTAGTCCATAGATGAAATTTTTGGCTGAATTTGGATATTTTTTACATTAATTTTTTTTTTTTTTGAGACGGAGTCTCACTCTGTCACCCAGACTGGAGTGCAGTGGCATGCTCTCGGCTCACTGCAACTTCCGCCTCCCGGGTTCAAGTGATTCTCCTGCCTCAGCCTCCCCGGTAGCTGGGATTACAGGGATGCATCACCACGCCCAGCTAATTTTTGTATTTTTAGTAGAGACAGGGTCTTGCCATGTTGGCCAGGCTGGTCTTGAACTCCTGATCTCAGATGATTCACCTGCCTCGGCCTCTCAAAGTGCTAGGATTACAGGCATGAGCCATGATGCCTGGCCTAAAAGTTATTTTAAAAAAATGATCACTTTGGGAGCTGAGGCAGGAGGATCACTTGAGCCCAATAGTTCAAGACCAGACTGGACAACATAGTGAGACTGTCTCTACAAAAAAAAAAAAAAAAATTGCTGGGCATGGTGGCTTGTACCTGTAGTCCCAGCTACTTGGGAAGCTGAGGTGGGAGGATCACTTGACCCCGGGACTTTGAGACTGCAGTGAGGTGTGATTATGCCACTGCACTCCGGAGCCTGGGTGACAGAGCAAGACCTTGTCTCAAAAAAAAAAAAAAAAAAGAGGAAGGAAAAAAATTTTTTAAAGTTTTTTTAATGCTCTGTTTTAAAACTACAAACTGAATCAAGAAGTAAAGGCATTATGGCAATGACGTGATTTACTAGTTGCCTGAATTGTACCTTCTGCAGACATTTCAGTTTTATTAAAATTTAGTTATTAATTGCTGGACAATTATTTGCATAAAATATTATTATGTCATACTGTAACCAAGAGCTCTATGGTCAAATTTGTTAGATATAAAAACTGTGAGGAAATCATTGTCCATTTTTTCTTTTTTTGTACTGTGGATATATATTACTCATTTATTTTTAATTTAGTTTCCTGGCACAATTATATATTATGAGGTTCAATTAAAAAAAAATTCTGTGGTAGCTCATGCCTCAGTGTGGTGACTCACACTTGAAATCCCAGCACTTTGGGAGGCTGAGACAGGAGGATTGCTTGAGTGCAGGAGTCCAAGACCAGCCAGGGTAACATAGTGAGACCCTGTCTGTAAAAATTAGCCAGGTGTGGCAGCACATGCATGTAGTCCAAGCTACTTGGGAGGCTGAGATGTGAGACGGAGCCCAGGACATTGAGGCTGCAGTGAACCACAATCATGCCACTGTACTCCAGTCTGGGCAATAGAAGGAGACTCTAAAACAAACAAACAAACAAAAAACACCTCACCATCTGCAGTTTTTGTTTCATTTCATGATATTACTGAAATTATTCTGGTCATATTGAAAAAGAGAGTACTAAAAATTGATCTACTATAGATGCCAGCATAGATACACCACTGCAATGGTACACAGAGACATCAAAGTAATGTAGGGGAGGAAAAAGTTCCTGTGTACCCTCTTAAATTTGGAAGCTGGGGCTTGCAAACTGAACTGACAAAAGACAGATTAACAGGAGAAAAAAGATTTATTTCACGAGCACACAGAGGCTTCACAGAAAAGAATTAAAAACCCAAAGAAGCAGTTCAGAGCTTGTATACCATTTTAACAAAGGGTGATAAATTGTAGAGAAGTGACTAGACAAAGGAAAGTGAGGTGGTTTGGGCTTCTAGGGGCAGTAAATTGTGGGAAGGTGACTAGGAAATGTATAGTAGACAAGGCTTGTTAAGTAAAGTTTGTTATGCAGGATGTGAGGGCGGTCTGGTTGTGACATCTCTCACCCCATTGATTGCCAGGGTTGATTCAGCTGATCTGGATGTCTAGGCGGGTGTCCCCTTCCTCCCTCACCACTCCATGTGCATCCCTCTCGAAGTGCACACTTGGTGGAAGAGGATGACCATCCCCAATAAAGAAGGACTGGTCTTGGTCAAGGGTATAAGAGTAGCTGTGCTCCCCTTTTAGAACCTCCAAATAAGCTCCCAAGTTTGTTATGCAGACTCAATTCAGTGTCATCTCCAGTGATAAGATAGTCTGGTGGTTAAATTTGTTCTCCTCTCCTGGTACTAGAGAGAAACATATCTTTATAAATGGAAACCTGTGTTACCTGTACAAAGGGAAACTTATGCACTGGTTTTAGGCAGAAAGGAAGACAGCAAAAGTTCTTCCTGTGTCCACTATTTCTTAATTGCCTTCAGCTCAAAATATTCCTTATACCAAAGTGGTATATTTGGGGGTGGCATATTCTGATCCCCTTCACAAACTTATCAATGTATGTCCCGGTTCATTGGGTTTCTTCTGTTCTGTTGGAGCCTCTGTACTGAATTTTTAGAAACTTTTCTTTCTAAAAAAAAACTGTGGTAAAAAACACATAAATCTTACTGTCTTAACCATTTTTTAAAAGAGAGGAGGTCTTGCTATTTTGCCTAGACTGAAGTGCAGTGGTTATTCACAGGTGCTATCATAGTACATTATAGTCTCAAACTTCTGGGCTTATGTGATCCTCTTGCCTTAGCCTTCTGGGTAACTGGGAATACAGATACACACCACTGTGCCTGACTTATCTTGACCACTTTTATTTTTATTTACTTCTTATTATTATTATTTTAGACAGGATCTCAGCCTGTCACCCAGGCTGGAGTGCAGTGGCATGATCATGGCTCACTGCAGCCTTGACCTCCTGGGCTTAAGTGATCCTGTCACATCAGACTCCCAAAGTGCTGGGGTTACAGTTGTAAGGCATGTGTCTGGACCTTAACCATTTTTTTTACGGGGGTGGGGATGGAGTCTCGCTCTGTCGCCCAGGCTGGAGTGCAGTGGCACAATCTCGGCTCACTGCAATCTCCACCTCCTGGGTTCAAGTGATTCTCCTGCCTCAGCCTCCTGAGTAGCTAGGACTACAGGCGCGCGCGACCTCACCCAGCTAATTTTTGTATTTTTAGTAGAGACGGGGTTTCACCATGTTGGCCAGGATGGTCTCGATCTCTTGACCTCGTGATCTGCCCACCTTGGCCTCCCGAAGTGCTGGGATTACAGGCGAGAGCCACCAAGCCTGGCCTGGACCTTAACCATTTTTAAGTGTACAGTTCAGTAATTCACTTTTATATTGTCATGAAACAGACCCCTAGAATGTTTTTACCTTGAAAATCTAAAACTTTATACCTATTAAACAACTACTTCCTTGATATTTTTTTCTTTTCTTTTTTTTTTTTAGAGATAGGGTCTCACTCTGTTGCCCAGGCTGGAATACAGTGGTGTGATTATAGCTCCTGGACTCAAGTGATCCTCCCATCTCGGCCTCCTGAGCAGCTAGGACTACAGGCTTGTCACACCACACCTCACTAATTTTTAAATTTTTTGTAGAAGCAGGGTCTTGCTATGTTGCTCTGGCTGGTCTCAAATTCTTGGCCTCAAGTGATCCTCCTGCCTCGGCCTCCCAAAGTGCTGGGATTACAGACATGAGCCACTGTGCCTGGACTACCTCCCTTTTTTTTTTTGAGATGAAGTCTCGCTCTTGTCCCCCAAGCTGGAGTGTGATGGTGCGATCTCGGCTCACTGCAACCTCCACCTGTCGGGTTCAAGCAATTCTCCCGCCCGAGTAGGTGGGATTACAGGCTCCTGCCACTACGCCTGGCTAGTTTTTGTATTTTTTAGTAGAGACAGGGTTTCACCATGTTGGCCAGGCTGGTCTCGAACTCCTGACCTTAGGTGATCCACCCGCCTCAGCCTCCCAAAGTGCTGGGATTACAGGCGTGAGCCATTGCGCCTGGCCCCCTGAATTTTCAAAAGGAGATCTCAACTGATCTTTTCAGCCATCCTGAAGAAGGGAATCAACCTCACAGTGGCAATGTAAATAGAAAGAACAGTCCAAGCAGGTCCTGACAGGACAGACTAATTTGCCTGGAGTGGCAGAGGTACAGGTGGAGTTCCTGGAAGAAGAAGGATAGAAAAGAGCCCAGACCATTGTCTTTACCATAGGCTTTGGAGATGCTTGGTATCTTTGGCATGAAACCATCCATAGAATAAGATGCTAGCAGCTTGTTTAGGCTTTACTGCATTACAGTCAGGGTCACACTGTAGCACCTGCCACTCACTCATTCAAAGGAACTTTTAAAATAGTAACTTTGGTTGAGTGCAGTGGCTCATGCCTGTAATCTTAGCACTTTGGGAGGCTGAGGCTAGCAAATTACTTGAGTCCAGGAGTTAAAGACCAGCCTGGGCAACATGGCGAAACTCCATCTCTACAAAAAATACAAATAAGTAGCCAGGTGTGGTGGTGCACGGCTGTAGTCCCAGCTTCTCGGGAGGCTGAGGTGGGAGGAGTGCTTGAGTCTGGGAGGTTGAGGATGCAGTGAGTTGTATTCATGCCACTGTACTCCAGCCTGGGTAATAGAGCAATACCTTGTCTCATTAAAAAAAAGAAAAAAAAAAAAGAAAGAAAGAAAGAAAAGAAAACCCCCAAACCCCCTAAAACAAAAAACTTTTTTTCTTTTTCTTTTTTTTTTTTTTTAGACAGAGTTTTGCTCTTGTTGCCCAGGCTGGAGTGGAATGGCACGATCTCGGCTCACTGCAACCTCCGCCTCCTGGGTTCAAGCGATTTTCCTGCCTAAGCCTCCCAAGTAGCTGGGATTACAGGCACCTGCCACCAAGCCTGGCTAATTTTTGTATTTTTAGTAGAGACGGGGTTTCGCCACGTTGGCCAGGCTGGTCTCAAACTCCTGACCACAGGTGATCTGCCCACCTCGGCCTCCCAAAGTGCTAGGATTACAGGCATGAGCACTGTGCCCATCCAAAACCTTTTTTTTTCAATTAAAACAGTTGCAGCGAGGCATGGTGGCTCACGCCTATAATCCCAGCACTTTGGGAGGCCGAGGTGGGAGAATCACTTGAGTCCAGGAGTTCAAGACCAGCCTGGGCAACACAAGGAGACCTCATTTTGAAACTGACAAAAATCATTCTCAACCCTCCCCCCGCCATTTAGAGAAACCAGTCTTGACATTTTGGCATATTTTTAATATTTAAAAAATATCTATGTGAGATTAGGTCATACATGGAGTTTTATAGCCTACCCATTTTACTTACATCATGAGCATTTTTTCGTGTCATTACATATTATTCACAAACATGCTTTTAATAGCTGCATAATATCATACTCTACAGAGTTCTTTAAGGCATTTTAAAAAGTGACAACTAAATTTATTGCCACACACAAAAGTTTCAGTGCTGTCAAACCTGTCTTCCAAGCAATTACTGGTTTATCTTATGCTGAAATAAAGTATTATCAAGTTGTATCCTAAAGGATAAGTACATTTTAAGAAATATTAAAGTAAAAGACAAAACCTTAGCACAGGCTGCAATTTAGGCAAAATAAAAAGAGAATCTGGTGTTATCTGTCAACAATTTAGAAAGCTTTTTCCATAAAATTAAATAATGACGTGATATGTCATTCACTGTACTTGTAGCAGCATAATTACAATAATGAGACTTATTTAATATAATGAGACTATATTTTAAAAATGTTATTCCAAGCATGCTACTTCGTGGTGCTTTGCTATTAAGCTACTTAATATTTTCCATTTAAGTTTTTATGAAATCCAGGAAGCAACGTGAGGAGAAATTTTTGTTGAATTATAAAGCATATTGAAATGGAAAAACAAAAGCCTCTCTTGCATCCTCTAGAGTCAGATAGCAACAGAGTTGGAAGCTTATAGCTTTAGCTACAGCCCACAAGCCCTCTGCAATGAATACAAATTTATAGTGCTTTAAAGCATAATAAAAAGAGCATACTTGATATTTTATTTCCTCTCCTGTCATTGTGGCTATCAAAAAGTTGCAGTTAATGTCACCTTTGGAAATTTGTCTGGAAACAAAACCAAAATTATTATGGCACCAATGCACATAAGGGTGATAAATACAAAGAGCAGGACACTCTTGGCCAGAACAGAAAATGGAAATGGCACTGAAATTACTTGCTGGTAGAAAAAGCAGAGTCAAACTGATTAAGTGCTGTTGCACTTGGAGATAAAGGGCCCAGCCCTGAGAAAGGCACTGACCACGCATTTTCGAGGAGAGGTCTTTCCTCTCTAGAATGAGACTCTTCAACTTTCAGTTTTGTGATTAGTCACTTGTTTCAGAGGGAGAGGAGAGCTCATCAAATACTGATGGCAAGATGGTGCGATGAAGGTCTAGAACTGTATTATAGTATGCTAATGTTTGATTAAGACAAAGTGTGTGCATATGTGTCTATATGTGAATATGTGTGTGTATACACATGCGCTCACACACACATCTGTATATACTTATATTAAAATGGTTATCTATAAATAGGGTAGAATAAAAGGTGAAAAAGATAAGGATGAAAGCTGTCCCTATCTGCAATCCATTCCCTTTGCAACAAAAGGTATCTAAAAAGTAACTTGAGCTGGGCATCGTGGCTCATGCCTGTAATCCCAGCTACTTGGGAAGCTGAGGTGGGAGGATCACTTGAGCCCAGGAGTTTGAGCCTGTAATAAGCTATGACTTTGCCACTGTGCTCCAGCCTGAGTGACAGAGCAAGACCTTGTCCCTACAAAAACCAAAAAACATGTATCTCAATATATAATTCTGTTTTTGTAATCATATTTTTTATTTAATTAAATGAATAAAACAGAATCAAATGAAGACAGCAGTCTTTAAAAATGAAAAACAACCTGAAACTAATGAACCTAACTGTATGTCAAGTTGGTAGCATATTCATACAGAGAAAAAAATCATTTCAAGTGACTTTAAAATACAGTATTTTTCCTGTACATCCTTATGAGATATAATTTAAGAACAAAAGAATGGCAAAGAAACTCAAAACTGCAATCAGTATTTATTGATAGTAGAAATATTGGCATTATCTGAAAATATTCTAGATATATTGAAAAGTAAAGTGAAATTAAAACTTACATAAATATAATTTAGAATGAAGATATTCAGTAATCAGTACAAGAGCAGAGAAATAATGTACAAAAATCAAGGAAGTTTATATTCATGGGTAACAAAACCCAAAAGAAATGTATAAATAAATATGAATAAAATAATTTAAAACAATTTAAAAAAAGAAAGAAAAAATATAAAAAAAGATTTAAAGAATCAAGGAGGTTAAGTTAAAACATTGTAATTTTAAATTTGAATTGGAAGTATAAGAATGAACTCAAAATTATATTTTTCTCTTAAAAATGTAATTTTAGCTCTGTTCTCCAAAACACCTAGAAGTAATAAAAAGCAAGTGACGAGCTCCAGTTGTGCCTAGATTACAGTCTCTAAATATCCATTTTCTTTACAAAGCTGCCAGAAGTCTTTGGAAAAATGATAGGAAATGTACACTACCTATATGAGGTTAGTACCTATATGAGCTGGAAAACAAAGAAGTTATAAATTAAGTCAAAATGATAAAACAGCCATCTATTTTTTTGAGATGGAGTCTCACTCTGTCACCCAGGCTGGAGTGTGGTGGCGTGATCTCGGCTCACTGCAACTTCCGCCTCCCGCGTCCAAGTGATTCTCCTGCTTCAGCCTCCTGAGAAGCTGGGACTACAGGCATGCACCACCACGCCTGGCTAATTTTTGTATTTTTGGTAGAGACAGGGTTTCACCATGTTGGCCAGGCTGGTCTTGAACTCCTGACCTCAGGTGATCCTCCTGCCTCGGCCTCTCAAAGTGCTGGGATTGCAGGTGTGAGCGACTGCACCTGGCCATAAAAGAGCCATCTTGAAGGGCCATTCTCTGGTCTCAGAATAGACATTTTGGGCAGAAATCAAGATAAATAATGACTACAGCTCATCAAATATATTAAAAATCTATGAGTTCATAATGACACTGAAGGAAAAACTAATTGGTCACCATTTGGAGGTCATTAGGACATTATAACTCATTTACTGTCATTACCCTGAAAATAAGGAAAGAATTAAGCATTTTCCTGTGTTTCCTGTATATACTATGCCCAGGATAGCCAAACTATTAATAAAGGAAAGTTTTCCTTTACATAAAAAATCCAGCTTATAACTGTAGGTGGAAAAAAAAATGAAAGGATTAGAAAATCACCATTTTGCAACTCCTAAAAATATAATGGATCTAGGCAATCATCTTCAGTGGATGCTAAAATAAGTAGATTAAAAGTTGATGGAGGAACTTTACAAATGAAGAATTAGGCTACTACCTGAACCCAACTGATTGATCTTAACATCACTAAATGTGGGCCAGCCAGACATTCCGTGCGTCTTGATGTGATACAATAGAAAGTGCACAGCATCACCTATGAAGTATTCTTGCCTAAAGTAAATTGAACCAAATAGAATCAAATCTCTAAATCTAACTACCATTTTGCCAGAAATGCCGGGGATGGAGGAAGAGTTAAATGACATTATGAGAAAGCAACCAGCCACATCTAAAATTTGTAACATTCTAAAGGATAAATGATTCTCCAACAAATTTATTGTACGAGAATGAAAGGAGAGATGAGGGACTAATAAAATAAAAGAGATTTAAGGGACTTTATAACCAGATAAAATGTGTAGACCTTGTTTGAAGGCTGGCTGCCTTTGAGACAATCAGGGAAATTTTAACACACACTGGGTATTAGATGAAGTAAGTAAAGGATCCCTTGTTAATTTTGTCAGGTGTGATAATGGAAAGATGATTATGTTTAAAAAAGTTTGTTAGTTAGCAATACATCCTGAAATGCTTATTAATCATATGATATCTGGGTCTTTAAAATATGCTGGTGTCCTAAAATACTAAACAAAAAGATTTAAAGAAAGGTATGGCCATCAGGCAGAAATGTTTCAGAGATGACTGGTAGAATGGGAAAAGTATTCCTTGGTTTAAGCAGTAGGTGAGTCATTGGTGACTTTACAAGAGCATCTACAGATGGGTGGTCGAGGAGCAAGGCAGACCAAATGATTTGGGGAGAGTTAGAGGAAAGGGGGTGGACAAGTGCAGTCAGTGAGAAATTACTTATTTTTTTCTTTTGAGACAGGGGTCTCACTCTATCGCCCAGGCTGCAGTGCAGTGGCACGATCTCAGCTCACTGTAACCTCCACCTCCCAGGTTTAAGCAATTCTCCTGTCTCAGCCTCCTGAGTAGCTGGGATTACAGGCATGCGCCACCACACCTGGCTAATTTTTTGCATTTTTAATAGAGACGGGGTTTCTCCATGTTGGCCAGGCTGGTCTCAAACTCCTGACATCAGGTGATCTGCCGGCCTGGGCCTCCCAAAGTGTTGGGATTACAGGTGTGAGTCATCGCGCCTGGGTGAGAAATTACTTTTAAAAGGCTGGAAAGGGCTGGGTGCGGTGGCTTACGCCTGTAATCCCAGCACTTTGGGAGACTGAAGTGGGCGGATCACCTGAGGTCAGGAATTCAAGACCAGTCTGACCAACATGGAGAAACCCCATCTCTACTAAAAATACAAAAAATTAGCCGGGTGTGGTGGCACATGCCTGTAATCCTAGCTACTCAGGAGGCTGAGGCAGGAGAATCTCTTGAACCCAGGAGGTGGAGGTTGTGGTGAGCCGAGATCGTGCCATTGCACTCCAGCCTGGGAAACAAGAGTGAAACTTCGTCTCGGGAAAAAAAAAAGGTTGGAAAGATATTAATAAAAATAATAATAGTAATAGTAACTAGAGGGGTTTGAGAAAGGTTTGTTTGCTGACCTTTTTTAATGTGAAGAGATTCTATAGAGAGGGAAGGGGGATAATGCCTGCCTTTTTTTTGAACTTTCAGAATTTGGTCTACAACACCATGTTCTCTCTTTTCCTGTGCCAGAGAGACAGGCAATATTCTCGAGAATGTCTTCTCCTTTTCCCCTGAGTCCCAGAGTGAGTAAACTTGGAACAGAGTTTCCAGCCAAGGTATGATGGATGTGTAGGGAGAGTGAGAATAAACCTCTATTGTTTTAAGCAACTGACATTTTGGAAGTGTTTGTTATTGCAGCATAACTTAGCCCATTTGATTTAGGGATACATTTTAACATAATAAAATACAGAAGATGTCTAATGGATTCTGGAGTAGCGTTCAGTCAGACATACACTTGCAATAACACCTTACCAATGTGGCCAAGGGAGAATTTAATGCCACCAACTGTGTGTTCTCCATCTGGGTCTCATAGTAATGGTACCTACATCTGTTTTCTCTGGTAGGACCACAGAGAAGGTTTCTGTGTTTTCAGAGAAGGTTTTTTTCTTATCTTTTCACAAGAATGGAAGTTAAAAATAGATCCCCCTTTGGCAGCATCATGCTACCCAGCCCTTCCTTCCCTGCCAAAATGGGTTGCACTAGCAGAGGGTGGCCCAGTCTATGGGCCCTAAAATCAGAGCAAGAAGAGCTGGGGCTGGGGCTGGGGCTGGGGGGTGAGGCAGGTTGAGACACTTCAAACTTTAGGAAGTCTGTAGAGGACTTGGTAAGTATTCAAAGAACACTGGTAAGGAAAGTAAAATGGTTGGAAACTTTGACCCAGTCTAGGTCTGCAAACTCTGAGGACCAAGCATGGTGGGATATTGGAACTCCTTCCCCATCTTCAGGCAGGATCTGGGATTTGTTGCCTGCCTGAATCCTGGTGCATTTATTGAGGCACTGCAGTTACCCACTTAGCAGCTCTCCCTGGTTTCCCTCAGTGGAGCCCCACTGGGCAGGAATGTGATTAATCTGCCCATGGCCTAAAATCCTAGCTAATGCTTTGGTGGATCAGGCTTTGTCTTAGAAATATTTTCCAGTGGACAGAAAAACAGCTCTTTCTGGCTCACCACAGGGTCTGTCTCTAAGAGTGCTCTCAGAACTGCTGACATAGTGATATATTTCTATGAGGCAGTAATTAGCCAACTGCCCTGGGGCTGATCCCTTCTACACTTGCAGCAGGTTCACAGCAGGGATCCCTGCTGGATAACCTAAGCCCAGTTCATCTTAGGACTCAGACTTGCTTGGGCATGATCTGGAAGGCTGATGTGTCCCAGGGGGTTGGGTTTTTGAATTAAGAGCCTCATGGAAAGGAACCACATAAAGGGAAAAAAATAATTGAAGTTCACAGGTTGGTTTAAAGATAGCAAGAAGCCAAGTACTGGGGACAAGAGAGGGCAGGGTTGTGAGGGTGCTGTGATGGATGTCTGCCACTCCCATGGCCCTCTGTGTCAGCTTGCTGGGCTGCACTCTTGCGTCCTGGAGGAAGGAGAAGGAGCGGCAATAAACATCAAATAAGAATGGAAAGAGTTGCTCTGCTGGTAACCTCAGTAAGACACAAAGGGGACCAGGACACCTTACTGTGAAGCTTCATCTGAGAGCACCCTGATTTTTCAGTTTCCCGTGGCTATCCCCAGGGTCACCTCTGGCTTCTGCTCCCACTGGCCTCTTCACCCCACCCCTCAGCCGGCTTGGCTTTTCTCTTCTTCAGTTACCCACATTAGGAATTCAGGCACTTTCCCAGGATTATTTCTCTCCCCTTCTTCCTTCCTTCCCTCCCTCCCTCCCTTCCTTCCTCTCTCTCTCTCTCTCTCTCTCTCTCTTTCCTTCTTTCTTTCTTTCTCTTTCTGAGAGTCTCACTGTGTCAAACAGCTGAAGTGCAGTCGCTGGAGTGCAGTGGCACAATCTTGGCTCACTGCAACCTCTGCCTCCCTGGTTCAAGCAATTCTTCTGTCTCAGCCTGCCAAGTAGCTGGGATTACAGGCGTGCACCACCATGCCCAGCTAATTTTTGTATTTTTAGTAGAGACGGGGTTTCACCATATTGGTCAGGCTGGTCTTTTTTTTTTTTTTTTTTGAGACCGAGTCTTGCTCTGTTGCCCAGGCCGGAGTGCAGTGGCGCGATCTCGGCTCACTGCAAGCTCCGCCTCCCGGGTTCACGCCATTCTCCTGCCTCAGCCTCCCGAACAGCTGGGACTACAGGCATGTGCCATGATGCCCGGCTAATTTTTTGTATTTTTAGTAGAGACGGGGTTTCACTGTGTTAGCCAGGATGGCCTCGATCTCCTGACCTTGTGATCCGCCTGCCTCGGCCTCCCAAAGTGCTGGGATTACAGGCATGAGCCACCGCGCCCGGCCCTGGTCAGGCTGGTCTTAAACTCCTAACCTCAGGTGATCCACCCGCCTCGGCCTCCCAAAGTGCTGGGATTATAGGCAGAAGCCACCGCACCCAGCCTTTCCTGCTTTCTTTCAAAGACCCCCTTATGGAAGGTGTTTATACATGTGGCAGATTTTATTTAATATTTAGAGTCCAGAAATGGTATCACATCACTGCACTGCTCAACCTCCCCTGGAGAGTCTATCTCACCACAAAGCAATCTGCCCTCTCTGAGGTCACCTGTCAATTTTGGTGGCTGGTTATCAGGCACACTGACTATTCCTCACTTCAGGGCCTTAAGTGCGTCACTGCTTAAGGGCATTCTGAGACACCGGGCCTGCGACAGGGGGGTTTATGCTCTAATACCAACCCAGAGCTGATGGGGAGCATATGTAGGTAGATAAATACCCCAGCTTCCCAGTCTCACAGTGGGGAGATTGTGTAGCATGTTCTACAGAGCTCTGCGGAGAGTCCCAGCACCAGCAGTGTTCTTATTAACATATGCCACTGTAGGGTGGCTATAATTAACAATAATATATTATGTCATTTCAATAGTGAGAAGGAAGATATTGAATGTTCCCAACACAAAGAAATGATAAATGTTTGAGATGATGGATATGCTAATTATCCCGATCTAATCACTCTACATATGTATTGCAACATCACTATGTACCCCATAAATATATACAATTATTATTTGTCAATTAACAAAATAAAATTTAGTTTACAAAAACACAGAAAAACAAAAATCCTTCATGGCTTCTCTCTTTTTCCTGTCTCTCACTTTACCCACCCCCTCACTTCTGTTTCCTAGCAACACCTCCCGGCAACCTGCCTACACCTAAGCCCTTCCTTAGCAGCTGCTTTTTGTAAAACCTAAACCAATACACCTACTCTCTGTATTTCAGTTGCTACTAGTTTAAATTCTCTGCCCTCTCTTAGTTTTTCAGGCCTTTGGTCTTATAGCTGAAGTCTCATGAATATCTCCGTGAAAACAACATGCCATCTACTCTCTGTATCACGCAGTTTAGCAACATAGAGGAGCTGTGTCTTTGACATTTCAGTCTTCCTTTTCCTCTTGCCTCCACCGGTGTCTGTTTGCAGTAGATGGAAGCAGTGAAGAAATTTCTCTGCCCCTTGATATGAATTGTGCATGGACTATGGTCTCTTGCAAGGCAGAAATGACTGCAGTAAGCTTGCTTTTATGCAGTTTTACTTCCATCCAGTGGCAGGATATGTTTCTCCTTGGATGCAGTTGGAGCGGGTGGTGGACACAGGGATTTACGGAGTAAAAGCAGGGAGAATATCAGGTCTTGCAACATTATGGTCGCTTTAGAGGCTCTGGCACCAGATTTAAGTGCTGAGTGAGGTACATGGAAGGTGGCTTCAAGGGTACATTGGAGGCACCCAATAGAGCTAAGTGGCACCATTTGGGAGGAATTTGATGGATGGTTGGATTTCCTACAGCATAAATGAGAATGAAATCAAGGTTATCCTTTTAGGTGATGTCTATTTTGATTATTTTTAACCTCCAGGCTCATGTGGCCTGGAAATATGCATTACATCAAGTGGCTTAATTTTTTTTTTTTTTTTCAGATGGAGTTTTGCTTTGTTGCCCAGGCTGGAGTGCAATGGCGTGATCTCGGCTCACTGCAACCTCCTCCTCCTGGGTTCAAGTGACTCTCCTGCCTCAGCCTCTGAGTAGCTGGGATTACAGGGGTCCACAACCATGCCCAGCTAATTTTTGTATTTTTAGTAGAGACGGGGTTTCACCATGTTGGCCAGGATGGTCTCGAACTCCTGACTTCAGCTGATCCACTTGACTTCAGGTGATCCACCCGCCTCGGCCTCCCAAAGTGCTGGGATTACAGGCATGAGCCACTGTGCCTGGCTTAAGTTGTTTAATTTAACTGAGTGAATGCGCAGTAATATGTTCATGGACAAACCAGGCACAAAGGGATGTTTTCCCATAAAGCAAACACATGATGGCAGATACTGTGTGAGGCTAGAGGTTCTGTCATATTTGAACTTGGGTGGAACCCTGTGAGAATGACACAGTGGTAAGGGCTTCTGATACCCTGAATAATGCCTAGAATTGGGAATGATTTGAACAGATGAATCTGTTAAGAAAAGTTCACTAGGAAGATTGTGTGAACCAGTTCTTTGGAAGAATGAAATTTGTAGCTGCTTTAAGATCATGCAAACGGCCAAGTGTGGTGGCTCACGCCTGTGATCCCAGCACTTTGGGAGGCTGAGGTGGGTGGATCACTTGAGCCCAGGAGTTCAAGACCAGCCTGGGCACATAGCAAAACCCCGTCTCTACAAAAAATAAAAAAATTAGCCCAGTGTTGTGACACATGCACCTCTGGTCCTAGCTACTTGGGAGGCTGATGTGGGAGGATTGCTTGAGCCAGGAGGTTGAGGCTGCAGTGAGCCGTGATCACGACACTGCACGTCAGCCTGGGCAACAGTGAGATTCTGTCTCAAAAAATAAAAAAGATGATACAAATTATTACAACCTTAGGACTCGGTGAAGCTCAATAACATTTATTGAATGTATTATTTACTTGGGTACATAAACTCCTTAAAATTGAGTGTGAACTTTTTCTGGAGAAAAGATTTGTAGTTTCATCAGATTCTCAGTGGTTGGGTTTGTGATCACCGCCCCCGCCATCCCCAAAGATTAAAAGCCATGAGTATACTTAAAAGATAAATACTCTGGGTCACATAAATCTACCAACATTTAACCTCTGTCCTGTTGCTGTACATGCGTGCATTTGTACTTTAATGGTAACAGAAACAACCCCACCACCACCACCTCCATAATGAGCCTGAGGATCGCATTGCCAAGTTGACATCCATGCTTTTGTGTGTATGGAAATGGGTTTTATACTCAGATGGATATAGGTTCGAGTCCCTGTTCTGCTAGTTAATAATTATATGACGCTGATTCAGGAACTTTATCTCCTGTGTTTTATTTTCTCTCCTCTAAAATGAGAGTCCTACCTCCTATGTTGCTGTGAGGATTAGAAAGAATGTATGTGACCTCCTTAGAATTCCTTCTTTACTCTCATAACTCTGTTACAGGACTTAGGTTGCTGTGTTGATTGGGGTTCACTTTTAGAGAACAGAATCTACTCAAGCTATAGAAAAGTTGATTTTTTTTTGAGTTGGAGTCTCGCTCTGTTGCCCAGGCTGGAGTATAGTGGCACAATCAGGGCTCACTGCAACCTCTGCCTCCTGGGTTCAAGCTGTTCTCCTGCCTCTGCCTCTGCCTCCTGAATATCTGGGGTTACAGGTGCCCACCACCATGCCCGGCTAATTTTTGTATTTTCAGTAGAGACAGGATTTCACCGTGTTGACAAGGCCAGTCTTGAACTCCTGACCTCAAATGATCCATCTGCCTCAAGCCTCTCAGAGTGCTGGGATTACAAGCGTGAACCACCATGCCCGGCCGAAAAGTAGAAATTTGAAGGGCTAAAGAAACAAGATTCTAGGCTGAGTATTCAGAAATGATTCTCAAAGCCACACTGCAGAATCAGAACACCAAGGAAGCTGCTGCATATTCTCTTGTCAGGAAGGCATTTGCTGAATGGGGAAGCTGCTGTAACAGTTGTTGGCCATGAAGTCATACCATCACTGATCCAATCAGGAAGCCGTCATGAGTAGAAACCTGTCTCCACAATGACCAGCTTTAGAATGGAGCTGTACCTGCTGTAGCCTGCTCCTTGACAGAGGAGCTAGTGCCTGAATGCTGCTAATCCTACCCTAGAGAAACCACACACCTCTGTGACCATTTTTTAAAAATTATTATTTTGAGACAGAGTCTTGCTCTTTTACTCAGGCTGGAGTTCAATGGCACAATCACAACTCACTGCAGCCTTGAACTCCAGGCTCCAAATTCAGCCTTCCAAGTAGCTGGGACTACAAGTGTGCACAACCATGCCTGGCTAACTCTTTAATTTTTTGTAGAGACAGGGCTTTGCTATGTTGCCCAGGTTGGTCTTGAACTTCTGGGTTTAAGAGATCCATCTGCCTCAGCCTCCCAAAGGGCTGGAATTATAGGGGTGAGCCACCATGCCCAGCCTCTTTGTGACCATTTTTAAAGTGTAAATGTAGAAACAACAAAAAAGGAGGGCTCTTACCTCATAATCTGATTTAAGAAACCTAAATCACACCCAGAGCCCTAGCTGCAAGGGAGTCTGAAATATGTAGAATTTTTTTTCTTTGATCTTTCATCTTCAATATAAGAGAGCACACTAGAAAGAGATTAGGTAGATACTGAATGTTAATCTGCCGTGTGTATTCTAGTAATTTTTATCCAAGTATTATTAGTAGAGACAGAATTTCACCATGTTGACAAGGCTGGTCTTGAACTCCTGACCTTAAGTGATCCATCCACCTCAAGCCTCCCAGAGTGCTGGGAAAACAGGCGTGAGCCACCATGCCTGGCTGAAAAGTAGAAATTTGAAGGGCTAAAGATTATTATTTATTATTTTGTTCAAGTAGTATTTTTATTATTATTTTTTCTGCTCTGGAAGCTTTTTATTGTTGCTCCAAGTTTAAGAATTTTCAGTGATGGTAGAAAACCAATACTTTTAGACAACCTCCCGCATAGCCCTGCTCAGCTTCTGAATCTTGGTCTTAACAGACATGTCAACATATTTCTCTCAAATGCGCACAATCATTCCACCCATGATTGACGGATCAGTCTTACCCTCCAATTTCAATACTTGGCTTTGACTTAGGAAGCTCTTCAGGACTGTTTTTAATTCAGAGAGTGTGGCTTCCTCTAAAGGAGATGCAGTGGTCCCTGTGCAAGGTACCTCTCCACGGTGGACACTCATCATGATAGAAAAAGAAGAAACGACTCCTTGGGTATTGCTTAAGCAACCATATTGAGCAAGCAAATTGATCAGGGTTGGAGAGAGAATGTCTCTTTGGCTGTGATGTCATTTAGGCTTTTCACTTTAATGGAACACTTCACACAGGGATTCAAAATAGAAGCAGCCACTTTGGGTTCCTTTAGGATTTGTGCTATTCTCAACAGCTCCTTTTCTACTTGCTCCAGCTTATTCTGTTTCGATGCAGCAGAATAAAGAGCCATGGCATAGCGACCTTCCATACTGTGTACCTAAACAGGAGGCCTCACAAGCTTGACAATGGTCTGACCACAGATGTACTGAAGCATCACACCTGCCAGGAGAGCCCAGACACTGCTGGGGGGTGGCCATCACCTCCCGGGCACCCTTTTACTATTTTTTAATTATAGAAGTAATACATAGGCCAGGTGTGGTAGCTCATGCTTGTAATCCCAGCACTTTGGGTGGCAGAGGTGGGAGGATTGCTTGAGCCCAGGGGTTCGAGACCAGCCTGGGCACCATAGCAAGATGCTGTCTCTATAAAAAATACAAAAATTAAGGCCAGGTGTGGTGGCTCACGCCTGTAATCCCAGCACTTTGGGAGGAGGAGGTGGGTGGATCACTTGAGGTCAGGAGTTCAAGACCAGCTTGACCAATATGGTGAAACCCAATTTCTACTAAAAATACAAAAATTAGCCAGGAGTGGTGGCATGCGCCTGTAGTCCCAGCTACTCGGGAGGCTGAGACAGGAGAGTTGCTTGAACCTGGGAGGCAGAGGTTGCAGTGAGCCAAGATCATGCCACTGCACTCCAGCCTGGGCAACAGAGTGAAACTCCATCTCAAACAAAAACAAACAAACAAACAAACAAACAAACAAAATATGAAAATTAGCCAGGCACGGTGGTGCACGTCTGTAGTCCCAACTACTCGGGAGGTTGAGGTAGAAGGATTGCTTGAGCCCAGGAGGTCAACGCTGCAGTGAGCTGTGATCGTGCCATTGCACTCCAGCCTGGGTGACAGAATGAGACCCTGTCTCAAAACAAAAACAACAATAACAAACAAAACAAAAAAGTAATACATGAATATATTCTCTTTGTAGAAGACAAGAACAGAACAAATCTGTAGAGTAAAAAGTAAACATCCCGACCCACTTAGTTCCCACATCGCTTCCTAGTGGGAGTCACTGACAGCAGTTTACTGGCTATTGATTCAATCTTTTGTCTGTGCCTGTATATGTACATAGAGGTACATACACATATCTAAGAATTTTTAAAAACATAAATATGCTAATACTAGTCCATAACTTTGCTTAGAAATCTTTCCATGTCTGGTCATAAAGATCTAACAGGGGTCGGGAAACTTTCTGCAAAGGGCCAGATAGTAAAGATTTTAGGCTTCGTGGACCACATATAGCAGTGGTCCCCAACCTTTTTGGCACCAGGGACTGGTTTTGTGAAAGACAATTTTTCCATGGATGAGGGTATGGGGCAGAAGGTTTCAGGGTGAAACGGTTCCACCTCAGATCATCAGGCATTAGATTCTCATAAGAAGTGCACAACCTAGATCCCTTGTATGTGCAGTTCACAACAGAGTTTGTACTCCTATGAGAATCTAATAGATCTGGCAGGAGACGGAGCTCAGGCGGTAATGCTCTCTCGCCTGCCACTTGCCTCCTGCCATGCAGCCTGGTTCCTAACAGGCCACTGATCTGATATACAGTCTCTGTGACATAGTCTTCTGTTTTTTGTTGCTATTTGTTTTTGTTTTTTTTTAAACAACCATTTAAACATGTCAAAAACATTTTTTTTTTTTTGAGATGGAGTCTCGCTCTGTCACCCAGGCTGGAGTGCAGTAGCACGACCTCGGCTCACTGCAACCTCTGCCTCCCAGGTTCCAGTGATTCTCCTGCCTCAGCCTCCCTAGTAGCTGGGACTCCAGTTGCATGCCACCACGCCTGGCTAATTTTTGTATTTTTAGTAGAGACAGGGTTTCACCATGTTGGCCAGGCTGGCCTCGAACTCCTGTCCTCAGGTGATCCATCCACCCCAGCCTCCCAAAGTGCTGGGATTACAGGCGTGAACCACCGCACCTGGCCCCACATTTTTTTTATTCACTCATCCTTCAATGGATATTTAGTTTGTTTCCATAGTCATCTTGGCTATTGTGAATAATGGTGCAATGAACACAGGGGTACAGATATCTCTTTGGGATCCTGATTTCAATTCTTTTGGATATGTACCCACAAGTGGGATTGCTAGATCACATGGTAGTTCTATTTTTAATTTTTTGAGGAAACTCCAAACTGTTTTCTATAGTGGCTGCATCATTTTGCATTCCTACCAACAGTGTACAGGAGTTCCACATCCTTGTCAACACTTTTTATCTTTTTCTTTTTGATAAGCGGGGCTGCTGGGCCAACTCTCTCTTCCCTGGGAGCTGAGAACTGGACGTTTTTTTAATCCACAAGCTCTGTGTTGTGCAAGGGGAAGGGCCAATGGCACCTATCAGCCAGAGACTCCACCTCCATTCTCCCCTCGGTATCCAAACTGTAACTGATCATGAGACTTCCAGGACTGGCAAAATAAAAGCTAGTGTTTGGGGAAGTCCTCTCACAAGAGTTGGGGTGCTGGACACAAAGACCAACCTCTCCCCTCCTCTGGTGGAAGCTTGGGAGTGAGGGGATCTTCTCATGGTCATACAGCATGGGGTTAGGGGCAGGGTCTCCAGTGAGAGAGTGTCCTTAGTCTCCTTACTGGCTTTAGTGAGTCTGATGTAGCATTTTCTGGGGGTGCAGGAGCCTTTCAGGTAGTTTCTGATCTTTTGCAAAGGGATTTTGTCAATGAATTTTTGCTGAATCAGTATGTGGAGGGGAGGGGGGAAGGATAATTCAGGGTTTTTTATACTGCCAAGTTGCTGACATAACCTCTTATTAACACAACTACTTATTTTTGTGAGTCTAGAAAGTTGTTAATCCTTTTTGAACCTCATTTCTTTTAAAAATAACTATAAATTGGAGGTAGCAACACTGAGACTTTATTAGGTTGCAGTAAGCATTAAATGAGATAATGTATGCATTTTGTGTGGATGTTACTGGCCCCTACTCCCAGTGGAGCAGAAGACTGGATCCATTTCATGGACTCACTAGGGGTGGCTTACATTTCCTTAACACCAAACTGGCTAATTAAAAGATGGCTTTAGCCATTTGCTCCCTTTCCTACTCTGGGCTATATTCTCTGAGAGCCACCATTTCTGCCCAGCACTTTTTTTTTTTTTTTTTTTTGAGACAGGGTCTCACTCTGTCACCCAGGCTGGAGTGCAGTGGTGCCATCTCAGCTTACTGTAACCTCCACCTCCCAGGTTCAAGCAATTCTCCTGCCTCAGCCTCCCGAGTAGCTGGGATTACAGGCCCCCACCACCACGCCCGGCTAATTTTTGTATTTTTAGTAGAGACGGGGTTTCACCATGTTGGCCAGGCTGGTCTCGAACTCCTGGCCTCAAGTGATCCACCTGCCCCAGCCTCTCAAAGTGCTGGGATTACAGGTGTGAGCCACTGTGTCCGGCCTCTGTCCAGCACTTCTAACCCTCCTCCAGCAACTACTTCCTCTTGTTCCTCCATGCCTGGGATATGGGCTCTATTCCAGGCACTACTGCTGGTTCCTCCACTAGGATCTGAACCTTCCTGTCACCCATAAACAGGCCCTTTCCTAGGGTCAGAGCAATGCTTTGGTCTGTGGTCCGTCTTGGGGATTGGGGGACTGCTGCCCTCCCACATCCCTGTTAGAGAGACGATAGGAAAGCTGGGCTGCATGTGTACCAGCATCTTCCAGCATTGATATGTAGCCTTGCCCCTTACTGTTTAAAACCAGTTTCCTCTGCTCCTTCCTTCACTCTGAGGACTTTGTAATTGGACAAATGTCAACGTCCCTACTGTTTTCTCCCTTAGGATCAATTTTCTCTCAGGAGGCTCTTCATTGACTCATGCAAACAGATTTCTGGCGGGAACTGCTCCAAGGCCTTCCAGATGTGCACAGGCATGGATGAATCAGAGCAGAAGTGGACAGATGTAGCTCAAATGGAGGGTTCTGCTATGTAAGTAAAGCATCCAGCCTTCCACGTTGGGAGTCACCACTAGTCCCAAGCTTGAGTTGAGTCATCTTTAATTGAGGTACACAGAGTAGGGCAGCTTTGAAGTCATTTACACCTGAAGCTGGACTCCTACCCAGTGTCTTTCTCTCTTTGTGACCTGGAGTTGGCTACTTAACTTTCTGAGTTTCAATTTACTCACAGTTAAAATAGTAATAATAATTTTCATTTTATGGTTTGTTGTATGCATTACTAAATAATATTTAGAAAATATCTGGCAAGTACTAGGTTTGCTTTTTATTTTTTTTCCATTAAGCATCTCTTTTGTGACTTACTAAGGCTGAGTTTTATTTTATTATATTTCTATCATTCTTCTTTTCATGTAGTCTTTTTCTTTCTCTTTTTTCTTCTCTTTTTCTCTTTCTCCCTGCCTGCCTGCCTGCCTACCTTCCTTCTTTTTTTCTTTGCTGTGTTTTTAAAACAGTAGACAAATATTGGAGAACAGGACCCCATCATTAGAACATTGACAAGTTTTTCTAGCAGAAACAGTATTTTGTTCCAACAGTTGTGTAGGCTTAATATATAAGTAACTTCACAATATCCTTAAGAAATTAAACACAGATCGGAGAGTTCTGAAATTATTTAAAAATTTAAAAATGTTAAAAATCAGCTGGGCGCGGTGGCTCACACCTGTAATCCCAGCACTTTGGGAGGCTGAGGTGGGTGGATCACCTGAGGTCGGGAGTTCGAGACCAGCCTGACCAACATGGAGAAACCCTGTCTCTACTGAAAATACAAAATTAGCCAGATGTGGTGGCACATGCCTGTAATCCCAGCTACTTGGGAGGCTGAGGCAGGAGAATCGCTCGAACCCAGGAGGCAGAGGTTGTGGTGAGCCAAGATCGCGCTATTGCACTCCAGTCTCCAGTTTCACAAGAGTGAAACTGCATCTCAAAAAAAAAAGTTAAAAATCACACATAAGCTCACAACTTACATGAACAAAAGAACTTTTATATTTTATATTACTTACCATAAACCAATAGCAAATATCTATTTCTCAAAGGCACAAATTCTGCATAAAATTTAGCAATGCCTTCCCATACCTGTTACCCAAATACAATTCAACAAAATCAGTGACACCAGGGTATTGTGAAGCTTAAACTACAACTGGATGTAAAGTGAGCTTATCTAAGCTGTTGTTATGGTGTTAACTTTATAAAAAATGGATCTGAGAATGGACTTTCTCTTTCTACCTAATCTAAAAGGTAGGACGCTGGAGATAGTAAATTACCCCAAACCACAAATGGGAAACAGATGGCTTTTCAGCCAGGGACAGAACCAATTATTTATAACCTTCTCCTCGTCATCCTTCTTACAAACTAAACCTGGCAAATGGTTGGGAACATGAGCTCACAAGTCAGTAGGACCACAAAATATGCTGACTATACTGTAGGCTAGTTTCTTCCTGAAAGAAGGCACAGTAATGCAGGACGAAAATAGGGGTGATGAAAACAACTTAAGGTTACTTTTGATTTTTAAAAGTAGTAATTCCGGGCTGGGTGCTGTGGCTCATGCCTGTAATCCCAGCACTTTGGGAGGCCAAGGTGGGTGGATCACCTGAGGTTAGGAGTTTGAGACCAGCCTGGCTAACGTGGTGAAAACCCGTTTCTACTAAAAATACAAAAAAATTAGCCAGATGTGGTGGTGCGTGCCTGTAATCCCAGCTACTTGGGAGGCTGAGGCAGGAGAATCGCTTGAACCCGGGAGGCGGAGGTTGCAGTGAGCTGAGATCGCACCATTGTACTCTGGCTTGGGCAATAAGGGTAAAACTCCGTCTCAAAAAAAAAAAAGTAATTCTGGCTGGGTACAGTGGCTCATGCCTGTAATCCCAGCACTTTGGGAGGCTGAGGTGGGTAGATCACCTGAGGTTAGGTGTTTGAGACCAGCCTGACCAACATAGTGAAACCCCCTCTCTAATAAAAATACAAAAATTAGCTCGGCGTGGTGGCAGGTGCCTGTAATCCCAGCTACTCAGGAGGCTGAGGCAGGAGAATTGCTTGAACCCGGGAGGTGGAGGTTGCAGTGAGCCGAGCCATTGCACTCCAGCCTGGGTGACAGAGCGAGACTCCGCCTCCAGAAAAAAAAAGTAATACCATCACAGCTATTGAATGAAATGTTTCCAAGTGTTCTAATATTAATTCTGAAGTAGTCAACATCATGTTTTTAGAAGGATGTTATTGAATCACAACATATTGTCACTTGAAGTCACCTCTAATCTCAGTTCACAAATAAGAAAGTGTGATATACTTATTGGGCAAACACAGTGGGCAATGGACCAGCCAATGAGGACACCCCAATCCTGAGTTACAATTCTAAATGCTACCTCATTTGTACACACTGGGAACAGGGAAAATGTCAGGTTACAAGCAAAATATATTTGCGTAGACCTTTACATTTTTCACTGTGCTATTCTCAACAACACTGTCGATTACTATCCTCTTTGAAATCCACATCTAACTCAGATCAGCAATGAAGGCTCTTGCTTTAATTCTTAAAACCAGTAATGCCAGCGTTGCTGATCTACGTGTAGGATTTCAGAATTTAACCAGGCCAGATAAATACAACTGTGTTCAACTCAACTAGGACCAGGAAGTTCCCAAGTGGACTTTGCATTGAGTGGAGTTTTAAAATTCCACAGAGGCCCACCAGTGGATTAAGTATGTATTCTTGGAACACCAAAAAACAGGAGGCCTTGTTGGTATCACTGGCAATCCCTAGATGACAAAGTTTCGAGTAAGGTGAAATGAAGACAGGGTCTTGCTCTGCCACCCAGGCTGGAGTGCAGTAGTGTGACCTTGGCTCACTGCAGCTTGAATTCTTGGGCTCAAGCAATCCCCTAGCCTCAGCCTACTGAGTAGCTTGGACTACAGGCACATGCCGCCATGCCCAGCTATGTTTCTATAGAGACAGGGTTTCACTATGTTGCCCAGGCTGGTCTTAAGCTCCTGGCCCAAAGCCATCATCCTGCTTTGGCCTCCCAAAGCACTGGGATTACAGGTATGAGCCACTGTGCCTGGCCCAAGAAAGTAATCTGTTTAAAGTTTAGCGCATAAGGAATTCAATAAGGAGAGGTCATAGTGCTCCCTCAGGTATCGTGTAGAAGCAAAGCAGAGCTCACATGTGTTTAAAATGTCATCCAGGGTCACTCTCTGAAGTGCTAATTTTATGTTTGTTTTTACACAAAAAAAGAAAAACAATTAATCTTCCAACTCAACCAGTCAGTCACCTAGTATAATAACTTAATTAGTTGGGTATAGTTCCTCCATTTCAAATGGTTTACATAATTGGATATAATAGAGAGCAGTATTCAACAAAAGGTGATCACTATAAACATGTGAACTATCATCATTATGAAAGTGCTTGAGGAACACTGCGGGTGGGTTAGGGCATGGGATAAAGGTGGAGTTAATCTAAAAAAGAAAAGACTTCATTGAGAAGGAGTTTGAAAGGAGATAGGCAATCTGGCAGCGAAAAAGATGGAGAATCCAAGCCATGTGTAATATATATGTGCCTGCTTGAATTTTCGTTAGTACCACATTGTCCCTAATGGCATGAAAAATAATAAAACACAAAGTTGGATGAAAGTTAGATTATTCAACCTGGAAGAACGTGTTTATAGATATGATATCCTTAATTTTTTATGAAACTTTCTCTTTAACAGTTTATAATGACAAACCTCTAGTTGAGTGGAAAAATCTGGCACTGGAGAATTTTACTTAATTATATAACTGAGAGTTGACAGAGCTTTTAAAAAAAATTAGCTTGTGCCATGTAAAAGTGCTGGTATTTGATCTTGACCATTTTTGACCTAACAAACTGGCAGTGTTTTATGCTTTGACATAAAACATGGATTAATTTAATAAAAATAGTTATATATACCAGGTGCGATGGCATGCCTGTAAGCCCAGCACTTTGTGAGGCCAAGGCAGGAGGATTGCTCACATCCAGAAGTTCAAGACTAGCCTTGACAATATAGCGAGACCTCGTCTCTCCAAAAAATCAGAACCTATCCAGGTATGGTGGTGTGTGCCTGTAGTCCTAGCTACTTGGGAGGCTAAAGTGGGAGGATCACTTGAGCCCAGGAGGTTGAGGCTACAGTGAGCTGTGATCATGCCACTACACTCAGCCTGGACGACAGAGTGAGACCCTGTCTCAAAAAAATAAAAAAATAACTCAAGAAGAGCTATATATATTTATATATGTAATATTTGACTTATTACATACAATTTGTCTTATTTCATATTTTATTTCTATACATAGTATAGTTCAGTATATTTAACATTAAAACCCTACTAAACATAGCATCATTTTGATGATTGAGAAAGCACTTCCTTCCTCATTCACTAGACATTCACTGAGCACCTATTATGTTTCCAGCACTCTGCTCCTAGCTGAGATACAAGGATGAGTAAAATATATGTCTTGCCCTTGACTTTCTCAGTTTAGTAAGGGAGATGAACACCTTAAAAGATGATTACGCAGAGAGACTGTGTGTACAGGGGTTAAGAAGGAAGGCCCTGAGGTCAGACAAACCCAGATGTTTAGTCTGGTCTTCACCACTTTTGCTAAGGGCCAAAGCTCTTTTAGCCTTGTGGAAATAATAACAGTACCTCCCAGGATTCTTGTGAGAGTTAAATGTGACAATGCACATGAAGTTGCTTAGCATTGTACTGTACTTAACAAGTACTCAGGAAATGCTGAGTATTACTGTATGTGTTAAGTGCTATTTACATAATTAGATGTGGTTGGTACTTGCTTCCTTTGAGTGGAGTTAGGTCAACTGGTTTTAATGATAAGCAACACATGACAGTGACAATGGTTTCTAGTGAACTATAGTGAACTCCTCGTAGTAGTTTAGAGAAAAATCTCATCATCTTTCCCTGGAAATGAGACCTGTTATCAATCAAAAGTGCTGGTCTAAGGAAGTGACTGAACAGATTGAACATACCTCTCAGGAGTGGGGCTGGCTTTTCTAGGTACTCAACATTCTTTTAACGCTTTTGATTAAAAAAAAAAAAAAAAAAAAAAAGGGCTGGGCGCTGTGGCTCAGGCCTGTAATCCGGCTCAGGCCTGTAATCCCAGCATTTTGGGAGGCCGAGGCAGGTGAATCATGAGATCAGGGGATCGAGACCATCCTGGCTAACACAGTGAAACCCCGTCTCTACTAAAAATACAAAAAAATTAGCCAGGCGTGGTGGCGGGCAGTTGGCAGGTGCCTGTACTCCCAGCTACTCGGGAGGCTGAGACAGGAGAATGGCATGAACCCAGGAGGCAGAGCTTGCAGTGAGCCGAGATCGCGCCACTGCACTCCAGCCTGGGTGACAGAGTGAGACTCCATCTCAAAAAAAAAAAAAAAAAAAAGAAAAGAGGAACTGAAACAGGAACTAATAGATTTAACAGATTTGATGATAATTAAGACTTAAATTCTTTTCTCCAGTTCACGTTTGTGTTCTCACACAAAGTAGTTATTGCCAAGATGCCCAGGCACATGAATGCCTTTATCCAAACTTACTGAATAGTCTTTCCTTCAATAAATACTATTGAGCCTTACTGTTTGCCAGGCACTGTGCTAGGCTCTGGGAGTATGAAGGTAAGCAAAACCACAGGCTGGTGGCAGAGACAGACATTCATGAAATAAGCCTCCCCATACATAATAATAGTTGCTCTAAGTGAGAAGTTTAGAGCAGGGGCCCTGATTTAGGCTGGGGCATAGGTTTGTAGAGGCAGGGAAGAGTTCATTTAGGGAAGTAACATCTAAAAATACCACTTACCCTTTAGAAGAGCTGGCGATTTTCTCTCTCTTTTTTTTTTTTTTTTTTTTTTTGAGACAGAGTCTTGCTCTGTTGCCCAGGCTAAAGCTCAATGGTGCAATCTCGGCTCAGTACAACCTCCGCCTCCCGGGTTCAAGCCATTCTCCTGCCTCAGCCTCCCAAGTAGCTGGGATTACAGGCGCCCACCACCACGCCCAGCTAATTTTTGTATTTTTTAGTAGAGACAGGGTTTCACCATCTTGGCCAGGCTGGTCTTGAACTCCTGACCTTGTGATCCACACCCCCACCCTTGGCCTCCCAAAGTGCTGGGATTACAGGAGTGAGCCACCGTGCCCGGCTGATTTTCTCTTTAATTCCAAAGCCGCCAGCAAGTTCAGGAGATAAAAGCTTAGTCAAATAAATTTTTGGTTACCATATGGAAAATGTCATGTTGATATAAATTATTTATTCTATCACCCAACTATATTGATAACATTAAACATGGCCTTTCTATCTGTCATTCTGCCCCAATGAGACTTTCATTTCTTTAACATTATACAAAGTAAAATCATCTACCTCTGGAATGATTTTATCATTATTAACACACATATACATGCATACTTATTTATGGTTCTTTATATGCACTAAAGAAGCTGGGAAAATTTTAGAAGATAGTAAAATGAAATGGTTCTTCCTTTCTTGTCTGGGAGGGGCTCCTTGCTCTGGAATGATACTTCATATATAAATACAGTGTTTCTCCGTGGTCTTCCTTTTGGATTTTTGGAGGTTGGATGGGAAGGGCTGAATTTCGGCACACACTGAAAACAGCTTATCTTGTAGGAGGGATTATAATATCCCAAACATTGTATATAAGTGGCATTTTGAGATTTCCTCAGAAATGTATTAAAAACAGAGAGAAAAAAATGATTGTAGCAAGTATTCAGCCATTTTACCTTTTTATTCAAATATTTAGCAATTTCTTGGGCTTCTAGTAATTTAGTGATCAATGGCTCCAATCAGAGAGTTCATTCACAGGAATATTCACACTCATTTGTTTCAGCCTTAAATAAATAAAGGTTGATTTTTTAAAAGAGGCTGTCTTCTAGGTATTGCAAGTGGAATCTGCTCATATTGATTGGGTTGCTCTTCAGTAATTTCCTACAGCATGCACATCTCTTCCTTTTTATGTTTTTCTCAAGCAATCAGTAAATAACGTATTCATCAAACTTAAGAGAGTGTCCCAACAGAATTTCGTTGGAAAAGCTGGGTTTCTTTCTTGCTGAGGTATACAGTTGATGAGTTCTTTAGCCAGTTGGATTATAGCAGCTCAGTGAGATCATAGAAAGTAACCTGGTTATGTTGTACTGATATTCATCACAGGAAATGAACTCATCTCCACAAATTATTTGCTGCAAAATAAATTAACTCCTTTAATAGAAAATTATCACAGGATCAGCACGTCCCACTTGTCAAGGAAGGAATATGAGCACAGTGTAGCTTTACTGTTACAGCAAGAAACCATTATTTTGTTGCTCACGGTACTCTCAACATAAATCTAAAATAATATCATCAAATGAACTCTCTGATTGGAGCCATTGATCACTAAATTACTAGAAGCCCAAGAAATTGCTAAGTTTCGCCGGGCACGGTGGCTCACGCCTGTAATCGCAGCACTTTGGGAGGGCGAGGCGGGCGGATCACCTGAGGTTGGGAGTTTGAGACCAGCCTGACCAACATGGAGAAACCCCGTCTCTACTAAAAATACAAAATTAGCTGGGAGTGGTGGCGCATGTCTGTAACCCCAGCTACTCAGGAGGCTGAGGCAGGAGAATTGCTTGAACCTGGGAGGTGGAAGTTGCGGTGAGCCGAGATGGTGCCATTGCACTCCGGCCTGGGCAACAAGAGCGAAACTCTGTCTCAAAAAAAAAAAAAAAAAAAAAGAGAAAAAAAAAAGAAAGAAAGAAAAAGAAAAAGAAATTGCTAAGTTTCAACAAAGTCATGTTAGTTGTTTGAAATATTTCATAATACATTCTAATAAAAGGATTAATCATGTAAGGTTATTACAATGATATTGTGCACTTTTACTATTGCATAGCTTTTCCTATGAGCCCGACACTATGCTAGGCACTTACATGCATTATCTTGTGTCCTTTGTACAGCAAACCTAGAATGATTTACTCATGGGTTTCTTCCCCAGATCACAGATAAAGAAATGAGAACTGATTGTGCTAAAAAATTTTTCTCGTGCCTGTGATCAGTGTATTATATTTGGAGTATCTATGTTGGGCTGAGAATAAGAAAATAGAAACTAGAAGGACACTAGAAATAGAGGGAAGATAGGGAATTGGAGGGGACTGGAGCTAGAAAAGGAAATTATAGTAATAGATTACTATATGCCAGAGACTGTGTATATGATGGCACAAACAAACTTTTTTTTTTTTTTTTTTTTTTTTTTTGAGACAGAGCCTTGCTCTGTGGCTCAGGTTGGAGTGCAGTGGTACAATCCGGGCTCCCTGCAAACTCTGCCTCCCTGGTTCAAGCAGTTATTGTGCATCAACCTCCCAAGTAGCTGGGATTATAGATGTGTGCCATCATGCCTGGCTAATGTTTGTATTTGTAGTAGAGACGGGGTTTTGCCATGTTGGCCAGGCTGGTCTCGAACACCTGACCTCAAGTAATCTGCCTGCCTCAGCCTCGAAACGTGTTGGGATTACAGGTGTGAGCCATCGTGCCCGGCCACAAACTTTTTTTCTATACTTTCACGGTATTCTTAATATTTCTGCCACAAGATTCAGTTTTTCCTACAGCAAACAATTTTCCAGGTCTCTATGGACATCAAGTAGTGTCCTACGAATCAACTTAATTCTGACTCTATCTCTATCTGGTGATAGTACAGAAACCACAGGTCAAGGGCTCAGTCAAGACTGCCCCCATTTCAGATGCTGGGTTGTAACCTGTTCTTATAGCCAACAGGAATCCAGGGTTCCTATGACTGCTTCTCACATTCGTTCATTTACTAGGTCAGCTTGGAGAACTCAGGAAAATAGTTAACTCCCTATATTTGCAGTTTATTACAAAGGCTAGAACTCAGAGGCAGCCAGATGGGAGTGATGCATAGGACAAGCCACATAGGAAAGTGCACAGAGGTTCTATGCTGTCTCTAGGTGGGATTTTTTTTTTTTTTTTTTTTGAGATAAGGTCTCACTCTGTCACCCAGGCTGCAGTGCAGTGGTGCAATCACTGCTCACTGAAGCCTCGACCTCCCTGGCTCAAGCAATCCCCTCACCTTAGCCTTCTAAGTAGCTGGGACTACAGGCGCACACTACCATGCCCAGTTAATTTTGGACTTTTTGTAGAGATGAAGTCTTGCCATGTTGCCCAGGTGAGTCTCAAACGCTTGGGTTCAAGTGATCTTCCTGCCTCAGCCTCCCAAATGCTGGGATTACAGGCATGGGCCACCCTGCCCCGCGGGCTTTTCTTTTCTTTTCTTTTCTTTTGAGACAGGGTCACCCAGGCTGGAGTGCAGTGGTGCAATCATAGCTCGCTGTAACCTTGAGCTCTTGGGCTCGAGTGATCGTCCTGCCTCATCCTCGAGTTGCTAGGATTAAAGGCACGCACCACCATGCCTAGCTAATTTCCTTTTTTTTTTTTTTTTTGTAGAGACGGGGTCTCGATTTGTTGCCCATGCTGGTCTCAAAACACCTGGACTTTAGCGATCCTCCCACTCGGCCTCTTGGAAGTGCTGGGATTCCAGGCGGGAGCCGCCGAGCACAGCCTGGGGCCTGGATGTTTATGTGAGACAGTAGGCGGCACTCTAAGCATCTCGGAACTGTTGGTGTTCGCTTTTCGGCACTCTATTGTATGTCATACCTTGTGCTGCACTCTACTCACGTTTGACTCTTTGTAGTACACTATGCCTCACTCCTCATCTTGGAATCATTTGCTATACCATACGCCTCAGTCTTTTCGTCTTGGATCTTTTTTTTTTTTTTTTTGAGACGGAGTTTCGTTCTTGTTGCCCGGGTTGGAGTGCAATGGCGCGATCTCGGCTCACTGCAACTTCCGCCTCCTGGGATCAAGCGACTCTTCAGCCTCAGCCTTCCGCGTAGCTGGGATTACAGGCGCATGCCACCATGCCCGGCTAATTTTTGCATTTTTAGTAGAGACAGGGTTTCATCATATTGGTCAGGCTGGTCTCAAATTCCTGACTTCAGGTGATCCGCCCGCCTCGGCCTCCCAAAGTGCTGGAATTACAGGCGTGAGCCACCGCGCCCGGCCTGTCTTGGGATCTTTAGTGGTGCCGGATGCCCTAGGTTTTCATCTTGGGATTCTTTGGAGGCCATACGCCCGAGTTATTTTGTTTTGGAATCATTTGGGAGACCGTATGCTCCGGGTTTTTTTTGTTTTGTTTTTTTGTTTTTGTTTTTGTTTTTGTTTTTTTTTGAGACGGGGTTTCGCTCTCGCCAGGCTGGAGTGCAGTGGCGCGATCTCGGTTCACCGCAACCTCCGCCTCCCGGGTTCAAGCGATTCTCCTGCCTCAGCTTCCCGAGTAGCTGGGATTACAGGCACGCGCCACTATGCCCGGCTGATTTTTGTATTTTTAGTAGAGATGGGGTTTCACCATGTTGGCCAGGATGGTTTCCATCTCCTGACCTCATGATCCGCCCGCCTCGGCCTCCCAAAGTGCTGGGATTACAGGCGTGAGCCACGGCGCTCGACTGTCCCGGTCTGTTTGTCTTGCAATTGTTTGCAGTAGCGTACTCCCTGATTTTTCGTCTTGAAATTCTCTGGGGAACTGCACTCCCAATCTTTTCATCTTGGAATCCTTTAGCGGACCGTATTGCCCTAGTGCTTTTGTCTTGGCACTGTTTGCAGTGCTGTACACCCCAATCTTTTCGTCTTGAAAACCTTTGGGATACTGTACCCTTGGTCTTTTAGTCCTGGAATTCTTTGCGGGATCGTATGCACCCGTTTTTCATCTTGGAATCTTTTGGGAGACCGTATGCCCCAGTCTTTTTGTTGTGGGATTATTTGGGATACTGTATTCACCAGTCTTTCCATCTTGGAATGTTTTGGGAGATTGTATGCTCCAGTTTTTATGGCTTGGAATCGCTTGCAATGCCCTATGCCCTAGTTATTTCACCTTGGAATATTTTGGGATATCAAATGCCCCAGTCTTTTGTCTTGGAGTCATTTGCAGTGTTGTATGCGCTAGTCTTTTTATCTTGGAATTATTTGGTGGACTGTACACCCCAATGTTTTCATCATGAAATCTTTTGGGAAACGCTATGTTCCAGTCTTTTCATCTTGGAATCTTTTGTAGTGCCATACGACCCAGACTTTTTGTCTTGGAATCTTTAGGGGCAGCTTATGCCCCAGTCTTTTCATTTTGGAATTCTTTGGCGACTGTATTCACCAGTTTTTTCATCTCGGAATCTTTTGTGAGATTGTATATCCCAATCTTTTTGTCTTGGAATCGTTTGCAGTGCCATCTGGCCCAATCTTTTCATTTTGGAACTCTTTGGGGGGACTATACACCCCAGTCTTTTAATCTACGAATCTTTTGGGAGTCCGTATGCCCCAATCTTTTTGTCTTACAATTCTTTGTGACATTGTACACCCCAGTCTTTTCATCTTGGAATCTTTTGGGAGACAGTATGCCCCAGTCTTTCTGTCTTAGAATCATTTGCAGTGTCATACACCCCAGTCTTTTAATTTTGGAATCGTTTGCAGTGCGGTATTTCCTAGTTTTTTTTCTCTTGGAATTATTTGGGGGACTATATACCACAGTCTTTTCATCTTGGAATTTTTCAGGGAACCGTATACTCCAGTCTTTTTATCTTGGAATCATTTGCAGTGTTTTACTCCCTAGTCTTTTTTTTTTTTTTTTTTTTTTTAATGGAGTCTGGCTCTGTCGCCCAGGCTGGAGTGCAGTGGCGTGATCTCGGCTCACTGCAACCTCCGCCTCCCGGGTTCAAGCGATTCTTCTGCCTCAGCCTCCTGAGTAGCTAGAACTACAGGCAACTGCTACCATGCCCGGCTAATTTTGTGTATTTTTAGTAGAGATGGGGTTTCATCGTGTTAGCCAGGATGGTCTCCATCTCCTGACCTCGTGTTCCGCCCGCCTAGGCCTCCCAAAGTCCTGGGATTACAGGCGTGAGCCACTGTGCCTAGCCATTCCCTAGCCTTTTCGTCTTGGAATCATTTGTAGTGTCATACGCCCCAGTTCTTTCATCTTGGAATTCTTTAGGGGACCGTGTGCCCCAGTGTTTCCATCTTGGGATCACTTGCAGGGCTGTACTCTTCAAATCTTTGGGGACACTGTATTATGCCCCAGTCTTTCCCATCTTGGAATCTTTCCAGAGACCCTATGCCCAGTCTTTTTGTCTTGGACTTATTTGCAGGGCTATATGCCCCAGGCTTTTCATCCTGGAATCTTTTGAGAGATCGCATGCCCCAGCCTTTCCATCCTGGGATCATTTGCAGTGCTGGACTCCCTAATCTTTTTGTGTCGTAATCGTTTGCGGTGTCATCTTGGAATTATCTTGTCATCTTGGAAGTGTCTTTTCATCTTGGAATTATTTCAGGGACTGTAAGTCCCAGTCATCTGTCTTGGAATTGTTTTCTGGGATGGATGCCCCAATCGTTTCGTTTTGGGGTCTTTGGGGAATCGTATGCCCCAGTGTTATTGTTTCAGGATTGTTTCAGGATTCTTTGCAGTACCGTGCACCGCAGTCTTTTCATCTTAGAATCCTTTGGGGTACTCCCGGTTCATCTTGGAATTATCTGGAAGACCGTATGCCCCTGTTTTTTTCAAAGTACCACAGTTTTAAACATTTATGTTCACCTCTTGAGAGACATCTTGGTTACTTCCAGTTGCCCCAGTTTTTTTGTCTTGGAATCTTTGGAGGTACTGTATTCTCCCTCTTTTTGTCTTGGAATCATTTGCGGTGCTGTACACCCCAGTCTTCTCGTCTTACAATTCTTTAGGGGTAAAATATGCTCCAGTCTTTTCATCTTGGGATTCTTTCAGTGAACGCAGGTCCCAGTTTTTTTGTCTTGGAATTCTTTATGGGACCACACACCCCGGTCTTCCTGTCTTGGAACCGTTCGCAGCACTCTATTGCATGTAATACCGCCGGCGGCACTCTACACGACTTGGAGCCGCCTGCGCTACCGTATGCAGCACTCTCCACGGTAGCTCCCTGGGGACTCAAACTTTTCCAGTTCCCCATCTTTAGGCTGCAACAGCATGGCAATGCCCAATAGAAAACAACGCAAGCAGTAGCCATCACGCTGCCAACACTGGCGGTGCCCTCTTGGGCAGTGGCCACTGTCTGCTGGGCGCATTACTAAGCCCAGAGCACTCTATGAACTCATCATCTCCATCTGGTGTCCCTGTCCTGCTTGCTGCTCTAGTTGCCCTAAAAATATGCCCCAGTCTTGTTTTGAGCAGGAATAATAAGATGCACAGACACGCAAATGATTGCCAACGAACAAGTCATATTTTATTATACTCACAGTCCCCAAGACACGGGAGGGGGGTCACTCCACACAGGGCCACACAGGGAAGTGACAAAGCAGAATGAGCAGGCGTAGAGAGAGGGAAAGCACTGGCAGACTCTTTATTGTGGATTTCTCAGGAAGGAATGGGCAAAGCAAGGTAAGCAAATGGCACAAATTTAGGATTGGATAGTTTGCATTGTTTCAGCAGATTCTGCGCTATAGGGTGCATCCCCAATTGTATAAAGACTGGTTTTGGAGAGTCTGAGTCTTAGTAAATCATGATTTTTTTTTTTTTTTTTTTTTTTTTTTGAGACGGAGTCTCGCTCTGTCGCCCAGGCTGGAGTGCAGTGGCGGGATCTCGGCTCACTGCAAGCTCCGCCTCCTGGGTTCAGGCCATTCTCCTGCCTCAGCCTCCCGAGTAGCTGGGACTACAGGCACCTGCAACCACGCCCGGCTAATTTTTTGTATTTTTAGTAGAGATGGGGTTTCACAGTGTTAGCCAGGACGGTCTTGATCTCCTGACCTCGTGATCCACCCGCCTTGTCCTCCTAAAGTGCTGGGATTACAGGCGTGAGCCACCGCGCCCGGCTAGTAAATCATGAGTTTTAGGGCCTGATGCTCTCTAAGCAAATTGCTGCTTCTCCAAGATAATGAACTGTAGCTTGGAGCCCACAGAGAAGGCCCTAGAAACCAGTCTGTCCGTTGTTCTCCCTCCTCTTTTCAAGATTTTAAAACTTGTAGCAATAAACACATAACATTAAATTTACCATATTTACCATTTTAAGCGTACAGTAATGTAATGTTAAGTATATTCACATTATTATGCAACAAATCCCTGGAACTTTTTCTTCTTGCAAATCTAAAAGTCTGTAAACAGCAAACACTGATTCTCCTTCCCTCTTTCTGGCCTTTGGTAACCTCTTTCTACTGTTTCTGTGATTTTGACTACCTTATTTAGTCTTTCTTTTCTTTCTCTCTCTCTTTTTCTTTTTTTTTTTTTCAGACAGGGTCTCACTCTATTACCCAGGCTGGAGTGCACATGCAGTATTGTGATCATAGCTCACTGCAGCCTCGAACTCTTGGGCTCAAGTGATCCTCCTACATCAGCTTCCCAAGTAGCTGGGACTACAGGCACTCACCACCACATCCTGCTAATTTTTAAATCTTTTATAGAGACAGAGTTCCCCTATGTTGCCATAGCTGGTCTCAAACTCCTGGCCTCAAGGGATCGTCCCTCATGGCTGGGATTACTGGCATGAGCCACTGTGCCTGGCCGTTTTTGTTTTTGTTTGTTTTAGAGACTGGGTCTCACTCTGTCTCCCAGGTTGGAATGCAGTGGTGGGGGTGGGATCACAGCTCATTATAGGCTCCACCTCCTTGGGCTCAATCAATCCTACCATCTCAGCCTTTCAAATAGCTGGATTACAGGTGTGTGCCACAACACCTGGTGATTTGACTCCTTTAGATCCTCCATAGGAGTCCTCTTGTGACTGGCTCATTTTTTTTAAGGGCCCTACATATTGTTTTCCATAATGGCTGTATTATTTTACATTCCTACCAACAGTGCCCAAGGGTCCCAGCTTCTCCATTTTCTGGCCAACACTTGTTATTTTTGTTTCTTTTTTCTTTAGTAGTGGGCATGTTATGGGCTGTGTTGAGGATCAGTACACAAACATTTGTATTTGAATACAATTCTTAACATACTAGAATGAAAATCTCAAAAGCCATGTTGTTGTGGTCTTTTCTAAAACGATTCCAGTGACTTCCCAGCTTAAAAGCTTGGGGCAAATTTTCCTTAAGAGCTGTTAATTTACAATGTAATATCATATAAATTACCTGCCCAAATTTTCAATCTTCCGCGGCATATTAACAAAGTTATTAGGAAATAACTTTGGTTATGGACTACCATAACCAAAGATATTACAGAGTGCACATAATCCTTTTTTTTTTTTTTTTTTTTGAGACAGAATCTCAATAAGTATCCAGGCTGGAGTGCAGTGGCGCGATCTCGGCTCACTGAAACCTCTGCCTCCCAGGTTCAAGCGATTCTCCTGCCTCAGCCTCTCGAATAGCTGGGATTACAGGTGAGTGACACCATGCCTGGTTAGTTTTTGTATTTTCAGTACAGACGGGGTTTCACTATGTTGGCCAGGCTGGTCTTGAACTCCTGACCTCAAATGATCCTCCTGCCTCAGCCTCCCAAAGTGCTGGGATTACAAGCATGAGCTACCACACCCCGGCCGAGTGCATAGAATTCTGACAGGGAGAGTAAAGATTAAGGAGTGGTTTTCTTTTCTTTCTTTTTCTTTTTCTTTTTTTTAGAGACAGGGTCTTGCTTTGTCAGCCAGACTGGAAAACACTGGTGCAATCATAGCTCACTGCGGCTTTGAACTCCTGGGTTCAAGCGATCCTCCCGCCTCAGCCACCCGAGTAGCTGGGACTACAAGCATGAGCCATCACGCCCACCCGCCCCCCGCACCCCCCCAACCCCTTTTGAAAGTAAAATATTTAGAATGGCTTTTATTTCTAGGCAACTACCATTTTTCCCCCTCTGTCTTTTGATGTTCACCTGACAAGCTCCTGGTGGTAGCCGGTAGCTCTGACAGAGAGCAAAAGAAATAAGGTAAGGTCCCAACCTAGTGATCCCAGGTCTGGGCGGTATTTCACCTTTGGTGGTGCCATTGGTTTCCTGTTGTGAGATTATTCCTCCCACTGGGGTTAGGACACATAGGCCAGGGGTTGGGGGGTTGGGTGGGGGGTGCGGTGTAGTAGGAGGTCAGGGGTGGGAGGGGTGAGGGAAGACTCCCTCCTTTGCTATGGGTGTTACTTTCCTGGTTCACTTTAGCATTTAGCCCCACCTTGGGCGGAGATAGCAATCTTGCAATTGTTCCATGCCCTTCAGCTCTCCTTGGCTTGAGGCAGGGAGGACCTGGTCTTTAATCTGTCTTGTCTTTAACCTTAGTCAATCAGGAGCTGCTATGTGGTCTATTCTTGTTAGACCAGAGGCGCCTGGTCGCATGGCTCTTTTTGGGAGGACTTAGGTTGATAATGGCAACCTCATGCTTTAGGGCGGACACGGTGAACAACAGACAACAGAGGGCTTTATGCAGCCCGCATAGCAGCAGCACACCCCTCCAGCAAGCAGTTCTGCTTCCCCACATGGTGCTAGCCATGGGGGAAGAGCCACAGCAAGCCACACGCAGGTCAAAGGCATTTTGTTGTGCCCCTTGTGGTTGTGACCACACACCCTGCTTGCTGTGCCAGTTGTATTTTTCTCTAATTTGATCTTTCCTCTAATTTGCTCCTGAGACAGACAGTAGCTATGAAGTCTAGCCTGTCCTGAAGGGGCTGCCCTGAAGAGGATGCTTATATTGTGTTTTTCACAGAATACTTCTTTATCCTGACCTAATGCCTGATTGTCCAGCCTGTATCCAGGTGTCCCTCTCACAGGAAGCTTGTTTATATGGGCAGGTGCCCTTGTGGCTCTTGTCTGACCTATGTCCAGGTTATTCCGCTGAAGCCGGAATACTCCCTCTAAGAGCCCTGACCGGCAGGAGGGTTCGCTTCCAGTGTTTAGCTCAGGTGAGACACAGCAGAGGTAACACAACGAAACACGTGAAATAACAACAACAACAAAAGCAGTGTGTCACTGACAGATCCCAGAGAGAAGAGGACAGCACGTCTTGCAGGGCCAGCGAGAAGCGGGGAGCCATCTGGGACATGCACGCTTAGGCAGCGGGCGGGGAGCAAGCAAGAGTGTGCAGGGGAACTGTGGGCCAAGCCTTTAGAAGGGTCCAGGGCGTCACCCAAGCAGGCTTCCTGCGGGGAGTTTTTTTTTGTTTTGTTTTGTTTTAACGGGATTTGGCTTTTGTTGCCCAGGCTGGAGTGCAGGGGCATGATCTCGGCTTACTGCAACCTCTGCCTTCCCAGTTCAAGCGACTCTCCTGCCTCAGCCTCCCGAGTAGCTAAGATTACAGGTGGCCCACCACCACGCCTGGCTAATTTTTTGTATTTTTAGTAGAGGTGGGGTTTCACCATGTTGGCCAGGCTGGTCTCGAACACCTTGACCTCAGGTGATCCACCTACCTCGGTCTTTCAAAGTTCTGGGATTACAGGCGTGAGCCACTGCACCTGGTCCCCGTGGGGGGTTTAGAGCAAGCAGGCATGAGTTCCGTGGGGGCACGCATGCTGTGACTGGGAGGGGGGCACTGTGACATATCTGTGCAGTCTATGCAGGGTGTGGGAGCCAGTGGGTGAGTCTAGTAGGTTGTGCCTAGCTGTCCTCTAGGGAGGTGGTCACCAGGAGATGGTGTATGAAGTAGATTGCTGGATCATCTACCTTGAGAAACTGAGAGGAGGTGGAGAGTTGAGAACTGGAAACAGTGTCAAGGGTGACTAAGCCCTGCTTCTGGTATGAGAAAGTCCAATTTTATATTATATTCAATACGACAAAGTCCAACTTATATTCAAAGTGGATGCCAGGCAACATAAAATTGTAAGAATTCCCTACAGCTTTGTATTACAGGATATAAAACTACCCTCTCCACCTACGGTTTGTTAAGTTGACACCCACAACAGTAAAGTGCTCCCATAATTTATATCCCACTGTTTTCTGGTTGTATAAAAAATAAACAGCATATGATTTTGCCTCTTTTTTAAAAAAAGCACTTAGTTGGGAAGCTGAGGCGGGCAGATCACGAGGTCAGGCGATCAAGACCATCCTCACTAACACGGTGAAACCCCGTCTCTACTAAAAATAAAAAAATTAGCTGGGGAATGGTGGCACACGCCTGTAGTCCCAGAGGCAGGAGAATCACTTGAACCTGGGAGGTGGAGATTCCAGTGATTGTGCCACTGCACTCCAGCCTGGGCGACCGAGTGAGACTCTGTCTCAAAAATAAATAAATAAATAAATAAATAAATAAATAAATAAAGCACTTAGGCCAGGTGCAGTGACTCAAGCCTGTAATCCCAGCATTTTAGGAGGCTGAGGTGGGAGGATTGCTTGAGCCCAGGAGTTCAAGACCAGCCTGAGCAACATGGCAAAGCCTGAGCAAAATGGCAAAAAACCCGTTTCTACAAAAAATAAAAAAAATTAGCCGGGCACAGTGGCGCAGGCCTGTAGTCCCAGCTGTTCAGGACCCTGAGGCAGAAGGATTCCTTGATCCCAGGAGGTCAAGGCTGCAGTGAGCCCTGTTCTTGCCACTGCATTCTAGCCTGGGTGACAGAGCAAAAGCCTGTTTCAAAAACAAACAAAAAAAGCATTTACATTTTAAAAATCATAGTTCTTCCTTCTTAAAAATATTCATAGGCTGGATGCAGTGCCTCATGCCTTTAATCTCAGCACATTGGGAGGCCGAGATGGGGGGACTGCTTGAGGCCAGGAGTTCGAGACCAGCCCAGGCAATGTGTTGAGACCCCCATCTCTTTAAACATCAAAAATAAAAATAAATAAATAGCTGGGCATGGTGATTCGTGCCTGCACTCCCAGCTACTTGGGAGGCTGAGGTGGGAAGAGCGCTTGAGCCCAGGAATTAAGGCTGCAGTGAGCTATAATCATGCCATTGCACCCCAGTCTGGGTGACAGCAAAACCCTGTCTCAAAAAAAAAAAATTACAGAGCTACTTGTGCGTTTACAAAATATAGTATTTGATAAAAATATTTCTCAGAATTGCACAAGAAGGAAGACAGGGACCACTGATAAGACAAGGGTGTAGGATATTAACCAGACTTGGCTTCTTTCTCTCCTGCTTCAGCAGAGGCTGGACTCTCCTTATTTTCAGTTTCTCCATTTTCTGCAGGAAAATCTTTACTTTCTGGGGCAGCTACTTTGGCCTGTTTGTCTTATACTTTTCTTTGCATTTTTTCATTTGTTTGTGTGAAGATTTATCCTTTCCTGCTGCCTGTTTTGGATTTGTTTTCACTTTTGTAGGGGCGGTTTTAGCTGATAACCTCACCAGTCTTCACTTCGGCTCTTCCTTCGCTGCCCCTTCAGCTGCGGGGAACTTGCTCTAGGGCATCTTGGCAGGAGGGAGGGCGTCTGAGGGTACTGGTGCCTGCAGACTTCAAGCACGGAGAGACTTCTTGAAGCGGTGCTGCCTGGCCACTTGGAAAAAGGTAGGGAGAAATCCACATGGAAGAAAGTAGGGAGTAATCAGAAAGTCCAAGGTGGGATGTGAAATTACAGAGCCCTTGAGAGCCTGTTTGGAGGTTCTAACAGGGGAGTGCAGCTACTCATATACCCTCCATCGAAGAGTGATCCTCCTCTATCAGAGTAGGTTGTCCTTTTTGACGGAGCTCACAGCTTCAGGAGGAAGGGGACACCTGGCTAGTCAGACAGATCAAAAACAGAGCTCTTAAGGTTCTCAAAAGCATCTTTGGATAGGGGGTCCTGGGCGACCAGGTGGGCATATGGGGCAAGGCAGTTACAGAGAGATCGTGCAGTTTCTGACCCCAAAATCCTCTCTATTGTCTTTTTGTTTCTGGCAGAGTAAACTGTTGAATAGTAGAAGCCCAGTCTGTGGAGATAGTTTTTCCTGTGGCTGAGATATCATGACCCAGATATTGAATGCAGAACTTTGTCTTTAGCCACCTGGTGGCTCTTTATTGCTAATGCCTTAAGGGTTCAGAAGAGCACTGTCATAACGGGCAGGAGATAGAACATCATCCACATATTGAAATAAAGTGGAGTTTCCTGCATATTTTAAGTCCCTTAAATAGGACCCTCAGTAAATCCTTGGGGCATAACTGTCGAGATATATTGTTGTCCAGATATATTGTTGATTGTGAAGGAAAACAAATACTTGGAATCTTAATGAAAAAGGATGCTGAAAAAATCTGAACGCAAATTGATGACAGGTGAAATATTAGATTTTGGAAGGGATCACAGCCAGCATAGTATTAGGGTTGGGCATCAGGGGAAATCTGGGTTTGACAGTTTTATTGAAAGCTCTCAGATCTTGGACTGGCTGAAAATCCTCTTCCGTTTGGCTTTGTAGTGGCCATAATGGGAGTGTTGCCTAGGCTAGAAGTGGGGATTAGCCTTTTTTTGTCTAATAAATCTTGGGTTATTGGGTGGAGCCCTTCAAGTCCCCATGGTTTTAAATGATTTTGGGCAGTTTGGGGAGGAGCGTGGGAAGATCTGTTTCCACCTTAAGGAATTCTGCGGGCCGTGTACCAGTGGAGTTTGTTGCCCACAAAGGAAGGATTTTGTCTAACAGTCGATGTAAGTCCTTAGCAGAGCATTGCTAGGTTGAAGGGGGAAGAGGAACTCAGAGAAGTCAGACAAAGCCATTAGGGGACAGACATGGCGGGGGAGGGTGGAGTTTGAGAGGGGTCCCTTGTGGGCATAGTGAATTTTGATACTCCAATTCCTGAAAAGATCCCTTCTTAACAGATTTACGAGGGTGAGATAATTGAGAAAAAAGGTTGTACTGAGCTTTAAGAGGCCCCCCAAAACATTAAGAGGTTGAGAAAGGCAAATCGTGAGACACATGATCAAAACCTGCTACTGAAAAAGTCTGGTAATGCTGAGGAAGGAGCACAGGAACCGGGGTGGTGGGTGGTGTTAAGGGTAGATGATTGTGCAGTCCAGGTATTGGTATCAATAAGAAACGTGGACCAGGCGCGGTGGCTCACATCTGTAATCCCAGCACTTTGGGAGGCTGAGGCGGGCGGATCACAAGGTCAGGAGTTCGAGACTGGCCTGGCCAAAATGATGAAACCCCGTCTCTGCTAAAAATACAAAAATTAGCCGGCTGTGGTGGCGCGCAACTGTAGTGCCAGCTACTTGGGAGGCTGAGGCAGGAGAATTGCTTGAACCCAGGAGGTGGAGGTTGCAGTGAGCCGAGATCATGCCACTGCACTCCAGTCTGGGAGACAGAACGAGACTCTGTCTCATAAATAAATAAATAAATAAATAAAACATGGTGAAGTGCCTTTCAACTTTGAGTCTGGTGGCAGTTGAAAGTGCTGGACATTTACTTCCTCGGAGGGGAGTCAGTGATTTTCTAAGAGAAGGGCCCTGAAAGTTTTCCCTCCTCTTGAGAGCTGGGCAATTCTGGACCCAGTGTTCTTTTTCTTTACAGTATTGACAAGCTTCCAGATCACTGGGAACCCATGATTTTGGAGCTTGCCCCATGGGTTAAAATCTTAGGGTTTTTCTAATTGTTGTGATTACATTGATTGCATTGCCACAAACCTTTGTGTTTTCCGATTCTTTGGAAATGCTACCTTTATACTGTTGGACTAATGTCTGAAGCTCATACATGTCTGCATTTTTCTAGTTGATATTATTTTTTCTTTTCTTTTCTTTTCTTTTTTTTTTTTTTTTAAGACAGAGTCTCACTCTGTCACCCACGCTGGAGTGCAATGGCACGATGTTGGCTCACTGCAACCTCCCGCTCCTGGGTTCAAGTGATTCTCCTGCCTCAGCCGCCTGAGTAGCTGGGATTACAGGCGTGCACCACCACGCTCAGCTAATTTTTGTATTTTTAGTAGAGATGGGGTTTCACCATGTTGGTCAGGCTGGTCTTGATCTCCTGACCTCATGATCTGCCCACCTCAGCTTCCCAAAGTGCTGGGATTACAGGCTTGAGCCACCGCGACCAGGCATTGATATTATTTTTTTGTGATGTGTGAACTCCACCCTGAGACCATTTATCATGTTCTAGTGGCCAGAGCAGAGGTTTTTTGGGGAAATCAGTACCCACCCTGAATGCTCCTTCCTTGTTTTCTCCAGTCGATGACGATAGTTTGCCACAGTTTCATCCCTTTGTTGTATACAGTTTTGAGTATATGGCTGATTGGTTTTGGTCAGCTACTCAAAACTGTGAAGAGAAAAGGGGATAGAACTGAGGGATGCCTCCCAGTAGTTTCTCTCTTATTTCTTTCAGTCTTCAGAAGGGGTCAGGGATAGGCTGAGAAAAAAGGTCCCCGGAAATGGTGGTCCATTTGGTTTTTTTTAAACCAAAAGGCGGCATCTCCAGGTTCAACCAAGAGCTGGTTACATTGCTATAAGTCAGGGAGAGTATGACCCCAGGACAATTCTGAATTGTTCAGTAAATTTTCCTTTTCCTTTCCTTTCACGGGTGACGGCATATAAATCAGACCAAGACCGAAGTTTAAATTATGTCTCTTTCCTCAGTCTAGCTTGGGAACAGGGGCCTGCTGTACCCTGGCTTCATCTGTAGGAGATCAGGGCCCAATGAATCTTAAGGTTACAGGGAGTTGAGGGGCATTGAGGTTCAGTTGGCAGAGGACATTCTGGGAGAGAAGGATGCAGGAGAGAGCTGGGAGCAGGATATGGAATTGCTATGGGGTTTTCTGGGTTAAAAACATGTTTCTGAAGGCATGATGTAAAAGCCTCAGTGGTTTGAGTGAGGTATGAATTATTTCACTGTTTTTTGGCGTCTTCCTTAAATAAGCAGACCATCATGCATCTGAGAATTTTGTTCCTTTTTGTTCTGGGTGTCCCTTTAGGTGGATTAATTTGGGGATATCCGAGGAGCCCCAGAGGGCCATTGTAATTCAAGATCTTCAGTAAACTTCTGCCGCGGAGAAAGAACCCGGCCAGTATTGGGACCATCGTGGTGACGCAGGATTGGAGGAACAGGGGTTTCGGTTGACTGAGAAGTTCCTGTGAGAGAAACAGGCTCAAATAGAGAGAATAGAAAGATGTCGTGAGGAGCCAGGAAACAAAATTTTCCAGGGGTCAGGGAATGAATTCTAATCAGAACAAGGAGCCAGCAAGAACTTCCAGCCTAGGAGGTACTTTTCAAAAGAAGCCTGGGACTCTAACCCAGCTTCTGAGAGTATACTCAGAATTGTTAAGAATCAGGCAGGGCGCGGCGGCTCATGCCTGTAATCCCAGCACTTTGGGAGGCTGAGGCGGGTGGATCACTTGAGGTCCGGAGTGTGAGATCAGCCTGACTAACAAGATGAAACCCCATCTCTACTAAAAAAATACAAAATTAGCTGGGCGTCGTAGCGCATGCCTGTAATCCCAGCTACTTGGGAGGCTGAGGCAGGAGAATTGCTTGAACCCAGGAGGTGGAGGTTGCAGTGAGCCAAGATCGCGCCCTTGCACTCCAGCCTGGGCAACAAGAGTGAAACTCTGCCTCGGAGGGAAAAAAAAAAAAAAAGAATTGAAAGAATGAAAACCTGTCCTCAATGTGCCTGAATAAATGCTTGTTCAGACACTGGATGTGAAGTCCGATTCTCCACTGGATACCCAAACTGCAGGAGGTAGGTGGTTCCCATCTGGACCCGAGTTGCCTACCAGACCATTGTCAGAAACACAGCTGGACGTGAGTTAAAGTGGTGAAAAAACAGATTTTATTCAGTAACTACTGAAAGTAGGGAAGGAGCTGAGCTTATTCCGATTTCGGCAGAGGTGATTTGGGTGTTTTAAAGAAAGAATGAGGGAGACGGGAATAAAGGAGCTCCGAAGTGTCGGGGAAGTGAAAAAGTGCAAAGGGGAGCTTCCGGATAGCGAAGCACGTGGAGGTTCCTGGAGGGTGTCCTCCCAGAGAGGACGTGGAACCTTCCCGCTCCCACCGCGCACTTGCCCTGTGTATCTCTTCCCTTTGGCTGTTCATCTACATACGTGGTAGTTTCCTTTATAGTAAACTAATAAACGGAAATTTGCAGCAGCTGTGAAAAACTTCAATTTTCTGAATCCACTTTTGATTTTTAGTGGCGATTGCTTAAATGCCTCAGTTTTAAGTATCATAACGAAAGGAAAGCATACGATTCCTATATTAATGAATCGGAAGTACCTTTTGCAGTTTTTGTTTTGCTTTTTCAGACAAGGTCTTATTCTGTCATCCAGGCTGGAGTGCATTGGTGGGAACACAGCTCACTACCTACTCAGCCTCCTGAGCTCAAGCGATCCTCCCACCTCAGCCTCTCAAGTGGCTAGGACCACAGGCACCCACGCACTACACCGCCTAACTAATGTTTTGTTTTATATTATATTATTTTATTTTATAGAGACAGAGGTCTCACCATGTCGACCAGGCTAGTTTTGAACTCCTGGCCTCAAGCAATCCTCCTCCCACCTCAGCCTCCCAAAGTGCTAAAATGATAGGTGTGAGCCACTGCACCCGGTGATTTTGCAGTTTTTGGAAACCACAAGTTTGATTTCGGTGTGAATATTTTGGAAGAATCTATGAAACAAATGCACTTCATCTGATTTCTCAGTAATGTTGATGATAGATTTACTTCTGAACCTCTTGGACGTGTGTATGTTAGAAGTTCTCCACCCAATTGATACGGAATTAAATAGCTGTGAAATTACTGTAAGAAGAACCGAAGCAACGTTGGAAATTTGGTAACTAATGCCACGTTGGAAGCTATTCATGCCAATGTAGCATTGCTTCATACAGGTACTTCCAGATCTAATTGAATACATCCAGTGGGAAATTTCGCTTTGCGTGATTTTTTGGCTATCCTTCTCATAATGGACCCCAGTTTTAGTTGTCAGAGTAACACAGGCACAGCTGCTTGAAGGTCTTGAAAATGAGGTTAACAAATATTCAGCTTTTGGTGGGAGTTTTTCTCAAGTTGTTGGAATAGAATTTGGACTCAATTCAGATGCGGAACTGGGACACTGAATGATAGATAACAGATACTGTGAAAGTTCAAGGACCATACGAAAAAAATTTACCTTCTTGCTGCTATAAACAATATATTGCACATGGGAAAGATAGTTACGTTATGCCTGATAGTTGTTCTTGAATGTTTGACACAGAAACTGTACAAGTACCTTCCACAGTCATCATGAATCACTTTTAATCGATAAAAATTTTGTAGGGAAGGAAGCAGTGTCTTTCAGGCCATTGAATGAATTTGATTACTACTACGAACAAATCATCATTATTAACAGCCTTCGAGGAAGAATCAGATAAGCCATCAGCAGTAATTGCAGTACCTGGCATAGAAGGGTGAATTTGCCATATTTCTCAGCACATGAAAGAACATTTGTACCAACTTAGAGCCGGAGGGGAACAAGGTTTAAGAACTTTTCCCGTTATTAGTGGTAATGCATCTGAAAATTTTGATTCTGATTGAAATACTATATGGGTAATATATAATCAATGCCCAACTGAATGGAGAAAACCTACACTTTTTGCATTGTTAAGCACAGTAATATAATTTTGGCTCTTTGGCATTGTTCTAGAATTAATTTTAATTCTAGGGATATTGCTCTAAATGTGCTTCTTATCACTTTTGACTCTTCAGTGTGTTATCCAGGAAACAATATATATACACTTGTGAACTGTTGTTTGTGATTTAAGCATATATATTGAATAATGTTTCCAGATTAAATGACTTCCAAGCTCCAAAGAAAAGAGTACAAAGCATTGGTCAATATAAACGTGATTAGGTCAGCTGTGTCTGCTAGCAGGCAGTTATCTGAATTAGGGATCTATCCTCCCACAGAGAGTTGGAGACGGAGGCCTTATCCTTCTTGATGATTATATTTTGAAGGAATGGCTCTCAGATCCTTGAGAGAGATGCTCCTGAGTTACAATTGTGAGGACTTTTTGGTAAGTGCCCTAAGAAAGTGTGGTCAAGGAGCTATCATCAGATGTGTGCTGGCTAGAGCACATAGTAGATTTTCCTGGCAGCACTTAGCTTTCTCAGGCAGGCACTATTTAGGGGCCTGGGATCATTCTAGGGACACAGCCTTATGCTGCCAGAAGCCAGACTTGTTTGATCAGGTCTCAGTGCAGGGATTCGGATGGGGTTTTCATGTGCCAAGGGTTCTGCACTCTTCCTTCTCTGCTGCTTGGCACTGTGCATGGTGATCCGTACGGTAATCTACACAGCGTGGTGCTCCTCACCGCAATCTATGGGACAGCTCAGGGAGAACTCAGCTTTTCCAGCCCCCCAGTTTTAGGTTGAAAAATCATGGTAATACCCATTAAAAAACAACACAAGCAGTAGCCAGCAAGCAGCGAGGTGCCAACATTGGGGTGCCCTCTCAGGCAGTGGCTGCCGTCTGCTGGGGCCAGTTACTAAGAACTCTACAGACTCATTGTCTCCATGTGGTGTACACCACCTAGCTTGCTCGCTGTACTAACTGTTCTAAAAATATACCCTGGCCTTGTTTTTGAGCAGGTATAGTAAGGCACATACACCAGACATGCAAATGATCACCAGAAAGGAATACTGTTTTTTCTTTTTCTTTTCTTTTCTTTTTTTTTTTTTTTTTTTTTTTTTTTTGAGATGGAGTCTCGCTCTGTTGCCCAAGCTGGAGTGCAGTGGTGCAATCTAAGCTCCTAGCAACTTCTGCCTCCCGGATTCAAGCAATTCTCCCTGCCTCAGCCTCCCGAGTAGCTGGGATTACAGGCGCGTGCCGCACTCCCGGCTAATTTTTTAGTTTTAGTAGAGACGGGGTTTTGCCATGTTGGCCAGGCTGGTCTCAAACTCCTGACCTCGTGATCTGCCCGCCTCGGCCTCCCAAAGTGGTGGGATTACAGGCATGAGCTACCATGCCCGGCACATTTTTTATTATACCCACAATTCCCAAGACATGGGAGGCAGGCATACTACACAGGGCCACACAGGAAAGTGACAAATTGGGGTGAGGAAGTGTAGAGAGAGGGGAACTGCTGGCAGAGCCTTTATTATGATATTTTCAGGAAAGAATGGGCAAAACAAAGTAAGCAAGTGGTGCAAATTTAGGATTAGATAGTTTGCATGGTTTCAGCGAATTCTGAGTTATAGGGTGGGTCCCTGGTGGTCTAGTACCTGGCGCTATAGTAAATAGGACAGGGGATAGTGTCCCAGGCTGTAGAGTTCTGATAAAAGGAGATGGCTAGGGGTGGTGGACAGGTGATTCGTTGGTTTGCATAGCAAAGGCGTGCTGGCAGGCAAGCTGTTTGTTATCTCTGGGAATGAGTTAAACCTGAGAGAGGTGGTTTCCCAGGTCCGAAAGGCCCTAATTGCATCAATAATACAGAAAATAAGAACATACAGTTAATCCAATTTGACTTGTAGTGCTCTAGCATAACAACATTTTCTGGAGTCCTTACCATATCCTAATATTTGAACACTACCAATTAATTTTAAAAAATAGTATCTGTGGAATTCACAGCCTCTAAATTCTTCCTTATAGAGTTATTCTATTTGAATATAAATTGCTTTATTGTTGCAAGTTAACTGCTGAAAATGTCTGAGTTTAAATAGAACAGCTCAATAATATAGTTTTCTTTTTTTTTTCTTTTGAGACGGTGTTTTGCTCTTGTTGCCAAGGGTGGAGTGCAGTGGCGCGATCTCGGTTCACAGCAACCTCTGCCTCCCAGGTTCAAGCGATTCTCCTGCCTCAGCCTCTCGAGTAGCTGGGATTACAGGCATGCACCACCACGCCCGGCTAATTTTGTATTTTTAGTAGAGACGGGGTTTCTCCATGTTGGTCAGGCTGGTCTTGAACTCCCGACCTCAGGTGATTCGCCCGCCTCAGCCTCCCAAAGTACTGGGATTACAGGTGTGAGACACTGCGCTCGGCCAGTAATATCGTTTTCATATTGATGACCTCGTTGTCTAAAAGGCAATAGTAATTCTTTCTTTAAAGTTAAATCTCTAGAGGACATAAACTTTGGATGATTTTTGAATTTAAGAAAGAAACAAGTGTGACGTTCATAGCATTTTCAGCCCCAATTATCAACAGATGTTAAAAGCACTCTTTGAGGGCTACCGATTGTGTTTCTATTAGCAGGAAAAGAGAAAGGAGGAGAAAAAAACGTGTGAGTAAAAAACAAAGAGGAGCAATAGAGAAAGAAAAAAGAGAAAGGAGTAGAATATGGCAACAATTGGTAGAGAATTATTGGAAACAAACACCCCAGCTATGCCTGTATGAAGGAGGTGTATTACAAATGTTTCCATACAACGTAAAGTGGAAAAGACTAGAATGAAGGAAGAATACAATGTAAAGACTACAGCTGAGAAGTTAAAAATCACACTATGCATAATTTTAAATTCATGTGGGGGAAAATGTTATCATGATTTTATACTTGTAGTTTCTTACCCCTGCAACTCCTTTGCCCACATTTACTCCTGATAAGCAGAAGCAACTATTTTTAAAATTTTACTTTGAACTGGGTGTGGTGTGGCTCATACCTGTAATCCCAGTGCTTTGGAAGGCCGAGGTGGGAGGATCCTTTGAGGCCACGAGTTTGAGACCAGCCTTAGCCACATAGCAAGACCCCATCTCTAAAGAAAAAAAAAATCGGCCTGATGTGGTGGTGTGCACCTGTAGTCCCAACTACTTGGGAGTCTGAGGCAGGATGATCGCTTGAGCCCAGGTTGTAGGCTGCAGTGAATTACATGCCACTGCATTCCAGCCTGGTGACAGAGTGGGACTCGGTCTCTATTTAAAAAAATTATTTTGTCCTAGGTGGATCATCTGTATGTTTATATTAAAAAAGGCTTATATTGCTATTCAGTGATTTGCTGGCTGTAGACATTATATAATATATTAAATTCCTACATGACAGATGAGGAGTTATTAATAACTCATTTGCACGATTTCCCCTTGTACTCTTCTCCCCACACTTAGTTATACTGCCATTCCGCAACTGCCTACTGTATACTTCTGCAACTTAAAGCCATATACTTTAACATGCATTGTTTCTTTTTCTTTCTTTCTTTCTTTCTTTCTTTTTTTTTTTTTTTTTTTGACGGAGTCTTGCTCTGTCGCTCAGGCTGGAGTGCAGTGGCAAGATCTTGGCTCACTGCAGCCTCCGCCTCCACCTCCTGGGTTCAAGCGATTCTCCTGCCTCAGCCTCCCGAGTAGCTGGGATTACAGGTGCGTGCCACCAAGCCCGGCTAATTTTTTTGTATTTTTTAGTAGAGACGGGGTTTCACCATGTTGGTCAGGCTGGTCCCAAACTCCTGACCTCAAATGATCCGCCTGCCTCAGCCTCCCAAAGTGCTAGGATTACAGGCATGAGCTACCGCGCCCTCCCCTCCCCTCCCCTCCCCTTCCCTTCCTCCTTTCCTTTCTCTCTCTCTTTTTTCTTTCTTTCTTTCTTTCTTTTTTTTTTTTTTGACAGTCTCACTCTGTTGCCCAGGTTGGAGTGCAGTGATGCAATCTCAGATCACTGTAGCCTTGACCTCCTGGGCTCAAGCAATCCTCCCACCTCAGCCTCCTGAGTAACTGGGACTGTAGTCATGAGCGTCTGCACCCAGCCTGCCTTTTTTTTTTTTTCTTGAGACGGATTCTCACTCTGTCTTCAGGCTGGAGTGCAGGAGCACCATCTCGGCTCACTGCAACCTCTGCCTCCCAGGTTCAAGCAATTCTTCTGCCTTAGCCTCCCGAGTAGCTGGGACTACAGGCACACGCCACCACACCCAGCTAATTTTTGTATTTTTAGTAGAGAGGGGGTTTCACCGTGTTAGCCAGGATGGTCTCGATCTCTTGACCTCGTGATCCACCCGCCTTGGCCTCTCAAAGTTCTGGGATTACAGGCGTGAGCTACTGCGCCCGGCCTGCATTTTCTTCAACAACATTTTTGTTCCAACAACCAGGAAGATGAGGACATTTAACACTACCATCTTTCCCTCTACCTTGCAAATGAAACTTTTATCTGTTTTACAGGGAGGAATCAACATGACAAAATGAAGATATTTTCTGACCATTCACAGTAATTTAATTTGATTTTATTATTTATTTATTTTTTGGGATGGAGTCTTCACTCTGTCTTCCAGGTTGGAGTGCAGTGGTGTGATCTCGGCTGCCTGCAACCTCCACCTCCCGGGTTCAAACGATTCTCCTGCCTCAGCCTCCTGAGTAGCTGAGACTACAGGTGCAAGCCGCCATGCCCAGCCAAATTTTTATTTTTAGAAGAGATGGGGTTTCACCATGTTGGTCAAGCTTGTCTTGAACTCCTGAGCTCAAATGATCCGCCCGCCTCAGCCTCCCAACGTGCTGGGATTACAGGTGTGAGCCACGGTGCCCGGCCCACAATTATTTTAAAATAATGATTTGGATGGGGCATGTGCATGAATCCCTTTATGCTTAAAGAAAACATTTTACTTTTTAAAGACCTAACATGCCAGGCTTCGGGGTAAAAGCTTTATAATGACCTCACCTGACTGTAAATAGGTAGAATGAAGCACACAGTAATAGAATTTGGGAAAAGACATAGTCCACACTCTAAATTGGTGAAATCTCAATTCTTTTATGACCCAGCTATGAGATCTTGTTTTTTCCAAATAGCCTTTCCTTAAGACATTAGCCTAATATTAGCTTAAATGGCTTACAAAATGTAGACATTATTGGAGTGCTTTCTAGACACAAAAGAGCAGGTTTTGGTGTTCCTTAAAAGAAGGAAGCATGTGAAATAACACATACTCAGCACTTTTTTCTCCCTGGACCAAATATGTTGGGGGAGGAAATGAAGTACATACAAACCCAATCCTGATCTCTAAGGTCCTTTAAATATGTTTAGATGTGTAATGTGTTTAGATCTGTAATGGGTTAATAAAGAATTGAGGGGGAAATTACAACTTTTGGAGCTTAACCTTATAGATAACTAAGCTCTCCCACAAAACGTGCCCATTGCCAGTAGACGGAAATCTGGTTTGTGCGGACTGCTGATCTGATGCAGAATGGCACTCCCTTTGATGTTTTATGATAGTATCATGTTGGAAGAAAAATTTTGCCAACTAAACTATAACACAATTTCTTGTAATTTAGTGTTTTTCTTTTTTTCTTTTCTTTTTTCTCTTTGAGACAGGGTTTTACACTGTTGTCCAGGCTGGAATGCAGTGGTGCGATCACGGCTCGCTGCAGCCTCTACATCCCGGGCTCAGGTGATTCCCCCGCTTCAGCCTCCTGAGTAGCTGGGACTACAGGCATGCACCACCATGCCTGGCTGATTTTTTTGTAGTTTTTGTAGAGATGAGGTCTCGCTGTTTCCCAAGTTGGTCTTGAACTCCTGGGATCAAGCGATCCTCCCGCCTTAGCCTCCCAAATTGCTGGGACTACAGGTGCGAGCCACCATACCTGGCCTATTTTTATTTCATACTCAGTAAAAGAGCACTCTCAGACTTTGACACATTTATTATGCATTGATCTTGTGAATGCATAAAAAGAGACATATAAGTAAAATTGGTTTAGGTATTTCAGAAACTTCATATTCGGAACTCAACTTTCATTTTATTTATTTTTTTAATTAATTAATTTATTTATTTATTTTGAGACGAAGTCTCACTCTGTTACCCAGGCTGGAGTGCAGTGGCACGGTCTCAGCTCACTGCAACCTCCGCCTCCCAAGTTCAAGTGATTCTCCTGCCTCAGCCTCCCCAGTAGCTGGGATTACAGGCATGTACCACCATGCCTGGCTAATTTTTGTGTTTTTTTTTAGTAGAGATGGAGTTTCGCCATGTTGGCCAGGCTGGTCTCAAACTCCTGACCTCAGGTGATCCGCCCACCTCGCGCTCCCAAAGTGCTGGGATTACAGGCGTGAGCCACCGCGCCAAGCCCAGAGCTCAACTTTTATGAATCACTTTTTGAATCAGTTGTCCATGGCTGTAGCTTTCCACCAAAAGTGTTGGTGATGCATCTAACTTTAAGAATGCTCCAGCTGGGCACAGTTACAGCTCATATCTGTAATCTCAGCACTTTGGGAGGTGAATGTGGGAGGATCCCTTGAAGCCAGGAGTTCGAGACCAGCCTGGGCAAAAAAGTGAGAACCCCCATCTCTACAAAAAGTAAAAAAATTAGCCAGGCATGGTGGCACACGCCTGTGGTCCCAGCCACTTTGGAGACTAAGGCAAGAAGATCGCTTGAGCTTGGGAGGTCAAGGCTGCAGTGAGCCGTGTTTGCGCCACTGAACTCCAGCCTGGGTGACAGAAGGAGACCCTGTCTCAAAACAAAAACAAAAACAAAAACAAAAAACAGAGAGGGAGAGAAAGGAAGGAAGAATGCTGCACTATTGTATGCAGGATTTTCTTCCAAGCAGCTGATCTTATTCTGCAAGTTTTGATGCTGGCACCTTCTTGATCTCACCTGAATATGTCAATTTTGTGTTTTCACGCAAAACATTCAGGACTTGTTTTCCTCCTTCAATGGTGTTATTGAATAAAAGCTGTAGGGGTTGTAACTGACTAATCAGGCTATCAAGAATAATATCGAAGTTATTTCATTTTTGGGGGGTGCAAGTAGGCTTAGTATTTAACTGTTCATATATGGGTTCCCAAAATCCATCAAGAATGAATGTACTTGGTAAGTAACTCAGGGCTCCCAGAAGACTACTAGTTCTTAGCCAGTCCCATCTCTTTCTTTTCTAAATGCTGGGGAAATCTCTTTTTGGTCCTAGGAAAATCTTCTCCAGGCAAATCTTCCCTCTTTCCCTAGGAAAATCTCTCTCCAAGTTTGAGTGACTTTTGTCTGTTAATTCCCTTCCTCCTAGGGTTATGGGTTTTATTAAACAATGCACTTATCTCAGTTGAAATGAGGACAACCTGCACAGCAACATCCACGTTGTAATACGTGGAGGTAATGACAACCAGGTCTGTACTGCCACCCGGTCAACGAGAGTTTATAAGATGCATCTTGATTTCACAGATGTTAAAATGTGGGGAAAAACATGGCTTAGCATCTGTGAAATACATAATGTCATGGTGCTTCGATCAATGTATAGTGGATTTTCTATAATTCCAAAGTTGGGATGTGGAAAAAACTTGCCTTAAAAGAAATCCGTACTTTTTGGTATGTTAAATCTAAGGGAGGTTATAAATCGAACAGTTGCAGGAGCCCAACTTTAAAGTGAGAGAAAGATGTAGTGGGGGAAGAAGGAGCTGAGAAATACAGAAAGAATAAAAACAATGGACGCAAAAGCAATAGGCAAGTTTTTTTGTTGTTGTTCTTTAAAGGGACAAAATCACAAGCTTACTAAAAAGGGTAACGACAATTACAGCTACAGCCAAAGAGCAAAGTAGCTCATTTTAAGATTATTTTTACATTAGACATAAGCTTTGCAACAGGGCCTCTCTCCATTTTAGTAAAATTGGTTTAGGTGTTTCAGAACCTTCTTATCGCAGATTATAATTTCATATTCAGTAGTGTGATTCATTTAGGTTTGTGATCTCCGTTACACTTAAACTGTTTTTGCTCACAACTATATTCGTAATGGGGTAGCGCAGTGAATATAATTGCATGACCTAATGTTGTTTGTTAATATTTGTAACCCTTTAATGTGCAGGATAGATCTTTGAATACCTAACTTCCTTAAGCCTCAGTTTTCTCAATTTGTCAAAGGGGGACAATAATAGGATTCATTCAGAGTTACTCTGAAATGAAATGCAATAATGTATAGAAACCTTAAACGGTGCCTAGCACAGAGCAAGCGCTCATTGAACAGCAGCTTTTGTGAGATGCACCTCACTATGAAATAGGCATGGAAACGGAAACGACTAGCTCTCTTAGCCCCGTTTTCTTTTCTACATTCATACGTTGCTTTGAATTGGCAAGCAGTTTTTATTTGGACCCTCAAACGCTAAAACCTTGGTCTCTACTTCGCGTCCCAACTGTGCTTATGAGTCTAGTCATTTTTGTTGGAACGCGATAGATTTCCCAAGCTCCGGAGTGGGGCCCTGACCAGGGAGGAAGTGTCCGCTTTAAGAGCTTCTGGAGGGGAGGAAGGGGCTCCTCCGCCCGGGTGGGAGAGTGAGTGAGTGGGTGGGCGGGCAGGGGGCGGTCCCGCCGCTCCTGCGTCAGAAGGGGTCTGGTTTTCGCACCTTCCCTGACGTCAAACCTCCATCAGGGTTGCAACGCCACGTTGCCTTGGATGCCTGCGTGAGTGGAGTCGCGACTCGGGGCCCGCGTCCTGAGAGACGCGCTCCCGCGCCGCTTCTCGCCTCCGGACCGCAGGGGCCGAAGTCGCCTATTTCTGGCTCCGCGGGCAGCGGGGCCGTGGCGCTCGGACGGTCTGGGATTCGGGCGCCGCCGCGGAACCGGAATAAGAAGGGAGAGCGCCCGGCTCGGTCCTCGGTCTCCACCGCGGCCCGGAAGGAATCCGGGCAGCCTCCGCGGAGGTGAGTGCCGCGGCGGGGGCGGGGCGCGGCCGGGGCGACGCCCGCGGGCGGGGCCTGCTCGCCGGGCGCCCGGGGCGCCTTCTTCCCGAGGGACGCCAGGACCGCTCGCTGGGCTCCCGCGGCCGCCTCGCAGGTCCTCGGCTTCCCCCCACCCCGCGTCCCTTTCTGCCCCTGCTGCGTGAGAGGTGTCGGCGGCTCCGGGCCGGGATCGAGGTGGCGGGGCGAGGGAAGGAGGTGGGGCGCAGGCTGCATTGCGCTTCTGTCCGGGGCCCTGGGTCAGAGGGGCCGGCGGACGAGGCCTCGGGTCCGGGCTTGGGGAGGGGGCGGTCTGCGGGGTCGGATTGAGGGCCGGGAACCCGCGGAGTCTTGCCCCTGGGCACCTGTGGGGCCGAGATCCCGAGCCACCTGTCCACACACCCCCTTCCCCCAGTGCCCTGCGTTGGGTCCAGCTGGCCCCAGACCTAGGCCTTTCCCAGCCTCGGGCGATTATAGTTTATTTGAAAACGTTTGATTTTTGTGTTAATGATTCTTTTACTACCGCCGTGCAACAGTTGTGTAAATGTGGTCGTGTTACGCCATCGTTTTTACTTGCTCCTAAGAAGGGCCTTACCAGCTCCTGCGATTATCTCACGCGATGATTCTTGGTAGCTCGTGAAAAAAATGCATAACAAGATACTGGTTCTCAAGGGACCAAAACCCCACCCCCACCTAAAGGAAATAGCTTGTTTTTGTTTTTCTTTTTTACAGCAATATGCTACGTGTGGGGAGGGGGAGGGACGATGGAGGCAGCCTGTAGCGATCTCATCCTCGAGAGAATCTGCTAACAATTTGGGGGGTATCTTTCCTTCCTTTTTAATTAATACACAAACATATATACGTGTGTTACATAAGGGGTGTTTATTTGCTTTTTTCACTTAATACGTGGAAGACCTTTTCTCTATCGTTTGAACCTAAAGCCTAGAAGGCAAGAAAGCAACTCGTTAGAGAGTTGATAAAGTATCACTGCAGTGGCCAGTGATTTGGATAGAAATAAGCTGAATTCAGGGTAAGAACTGGTTTCTATAAAATATGGTTTACTCTGCATAATAATTGGAGGCAGTGTTTTTTCAAACTGAGTTTTTTCAGCCGGTTCGTGAATGGTGAAATTAATTTAGTCATGACTAGCATTTAAAAAAAAATAAGATCGCATAAAAAAATCAGAATGCATTATATGTAATGAGAGTATTGTTTTGTGAAAAATATTTTAACTGTGCGCGTGTGCATTGTGAAATTTAGTGGGTCGTGACTAGCATTAAAAAAAGTAAGATCGCATAGAAAATATCAGACTGCATTACATGTAATGAGAGTATTGTTTTGTGAAAAATCTTTTAAGTGTGCGTATGTGCCTGTGCGTGTGTGCTCGGTTGTAATTAAAAATTTATTGGTTCCTGTGTGTCATGTTAAATAATCTTGAGAGTCGCTAATCCAAGGTACTGTCAGCACTCAAATGAGCAAGATGCAATTAAACTAGACATTAGTTTTATTTTTTCTTTGGAATAGTGGTGATGTTGATTGCAGCAAATAAGAGTCCTAATTATTTGTTTTCACCTAATATTAAAACAAGTAGTATTCCTAAAAATACAGAGAGGAAGTGTCTAAGTCGTTAAGAGGTTAAAGCATAAACTACTCAAATTGACCAGTGATCACATCTCAGTTACGCTGGTTATTGGTGTGAGACCTGCAACAAGATACCTCTTTTCTCTCAACCTCAGTTCCCTGATTTGTTAAATGGGAATTAATCATGGCAGCTACCTTATAAAGCTGTTTGTTATTTAGATGAGATAATGCACAGGAAGCTGTTGACAGAGCGCCTGGCTCAGATTAAGTACTAAGTATTAGCTATTATTATTTTATTAAGACTGAATAGAGGTGTCTAGGATAATGCTTGTCACCAGAGGAAAGCCAGCATAGCGTGGATAATCCAGAAAAGGGGAAAATTGAAAATTAGTAGTGTTGTGTGGAGGAACTGACACTGAATTAGTGTGGTCTTTTTATGCATTCGGCCATTGTTTTGTCATTGCTCCTCAATTGTTTCCCTACTGCTGGACGGAAAATTTAGATTGTCTTATTCAGAAAACCAAATGCCTTTCTATTGTCTTTCCTTATTATTATTATTTTTCAAATTAAGTTGATGTCTCTTTTGTCAGGCAGTTGAAAAATATGTTTTATGAGGATTGTGGGTTTTGTTAGTTCTTACCACACTGCCACGCCACACTCAGTTTGAGAAATACACACACGACAACTCCAGACTCATTTCAGAAATATTTTTATCCATGTTTACCTCTGCAGCTGGTGCAGATCTCAGGTGTGCAAGAAATATTTCTTTAAAAAAAAAAAAACCAAAAACAAAATGCTGTTTTATTTGTATTTTAAGACATTTCTGCCTAAGTCATCTGGGTAGCTCAGAAATCTCTGTTCACTGCCTGGGATAGGTTTATGCAATTTTAAATGTTACATAAATGAATGAAATAAGAAGGTGAACATAGTCATTTTTTAAAAATAGCATTATTA